>NC_000014.9:49611713-49914743 GCF_000001405.40 Homo sapiens | reverse complement strand
GGGTTCAAGCAACTCTCGTGCCTCAGCCTCCTGAGTAGCTGGGACTATTTTAGCAGAGATGAGGTTTCACCATGTTGGCAAGGCTGATCTCGAACTCCTGGCCTCAAGTGTTCCGTCTGCCTCGGCCTCCTGAAGGGATTACAGACATGAGCCACTGAACCGGCCTAATTAAAAATAAATCTTTCTAGCCGGGCGTGGTGGCTCACACCTGTAATCCCAGCACTTTGGGAGGCCGAGGCGGGTGGATCACCTGAGGTCAGGACTTCGAGACCAGCCTGACCAACATGGTGAAACCCCTTCTCTACTAAAAATACAAAATCAGCTGGACATGGTGGCTCATGCCTGTAATCCCAGATACTCAGGAGACTGAGGCAGGAGAATCACTTGAACCTGGGAGGTGGAGGTTGCAGTGAGCCGAGATCGCCCCATTGCACTCCAGCCTAGGCAACAAGAGCAAAACTCCCTCTCAAAAAAAAAAAAAAAAAAAAAGTATTTGGGAGGCTGACGCGGGCGGATCACCAGGCGGGCGGATCATGAAGTCTAGAGATCGAGACCATCCTGGCCAAAATGGTGAAACCCTGTCTCTACTAAAAATACAAAAAAAAAATTAGCTGGGCATGGTGGTGCAGGCCTGTAGTCCCAGCTGCTAGGGAGGTTGAGGCAGGAGAATCGCTTAAACCCGGGAAGCGGAGGTTGCAGTGAGCCGAGATGGTGCCACTACACTTCAGCCTGGTGGCAGAGTGAGACTCTATCTCAGAAAAAAAAAAAAAAAAAAGTTTTTCACAACTTCCCAGATGTAAAAAATTAAAATAAATTTTAAAAATAAATAAATAGGCTGGGCACAGTGGTTCAGCTCACACCTGTAATCCCAGCACTTTAGGAGGCCGAGGCAGGTGGATCACGAAGTCAGGAGATCGAGACCATCCTGGCTAACATGGTGAAACCCCGTCTCTACAGTCTCTATTAAAAAATACAAAAAATTAGCCGGGCGTGGTGGCGTGGGCCTGTAATCCCAGCTACTAAGGAGGCTGAGGCAGGAGAATCACTTGAACCCAGAAGGTGGAGGTTGCAGTGAGCCGAGATTGCGCCGTTGCACTCCAGCCTGGGCAACGAGAGTGAAACTCAGTCTCAAAAATAAATAAATAAAATTAAGTCTTATTTATTTATTTGAGACAGAGTGTTGCTGTGTCGCCCAGGCTCTCAGCTCACTGCAACCTCCGCCTCCCTGGCTCAAGCAATTAGCCTGCCTCAGCCTTCCGAGTAGCTGGGATTACAGGCGCACACCACCGCACTGGGCTAATTTTTGCATTTTTAGCTAGAGACGGGGATTTGCCATGTTGGCCAGGCTGGTCTTGAATTCCTGACCTCAGGTTATCTGCCCGCCTCGGCCTCCCAAAGTGCTGGGATTACAGGAGTGAGGCACTGCGCCCAGCCTATTTTTTATTTTTATTTATTATTTATTATTATTATTTTTTTTTTGAGACAGTCTTGCTCTGTCGCCCAGACTGGAGTGCAGTGGTGCGATCTCGGCTCACTGCAACATCCGCCTCCCAGGTTCAAGCGATTCTCGTGCCTCAGGCTCCCAAGTAGCTGGGATTACAGCTCCGCCACCATGCCCGGCTAATTTTTATATTTTTAGTAGAGACGGGGTTTCCCCATGTTGGCCAGGCTGGTCTCAAACTCCTGACCTCAAGTGATCTGCCTGCCTCAGCCTCCCAAAATGCTGGCATTGCAGGTGTGAGTCACTGCACCTGGCCTATTTTTTTTTTGAGATATGGTCTCACCCTGTTGCCCAGGCCGGAGTGCAGTGGCACTTTCTTGGCTTGACCTCGGCTTGGGAGATCCTCCTGTCTCAGCCTCCCGAGTAGCTGGGAGTACAGGTGTGCACCACCATACCCGGCAAATTTGTATTTTTTTGTAGAAATGCGGTTTCACTATGTTGCCCAAGCTGGTCTTGAATTCTTGGGCTCAAGCAATCTGCTTGCCTCGGCCTCACAAAGAAAAATAAGTCTTTTTTTGTCTTGTTTTTTTTTTTTTTTTTTTTTTTTTTTTTTTTTTTTTTTTTTTTTTTTTTTTGGAGACAGAATCTCGCTCCGTAGCGCTATCTCGGCTCACTGCGAGCTCCGCCTCCCAGGTTCACGCCATTCTCCTGCCTCAGCCTCCCGAGTAGCTGGGACTACAGGCGCCCGCCACCACGCCCAGCTAATTTTTTGTATTTTTAGTAGAGACGGGGTTTCACCCTCTTAGGCAAGATGATCTCCATCTCCCGACCTCGTGATCCGCCCGCCTTGGCCTCCCAAAGTGCTGGGATTACAGGCGCGAGCCACCACGCCCGGCCGAAAAGTAAGTCTTTAATGATCAAGAACATCAAGCTTCATTGAAATACTGAACACATTAGTCTAATTATATTTCTATATTATGAATACCAGTTGTTTAAATATATCATTGGTAATTCTTTTTTCCAAGAAAGTTTCTCAAATATATTAGTCACTGGAATTCACTTCAACAAGATTTGCATGGAATTTTAAAAAGTAGGTTTAGGCTTTCTGCAGTAATCAAAGCACACTTAAACAATCATTAAACAGAAGGAAGTCATACTTTTTTTCTCCTACATCTCAAAGCTGTGCAGAACAGCCACATCCCCAGGAGTAAGTGGCCCACACTTGTTTGTTCTCTGGAATTGTTTCAATTATGTTTGTAGCTGAATATACATTCATTCTTAGAAAATTAATATGGTTCAGAAGAGGAAATGCTTGTATATTTCCATGATTATTTCTGAGATAATAGAGAAAATATTTGTATGTAAAGCTGGTTCCAGTGTCAGAGTAGTCATTTTGGTTACTGTGTTTGTTGGCCCAACTACTCTCTCTTAAAAGCTCAAAATTATGCTGGCAGGGAGCCATGCCATAGAAACTCCACCCTGAGGAGTGACTCAGATAGTTAGACAAAAGCATTTAAACTTCAAGATTTTTTCAGGCTTCCCTCTTGACACTCCTTCCTCTTAGTCAAAGAATTGATGACTACACATTTTGTGTAGTTAAAGGAAAAAAACTAACACCATTCTTGAATCAATAATGCCTGTTCTCAATTGTTACCTATTAAAAGGTAAAATACAACAAATAGTTGGTTTCTTATCACCTTGAGAATATCTTTTTCACTGAATATATGTATGTGTGTGTATGTGTATGTGTGTGTGTGTGTGTGTGTGTGTGTGTATATATATATATATATATATATATTTTTTTTTTTTTTTTTTTTTTTGAGATGGAGTCTCACTCTGTCACCCAGGCTGGAGTGTAGCAGCGCAATCTTGGCTCACTGCAACATCGGCCTCCTGGGTTCAGGTGATTCTCCTGCCTCAGCCTCCCGAGTAGCTGGGACTACAGGCGCCCACCACTGTGCCCAGCTAATTTTTGTATTTTTAGTAGAGATGGGGTATCATCATGTTGGCCAGGCTGGGCTCGAACTCCTGACCTCAAGTGATCCGCCCGCCTCAGCCTCCCAAAGTGCTGGGATTATAGGGATGAGCCACCGCTCCTGGCCTGCTTTTATTTTTTTATCCAAGATTCAGAGGGTACGGGCACAGGTTTGTTACATGGGTATATTGCATGATGCTGAGGTTTAGGCCTCTAATGATCCCATCATCCAAGTAGTGAACACAAGTAGTTCTTCAAACCTGGCCCCCCTTCCTCTCTTCTGCCTTTTTGAATCCCCAATGCCTACTGTTCCCATCTTTGTGTCTGTGTGTACCCAGTGTTTAGCTCCCACTTATAAGTAAGAATGTGCGGCATTAGGTTTTCTGTTTCTGTGTTAATTCGCTTAGGATAATGGCCTCCAACTGCATCCTTGTTGCTGCAAAGGACATAATTTCATTCTTTTTTATGGCTGCATGATTTAATTTTTTAAATTATTAAACTAGAGGGAAGAAGGAAAATAGAACTAATTTCTCTTGAGTGCTTACCATGCCAGATAGGGACTTTCTCATAAGTTACCACTTTTTGTGATAAAGCCTTGCTGGGTGAACATTACCATCCCGATTTTTAGCAGGAAAACTGAGACAAAGAGATAGATTTTCCAGTGTCACTTAGCTATTGAGGTCAGGGTTGGAATTCAAACATAGGTCTATCTATTTGAGACTATTGACTCAAAATTCAATGTTCTTTACCCAAATCAATCCTGTCAGAAAGGAAACTAAAAATGCTTGCAAAAAAAAAAAAAAAAAAAAAGGTAGGAAGGGCTGGACACAATGTCTCATGCCTGTAATCCCAGCGCTTTGGAAGGCTGAGGCAGGTGGATCACCTGAGGTCAGGAGTTCAAGACCAGCCTGGCAAACATGGCAAAACCCCATCTCTACTAAAAATACAAAAATCAGCTAAGTGTGGTGGCACACACCTGTAATCCAAGGTACTCAGGAGGCTAAGGCAGGAGAATCCCTTGAACCCAGGAGGCGGAGGTTGCAGAGAGCCACAAAGATCCCGCGACTGCCCTCCAGCCTGGATGATAGAGTGAAACTCCATCTCAAAAAAAAAAGATAAGTATCATATATGGCTTATATGAGGAAAGGAGGTTCTCTTCCATCTTCAATCCTTTTTCCATTCAATGAATGGCCTTCATAGCATCATACATAGGATGTTTCCAGATCCTAATTTCTTGGGTATTTCTAACACTGTAATCCAGAATCCAGAAATCACAATTTCCTAAATCACTATTTTGATGCTCAGCAAAGCAGCATGGACCCTGAGGTGTATCAGTGGGTAACACTTTAGGTTTTATTAGATTGGGACATGCAGCAAGAAAAAGAACCTAGAAATTACCATAGGTTTGAAAGGAGAAAAATTAACATGTCTAGGATGTCTAAGCATATGGAAACAATAGCCCTGCCAACCATATTGATTGATTGATTGATTGATTGATTGATTGTTTAAAAAGAGATGTGGTCTAGCTGGGTGTGGTGGCTCACACCTGTAATCCCAGCGCTTTGGGAGGCCGAGGTGGGTGGTTCACTTGAGCCTCAGGAGTTCGAGACGAGCCTGGCCAACATGGCAAAACCTCATCTCTATTGAAAAAAAGAAAAAAAAAACAGACATGGTCTCACTATATTGCCCAGGTGGGTCTCAAACTCTTGGCCTCAAGCAATCCTTCCATCTTGGCTTCCCAAAGTACTGGGATTACAGGTGTGAACCACCACTCTTGACCAGAAGGCAATTTAGAAATGTTGTCATGCTAGTCTAAAATCCATACTGTATTCAACAAGATACCCAAGAAATAATAAAAGAAAAAGATATATTAGTATTTATTTAAAACATTTCCCCTAAGATACCACTACCATATTATTATACTAAGCAAAAAAAATAAAAAATAAAAATGTAATGTTTTAGTCTTTAATTCAAGTTTGTCTTGATGACAAAAACAGGATTTAAGATACTTCAGTAAGTTTCTAAATATTAGGTTCTTGTGTAAAATGCATTTACTGTCATAAATCAAGTATTACTCATGAGTTGGAGAGAATTAAAAATGCAATCCAATCTTATAAAAAGAGTCCAAGTCATAAAGACAAGCAATCAATCATAAAAGGTCAAGAATTTTTTATATAATATGCCAGCGTTTACCTTGAGAGACCTATCTATGTTTACCTACAGACTTGATCATTAGTTACATTTGAGATTTTTTTTTTTTTTTGAGACGGAGTCTCACTCTGTTGCCCAGGCTGGAGCACAGTGGCGCGATCTCGGCTCACTGAAAGCTCCGCCTCCAGGGTTCACACCATTCTCCTGCCTCAGCCTCCTGAGTAGCTGGGACTACAGGCGCCCGCCACCACGCCCGGCTAATTTTTTTTTGTATTTTCAGTAGAGACAGGGTTTCACCGTGTTAGCCAGGATGGTCTCGATCTCCTAACCTCATGATCCACCCGCCTTGGCCTCCCAAAGTGCTGGGATTACAGGTGTGAGCCACCACGCCTGACACCATTTGAGATTTTTAAAGTTTCAAAAATAAGCCAAAATACAATGCATTTATTTCAATTATGGGCTCAGGGTTCCTAAGAAATAATTCATGACTAGGAAAAAAACTCCAGCATATCAAATAGAAATATGATGTGTCAATAGCTACCAGCATTCTAGGTTTATCCTAAATCCAATAATGAGTCATCAGTTATTAACCTCAAAAAACTTGTTTTAAAAGCAGATTAAGAATCACTATTGGTTACCTAGAGCTAAATATATACACAGAGATACTGATACATTACCCATATTTTCAAATCACTGCATGTCTTTTGGTTTGAAGAATATACCCGCTACTTTTTTCTACTGAATATTTGTTGAAATAATACATGAATCCAGCCGGGTGTGGTGGCTCACGCCTGTAATCCCAGCACGTTGGGAGGCCCAGGCGGGTGGATCACGAGGTCAAGAGATAGAGACCATCCTGGCCAACATGGTGAAACCCTGTCTCTACTAAAAATACAAAAATTAGCTGGGTGTGGCGGCACACGCCTGTAGTCCCAGCTACTCGGAAGGCTGAGGCAGGAGAATTACTTGAACCCAGAAGGTGGAGGTTGCAGTGAGCTGAGATCACACCACTGCATTCCAGTCTGGAGACAGAGCGAGACTCCGTCTCACAAAAAATAAAAATAAAAAATAAATGAATCCAAGTAATATTACAAGGTTTCTCAAAACAAAAAAGAAACTTATTTTAAATTCACTGATATCAAGCAAGATTTTTCAAATAATTCAACATTAAGTTCTCCAAGTCAAAGCCCCAGAAAAAGGAAAGTTATGGTTTATAGTCACTGACTCATTTCCTTAGATGATTCAACCTCGTGGCCTTAACACTGACTCGTCTTCCTCTCTCCCTTCCTATTTTAATTCAGAATGGGGGAAAAATAAAGCTTTAATACTTTAGAGCTAGCTTTTCACATCATAATCTTTTTAATAAACCAAATCTTTCTACAAGCTTTTATACACTTTTAAAATTGAAGTCCTATCATATAATTCAGTGAACAGTGGATCAAACTCAGAACATGCTACAAGACTTTTCTAAAAGTTATCGAAAAAATTCAGGAATTTTTTTCCACTTCTTAAAAGTTAATAGTCAAATGCTCACTGGCACAAAGATGACTTCATTAAAATGTATGTTTTCTGCTACCATGCACAAACCTCTGAAAATAAGCCTGTCCTTCATCTTGTTTTTTCACGTATTCTTTAAATATTTATACACCATAAAAGTTGAGTTCTTTATGAATAAGTTCGTGAGTTTACCTAATGCAAAGTCCAAGACACAAAAAGAAATGAAGAGAATTGAACACAAACACACCAAAGGCACGTATTCACACGCCCATGACTGTTGGCCAAATGCACAGCAGAAACAGGATACATCTAGCTCTCTCCAAGTAAGGGCAAGACAAACTGTGAAGGGTTCAGTAATCACCTGGTACTAATGTTGCTGTTGAAAAAGAGCAACTTGCAAACAATGCCTTCATCAAGAACACATAGATAGGTATAGCTCTAACTATAATAATATGATGTACCCCTACCTAACAACACGGGATGGGAGACAGCAAGAGTTTGCTCTCTGCTTTCTTGCCCCTTGTGCCTCATCCCCTACCTCAAAACCTTTCTCTTCAACCAGGCCCTCAGGTGCTATTGAGTAAATAAAGAAGAATGATTGGGGGTTATTAAAAGTTGCCAACTCCCTCACTCATTGCAAGGAAGCGCCTTCCTCATATACTTCAAATAAGACCCCGCCCCTCCAAAATGTTGCTTTGTCTTCAGGAGCACGCACAAGCACCTGACAGGGAACAAATTAGAGGAGAGAACATATCCTATAGAGAGAAGATTGAAGTTCAAAAAGAATTCTTTAGAATTGACGTTAGAAAGTCATTGGGACCTGGCCTGGCACTTGTAATCCCAGCACTTTAGGATGCAGAGGCGGGCGGATAGCCTGAGGTCAGGAGTTCGAGACGAGCCTGGCCAACATGGTGAAACCCTGCTAAAAATTCCACTAAAAATACAAAAATTAGCTGGTGTTGTGGTGCATGCCTATAGTCCCAGCTACTCGGGAGGCTGAGGCAGGAGAATCGCTTGAACCCAGCAGGCAGAGGTTGCAGTGAGCCAAGATAGCACCACTGCACTCCAGCCTGGGCGGCAGAGTGAGTGAGACTCCATCTCAAAAAAAAAAAAAGTCATTGGGACCTTCCTTAGTTAGAAAGATTGGGTGAAATGGCCAGAAACTAGTTTGCAGTAGAGACCGGAGGCAGTAGAGAAGCTGCTAATAGGAGTGTTCCAGAGAGCTGGTGACAAAGACAAGATGATAGATGTTAAGGGTGTGATACCAGAGGGAGATGTGTGTTAAAGTTTATAAAAACACTTTAAGAGAGTCATTTAATTTTCAAAACATTGTTCAGGTGGGTATTGTAGTTATTGATGGTTGGGGGTGGAGTATGAAATGAGGAACACATGCTACTCAGTTTTCTAGAGGTAAGGAAAACTTGCAGAAACAATGCATTTGAAAAGGAAGTAATCTTGGTCGGGCACAGTGGCTTAGCCTGTAATCCCAGCACTTCGGGAGGCCAAGGGGGTGGATCACGAGGTCAAGAGATAGAGACCATACTGGCCAGCATGGTGAAACCCCATCTGTACTAAAAATACAAAAATTAGCCTGGCGTGTTGGCTCACGCCTGTAGTCGCAGCTACTCAGGAGGCTGAGGCAGGAGAATATCTTGAACCCGGGAGGTGGAGGTTACAGTGAGCTGAGATGGCACCACTGCACTTCAGCCTGGGTAATAGAGTGAGACTCTGTCTCAAAAAAAAAGAAAAAAAAAAGGAAGTAATCTTAATGCTGTTAGCTTTTTTTTTCCCCCATAGTTAAGAGTCTCCCCTTGGAATGACAATGTCCAAGTAATTGTAGTCACATTATAATTACAAATGTAAATGATGGTGTCTCCCGTCTCAAAAATGTAGAAAGTGAGCTTATGGTGGCTGTAACTAGATATTTGTCCAGTAAAATCGTAACAGTTAGTGATATAGCTGAGACTAGACTCAAAATTTATTTGTATTTATCATTCAAATAGCCACGGAGTGAAATTTAACAGAATTTCTAATATGGAGGCATCATGCTGATTAGCTTAATCCCTATTTAACTAAAATAGTTACATTTACTATGAAACTTCCCTTAATATTTGCAAACTTAGGTTTAATACTTTATCAGCACCAGTTCTGAATTGTAGGATATTTTCTTCCACGGTAATTTAGGAGTTAGAGGAAAAAATATCTACAGGATGAGAAAACGGAGTATAGAGTTAAATAACAGTACTTATTATTGAATAAATATTGTGTGCCTGTCAGCATGCTATGGGCTTTAGATGTAATTCTCACAACAGATCAGCACAATAGGTGGTATCATCTTCCATTTCACACATAAGAAACTTGATGCACAAACATGTGTTATTTGTCCATGATACCGCAGCTAGTAAGTATACTCAAGCCTAAGTCTTGTTGACTTCAAAGCAATAGCCTTGAGGAAGAGAGGCTCCTAACAAACTGCTGTGTGTGTGCGTGTGTGTGTGTGTTTTAAGCATTGAATCCAGTAGGACATGGTGGCTGTGATGCAACAGGTCTGTCATTAATCCGATTTATCTTGCTAATAGAGCCTAGTATGGCACATGGAACTTAGTAGGGTTTCAGTAAATGGTGAATAAATGAATCAATATATATACAATATTTTAATCATTTCAAATATTATTTCTTTGGGGAACCTAATTTAAATGTATAAAATATGTAGGCTGGGTGCAGTGGCTCACGCCTGTAGTCCCAGCACTTTGGGAGGGCGAGGCTGGCAGATCACTTGAGGTCAGGAGTTCGAAACCAGCCTGGCCAACATGGTGAAATCCTGTCTCTACTAAAAATACAAAAATCAGCCGGGCGTGGTGGCATGCACCTGTAATCCCGGCTAATCGGGAGGCTGAGGCAGAAGAATTGCTTGAACCCAGGAGGCAGAGGTTGCAGTGAGCCGAGATCACGCCACTGCACTCCAGCCTGAGCAACAGAGCGAGACTCTATCTCAAAAAAAAGAAAAAAGAAAAAGAGAAAAAGTATAAGGTATATGTTTTATCCCAGAGACTTGACTTTAGGGTCCAAATTCTTTCTGTAAAGGGCCAAATAATAAATGTTCTAGGCTTTGTGGGCCATAGGGCCTCTGTCACAAACTCTGCTGTTGTGCAAAAGCAGCCATAGACAATACACAAATGAATGCTTGTGGCTGTGTTCTGATAAAACTTTATTTACAAAAACAGAACAGTGGGACCAATTTTGTTTACAGGTCATGGTTTGCCAACCTCTGGCCTAGAAAAATTCATCACATCTAAATCATCTCAACTGGTATCCCCTACTATAGTTACTTAAGTTGCAGATACAGTATGGGAAAAAAAAGAAAAAAAATCACCCTCTAAGAATGAGCTGTCCAATATGATTGCCACTAGCCACATGTGGCTATGGAGAACTGAAATGTGGCTAGTCTGAATTGAGATGTGCTTTAAATGTAAAATACACATTTGAATTGTGAAGATTTGGTATGAAATAAAGAATGTAGAGCTGAGCATGGTGGCACACACCTGTAGTCCCAGTTACTAGGGAGGCTAAGGGCAGAAAGGATCTCTTGAGGCCAGCCTTGGCAACATAGCAAGACCCCAGTCTCCAAAAAAAAAAAAAGTATGTAAAATATATCATTAATAATTATTTCACACTTTGGGAGGCTGAGGCAGGTGGATCACGAGGTCAGGAGTTTGAGACCAGCCTGGCCAATATGGTGAAAACCCTGTCTCTACTAAAAAATACAAAAAAAAAAAAAAAATTAGCTGGGCATGGTGGCAGGTGCCTGTAGTCCCAGCTGTTCGGCACGCTGAGGCAGGAGAATCACTTGAACCCGGGAGGCAGAGGTTGCAAGACTCCGTCTCAAAAAAAAAAAAAAAGTGGGGGGGCCCGGTGGCTCACGCCTGTAATCCCAGCACTTTGGGAGGCTAAGGTGGCAGATAATGAGGTCAGGAGATTGAGACCATCCTGGCTAACATGGTGAAACCCCGTCTCTACTAAAAATACAAAAAAAAATTAGCCGGGCGTGGTGGCAGGGACCTGTAGTCCCAGCTACTCGGGAAGCTGAGGGAGGAGAATGGCGTGAACCCGGGAGGCGGAGCTTGCAGTGAGCCGAGATCGTGCCACTGCACTCCAGCCTGGGCGACAAAGCGAGACTCTGTCTCAGAAAAAAAAAAATTCTTTTTCATACTGCTGACATATTGAAATATTTGATATATTGGGTTAAATAAAACATTATTAAAATTGAATTCACTTCTATTTTTTAAATGTGAGCACTAAGAATTTTAAATTACATATTTGGCTTGCATTATGTTTCTATCGGGCAGCACTACTCTAAGAATAGTTACAAAAGAGAGAATCCCTAACAGATTCAAACTCTTTTTCAGCACTGCAAACAAAGTACTTTACCCAATTATCAATGTCTCTCCATTGAAGTATGCTATATATCCTGATTTCTACCAATGGTGTTATCATTATCTTTTATGTAAGAATTAAGATCAACGCCGGGCCGGACACAGTGGCTGACACCTGTAATCGCAGCACTTTGGCAGTCCGAAGCGGGCAGATCACGAGGTCAGGAGTCCAAGACCAGCCTGGCCAACATAGTGAAACCCTGTCTCTACTAAAAATACAACAGAAAAAAAAAAAAAAAAATAGCCGGGCGTGGTGGCAGGCGCCTGTAATTACAGCTACTCCGGAGTCTGAGGCAGGAGAATCGCTTGAACCTGGGAGGCGGAGGTTGCAGTGAGTCAAGATCGCGCCGTTGCACACCAGCCTGGGCGACAAGAGTGAAACTCCATCTCAAAAAAAAAAACAGATCAAGGCGGGGCACAGTGGCTCACACCTGTAATCTCGGCACTTTGGGAGGCTGAGGCGACCGCGTCATCTGAGGTCAGGAGTTCAAGGCCAGCCTGGTCAACATGGTGAAACCCCATCTCTACTAAAAACACAAAAATTAGCGGGGCATGGTGGTGGGCGCCCGTAGTCCCAGCTACATGGGAGGTTGAGGCAGGAGAATCACTTGAACCTAGGAGGCAGAGGTTGCAGTGAGCTGAGATCATGCCATTGCACTCCAGCCTGGGTGACAGAGCGAGACTCTGTCTCAAAAAAAAAAAGAATTCAGATCACAATTGTTAACGCTTTCTTCCTCCACAAGTAACATATTTCACCAATTTATTTCATTTTCTCACTTCTTTCTCATTTCTCTACACTGTACTTGGCCCTCATTTTCTCAACTGAATTATCAACAAAGTCTCCTGAAAGGACTTCTTTCTTCCAACCTCTATCCATAATCTTGATACATGATTCTATACAAAGCTACTAAATACTCCTAAACACTGTGACTCTCTCCTGCTATCTATCTATCTATATGCACAGAAAGATATGTGTGTATATATATATATTTACGTATGTAAAAATTCAGTGGCTCCCATTACACACAAAACAATATCCAAACTACTTGGTAGAGTTCTTGAGGGTTCCTAAATATCTTTTTAAACTTAGACGTTTTGAATCTTACCTCCTTTCGTACCACTCAAAGTCAGATATAGGATTGTAGGTAAAATATAGGATGGCCAGTTAAATTTCAATTTAAGTTTTAGTATATAATTTATATATATAGTATATATAATTTAATATATAATTTTAGTATATTGCTTGGGATGCAGTTGTACTAAAAAAATAGTTTATCTAATTGAAATTTAACTGGGATGCTCACTTCAGCAGCACATATACTAAAATTGGAACAATACAGAGATTACATGGCCCCTGTGCAAGGATGACACAAATTCATGAAGCATTCCATATAAAACTTTTCTTAAAAGAAATCTATATATAAGTATACAAATAATCAGCTGAGTGAAAATTTTAATTTTTCCTATTTTTCACAATGATCTGTCAAATTCACTATCAAGCAGTCAAATTTGATTTTTACAGAAAAAAAAAGTTCCCTAAGTGCCTAATACTGTGTTTTCCACTGTACACAAGAGTGAAATTATACAGGGACTCAAAACTTATTGATGGCCGGGCGCGGTGGCTCACGCCTGTAATCCCAGCACTTTGGGAGGCCGAGGCGGGCGGATCATGAGTTCAGGAGATCGAGACCATACTGGCTAACACGGTGAAACCCCGTCTCTACTGAAAATACAAAAAAATTAGCCGGGCGCGGTGGCGGGCGCCTATAGTCCCAGCTACTCGGGAGGCTGAGGCAGGAGAATGGCCTGAACCCGGGAGGCGGAGCTTGCAGTTAGCCGAGATCGCGCCACTGCACTCCAGCCTGGGCGACAAAGCAAGACTCCGTCTCAATAAATAAATAAATCTTATTGATGATAAAATAAGAAAATTATAGGAAATTTACTTAAAGCCAGGTATTTATAAGAAAACATACACCAAAAAGATACTAAGAACATGAGTAAGCACTGGTTCACCTTAGTCACATTCATAGTACAGCAGAGACTACCTGAATCCAAATTCAGGCTCTGCTACTTATTAACATATACCTCTGTATGCCTCAGTTTTTTCAACTATAAAATGAGAGCCCTATCTCCCAAGGTGGCTGTGAGGATTTAGAGAATTAATACCCATTCAATGCTTAGAACAATGCCTGACACATGGCAAACATTCAGTAAATGCTAACTCTTACTATTCTTAGAATATTTCTGAGTTTGATTTCCTTAGGCCTAACTCCAACCTAGGACTTATTCATAAAACTAACTTTTAAAAATAAACACGTGGGCCGGGCGCGGTGGCTCACACCTGTAATCCCAGGACTTTGGGAGGCCAAAGTGGGTGGATCACCTGAGGTCAGGAGTTCGAGGCTAGCCTGGCCAACATGGTGAAATTCCATCTCCATTAAAAATACAAAAAAAAAAAAACAAAACCAAAAAAAAAAAACTAACCAGGTGTTGTGGTGCACCTGTGGTCCCAGCTGCTTGGGAGGCTGAGGCAGGAGAATCTCTTGAACCTGGGAGGCGGAGGTTGCAGTGAGCCGAGATCGCGCCACTGCACTCCAGCCTGGGTGACTGAGCGAGACTCCTTCTCAAATAAATAAATAAATAAACACATGGGCAGGCACGGTGGCTCACACCTATAACCCCAGCACTTTGGGAGGCCGAGGCGGGTGGATTGCCTGAGCTCAGGAGTTCGAGAACAGCCAACACGGTGAAACCCCATCGCTACTAAAAATACAAAATTAGCTGGGCGTGGTGGCGCATGCCTGTAATCCCAGCTACACGGGAGGCTGAAGCGGGACAATCACTTGAACTGAGCTGAGATGGAGCCACTGCACTCCAGCCTGGGCTACAAGAGCGAGACTCCACCTCAAAAATAAATAAATAAATAAATAAAATAAAAAATAAAGACATGCAGAGAAAGCACTTTGGTTTGCCTTATTATAACCAACTTCAAAGATCCAAATTTCTGCTCTACCACAACAATGTTTTTTTTTCCCTCTCATATGCTATAACCTTCTCAGGCTATTCAGTTGTAATGGAAAACAACTTTTATAATCATAAATAACTAGTTTCACATAGGTCTTTCTATGAACTACAAATGTTTTCATTTCTTTAAAGCTCATTTCTAAATGTCCTCAATAAAATTTACTTCCATAACTTCCGCTAGATTACTTTGTAGTAGTCTAAAATAGTTATAGGTTTCACAACTTTGTAATAGTTTAAATAGTTTAAAATATAGATTTCTCATCCTACTTGTAGAAATTATTTAGTATGATTTAGTATTAATATATAACCCTCTAGGCAAGAAATAATCCATGTGTGAAGCAAATTTTTCTAGTTTATATTGGTTAGAGGAATAATACTGGAAACCAAATATCATGCACCATAAGTTTCCACGTCAATAAAACACTTCCCCTTACAAACTTTCTCCATAAAAATAATAGACTTATGACTTAATTACAGAAAGAGTGGATAAAAAAGCCACAGTTAAACGATGTTATCTGAACCTACACCAAACTAATCTAGGTTATCTGGAAGAAAGGACACGTAACAGAGAATCACATTTAACTTAAATCCAAAGACCAGTAAAACTACCACAAAAATAAAAGAAATATTTAAAATGAAGTGACTCACACAGTTTTAAACAACTGTGTTAAAATCAAAACTGAGAAACTACTGATTTCACGCATTTAAACTCATTTAGAAAAACAAAATCCAGGTTAGACTACTCAATAACAAGTCTTAGCTCACTAAATGTATAAAATGTGGAAATTCTATGTCACTGTGCGCTAATTTTTTTTTTTTTTTTTTTTTTGGGACGGAGTCTCGCTCTGTCACCCAGGCTGGAGTGGCAGTGGCCCGCTCTCGGCTCACTGCAAGCTCCACCTCCCAGGTTCACACCATTCTGCCTCAGCCTCCCGAGTAGCTGGGACTACAGGCACACACCACCTCGCCCGGCTAATTTTTTGTATTTTTAGTAGAGATGGGGTTTCAGTGTTAGCCAGGATGGTCTCAATGTCCTGACCTCGTGATCCGCCCGCCTTGGCCTCCAAAAGTGCTGGGATTACAGGCGTGAGCCACCGCGCCCAGCCTCTGTGTCCTAAAATTTTGATTAGATTCATTTAACAATGGCCTTTCACTTTCAATTGTTCCATTTCCTATAAATTTTGATAATGTTTTAAAAATTGGCTTTACACTCGAGGTTAAATGTTTTTCCTAAGAGCCAGATAGTAAACATTTTAGGCTTTTCAGGCCATATATTGTCTGTCACATATTCGTGGTTTTTTCTTAAAAACTTTACAAATCCTTTAAAAATGTAACACCCATTCTAGCACAGTCCCTATAAAAAACAGGCTGCAGCCAGATTTGCCCTTGGCCAGTTTTCCCACCTCTGCTTTACACTGTACTATTATCTTTCTGTGACTATGTCAATTATACCAATATTAACATTTCCTCAAGTATCTGCTCAAACATCACCTCAATGAGGTCTTCTCCGAACACACCTACCTATTCCCTAATATGTGTACATACATAACATATTGTACAATATATAGCATATAACCTAACAGACTTTTACTTATCATCTGATCTTTGTTCTCTGCCCCCAACCCTCCAGGTAAGTTCCATGAATACAGATTTTTTGTTTTTTTTTTCACTGTCGATCTCCTGCACCTCAACAGTGCCAGGCATATTAGTAGGCTCTCAATAAAAAAATCTACCCTCACACTTATAAAACAAAATACTATGGACAAAATATGTATTCTATAACAAATGAAAGATATTCAAGGACAAAACTGACAAATACTTTCATTTTTAAATTCTTTCAAGTAGTCATAGAACATTTCAAATAAAGGGGGAAAAGGTTAAAATTTTTATTTTCCCACAATGTGAGGTTAGTTCTTACAGTCTAGTTCTCTTGAAATTTACCATTACTTCAGTTATATTTAATTGCAGATTTGCTTTAATTCCTAAATCCCGCTCCATTCTTGTTCTGCCTTCCTTGATCTCACCTCTGTGTTCCTTGCCTGTTCAGCTCACTAGTCTAGTCTGGCAACTTTTGTTTGGCAAAGCAACAAGTTGCTTTGCCTCTTCTATGGCTCCATCTCCCAACATTCCATTTTTGTAAACTCTCTAATACTGTAACCTTTACTAATCCTTACCATTTAATTAAAGCAAAAGGCTAGATAATATTGAATATTATACTCCAAATATATTATGTTCAGTGACTAATCACTTAAAAATTTCTTATAATTGCTGTATGTGGTTTTACAAATACAGTTTTTACCTATAAGGAAAGATACAACTTACCTTACTTGTAATCCTGATACATATTGGGCAAGGTATTGAGAAAATAACTTTTGGAATTTTGTAAGCTCCATCACCATTCAGATTATGGCTACTTCTAAGCTTATATTAAAACATAAAAACCCATTCATGGGGAAAATATTTTCTACTGCTAGCACTGAAAAATTGATACTTTGTCACAGTATCTTAACCACAGTACTAAATATATTAATAAATATTAACATGGGGTTAAATCATACTAGAGATCACATGAAGACATTCTAAAATCACACTATAAAAATTGCTGATATAGGAGGAAAGGCTTACAAGAATGTCTTTCAAACCCTTTTATCCAACAAGTTATTCATCTTTTACTTTTCTTTCTTCCAACCTTATCCTCTATGATACTATTTTACTTTCTAAATGAATACAGTTTTGCCATTTCGATAGGACAAACAATTTGACCTCTAAAAGAAACTTTGAAATCCAAAAGTCTATAAAGAATTAAGGCCTGAATTTAAGACTTAAGGCCAATTCTTTAGACACAATTCTCTACTTCTAAAAATGCTAAGGTTGTAATTTGGAAAAAACAGCAGAATAAAGACTGCTATGGGACCTCAAATTTTAAAAATTGTTTAACTGTGGTATTCTAAATTATCATACAATCAGATTAAGTTGGTGGAACTAAAACAGGGCGCATTACCTCAAACAGCCAGCATTTACAAGAACCAAATTGATTTTTTTTTCTTACAAAAGTCAGGCAACTTCCAAATTAAGTCACTTTTTACCATATACCCTGGAGAATAACATGGCCCGACACACCACACGTCCCACTTATCTAGTTCAAGCGAGTAACATAACGTGAGAAACTGCACTGTGTAATTCCTTTATTTTCTGCATATTAGTGCTTTACCAACACTACAACCATAAAGAACACAATTCCAAGTACTGTACTTTTTAGTTTGGGGAGATCACAGTCTACAGACTCATTTACTTATATTAAACAAGATTAACCTCATTCAAAACTTACTGCAGTTTATAAATTCACATAAATACAGAAATGGATGCAATTAAACAACTTCAGGATCTTATTTTTAAAATTCTTAGATAATTTTTTCTGCAGGCTATAATTACCTGCTCCAGTCACCAATGGTTATTGTTCAATTTAACTACATCAATTATAAACCTCTTATATCCTTAAAGAAAATTTTAAGTGAAAATTACAATTTCTTACCAAAAGGTTTAGGGTTTTCCAAATTTCAAATATTTGCTTCCCCCTCCCCCCTTTCCAGTCAAACATTTCAAATAAACTAAAAATAACCACATCTCACCTGCAACATTCAATAATAGCAATCACTTGATGTATAAAATTTTAACTATGCCCCCAGTTATTTTAAGACACAAAAAAATGGCTGCCTACCAATCTGTCTTCACAAGTTAGAAATACTACATTTAAGATTTAACATGAGGGTTTCAAGTTTCCTCCAGTTTAGGCATTTATACCTTTGTGCTTGTTTTGTTTCAGGATGTTACTATAGCATTGATATTGGATAACCCATATTTATATACTTTAAAATGCAATCATTTGAAACACTAAAAATTACATTTATGGTGGAGCTTTGGAAATTTTAGAAAGCAACCAGTGTTCTTAGATGTGTTTATCAGCCTCATTTCTAGAGCTCTTTCTACTAAAGTGAAACTGAGAACTTCGTACTTTAGTTGTATCCTGAAATCAAAAAAATCCCTCTGCACCAACAGGAGCCTACATGAGAATACCCTTTTGCATCTGCTTTAAGTAAAATGTTTGTTAAGAGTTTTACTTTGAATAGTTCATTTTTTTATAGTCTTACACTTCTCATACATCTTTGGTAAAAGCTCCATTATACAATATGGCCAAAGTGTGAAGGACCAATACTGTCCAACTATACCATGATATCCCGCTCAATTTTAGTTTTCAGACACCCTCATAAACAAAACCCACTCCACCTTTTCCTGTATACTGCCTTTGCAGTCTACATTTCTGAAATTCCCTATTTAATTCCTTGAGGATCACTAAAATTAATCCTTAAGGCTATATAGGAACCAGATGCTGCTTTACAATTCTGCATCAAGCATTAACATTTGGTTCAAAATATTATCATAGTGGTCGCAATCCAGTTACTGGTCCTAACCAGCTAACCAAGTAATCTTGTTAGGATCTGGATATCACCAGCGAGCACACTGCTTACACATGAAGAAAAATAAGTTTACATTCATTGTCATCTGTAGGTTCTTTCTCTTCATCCTACGTCCCCTTTAATAGTCATCCCTCAAGTCTACACATCATTCATTCATCACGCTTCCTTCCTTAAAGGAGACAGTGTACTATTGAACCAACAGGATATCTTTTTTATTATTTGCATGAGTTAATCCTACAAACAAAATTAAATACCTCTTTTATAAAACATCTTTTCCAGTGTTCTAATTGATGGAGATGCGGATCACTCATCTATAAAAAATGACTTACAGCTTCAGCTTAATCAGTTGCTATAATGTGAAAACAGGAATGTGTATTTTTTTCAACTAGGTAAAAGGTGCATATAATTTGAATTGTTAAATGTTTTATTAATGAACAAAGTAAACCTTTTAGTAATTTTTAAATTACTGGTCTTAGGTGTTTGAAACAAGGTAAAAGTATACATTCCAGTTTTGCCCAAAAGTCACTTAAAATATCTACAAATTATTTAATCTGTGTGTGGTAACACCATTATTGCTCCAATTTCTGGAAAGAGTCTATTTTCAAAGTTTAAAAAAGAGGAAAAACAGCAAAGTGGCTAACTTTGCAGTGGAAAGAAAAAGTGTCCTTCATGGGTTACACTTTCATATTTTTATGCAGCATTAAGTTATCTACGTTATGGGGAACTTGGGTTTTATTCCTACTCATGCATGATGTGTTTCAGAACTTACTTGCTGACATTTCAGAGAACTTCTTACATTACCTGTTTAACATACTGAGGTGCAACTGGAACATATTACAATATTACTCATTATTTGCCACTGTGGGCTAAGTTTACTATACTGGTCTTAGATATAAAAGGTCACATTTGAAATTACTAAGTTAGAACTCATAAGGAAGGGGGGGGAAGGCCTTAAATATAAAAGACAAACGGCAGTTTGATTAAGCAATAATTTTCAGTTTACTAGATGAAACAGACTTGCAACATAGTCTGCATGAATGCAAAATAAGCCATCTACAGCAAGTGATAAGGAAACTGGGCAAAAAAGGAAAAAAGCATACATAGGAAAATGAAAGATTCTCTCGAAATAAAAAAATCAAACTATTATTACAAAGGACTTTACCAAGAACTGCTGTGTTTCCCCCATCCCATCTGCTGGAAGTCAACAAGAGCATCTAGCAACTTTGTGTTCATGTCAAATGTCAGATCAGAGCATCCTAACGCAAAGCCAACAAAAAAAAAAAAAAAAAAAAAAGGAAAAAGAAAGGGAAACAAACAAAAGAGAAAACCCCCAAGCCCCGTCCCCGCCAAACTGTAGAACAGTAACTCCAGAGTTCAAATTCAAAAGAAGAGAAAGTGGCAATTGAAAGAGGTGATGGTGGCGATAATCCTATGAATGGGTTTTTGATTTCTCTCCTTCCAGGGGATGGGTGGAGAATGCTCATTAAGATTTGTAGTTAGAGGTTAACCATGTGAGCCCCTCATAGAGTCCGTCCCCTGAGGTGGCACAGGAGGGCTGCACATACCAGTTCCTGTCCCGAATCCGGGTCAGGCCCAGTTTCTCCTGGATCTCGTGGGGTTTCATGGCATCGGGCAGGTCCTGCTTGTTGGCGAAGATGAGGATTATGGCGTCCCTCATCTCCCGGTCATTGATAATGCGGTGCAGCTCCTGGCGAGCCTCATCGATGCGGTCGCGGTCGGCGCAGTCCACTACGAAGATGAGACCTTGGGTCCCAGTGTAGTAATGCCGCCAGAGCGGCCGGATCTTGTCCTGGCCGCCCACATCCCATACGTTGAACTTGACATTTTTGTAAGTCACCGTCTCCACGTTGAAACCCACAGTGGGAATGGTGGTCACCGACTGGCCCAGCTTCAACTTGTACAGGATTGTTGTCTTGCCGGCCGCGTCCAGGCCCAACATGAGGATCCGCATTTCCTTGTTCCCGAAGATTTTGGATAGCACCTTCCCCATCGCGTCGGAGGAGCCGGGGCCGGGGGCATTCAGGTGTCCCGGGTCCCCTCAGCCAACAACGCCGCCGCCGCCGCGAAACCGAAACGAAGCCTCTCGGCCGCGAGAGCGCCTTTGCGGCCTGCGTGGGAGTTGCCTCCTAAGGGCAGAGGCCCAGGCCCCCCGCTCACTCGGGCATCACCGACCGCACAACTTGATTTCTCCAGTCGCCGCCGCCACCCGGGCCCTGAGACTGCGCTGGGAGCCGCCGCCCTGCTGAGGCGCGGCCCGGCCCGGAACTGCCCTTCCCCCCGCAGGCGCCGCGCGAGCGCCGCCGCGGTTCCCGCTCCTCCGCCTTCCTCTCACCGCGAGGGAGACTGCAGCCCTCCGGCCCGCCCGCCGGCCTGCGAGCACTGGGCTCCCCACCGACCCAGGACACCCGAGAGGCAGCGCGGCTCCGGGGCCCCGTCAGGTCATGGATCCTCGCGGGAACTCGGTGCGCTGCCTGCAGAGAAACAGAGAGGGAGGGGAGTTACTGCCAGAGCTCCACAAAGGAGCGAAGACCGAGGTGGCCCGCCTTTCCAGCTCGGCCCAAGGGGTTACCTCCAGCCGCCGCCCCGAGCGCGGGCTCCCTCCGGCCTCCAACTCCTCCTCCCAGTTCTGCCGCCGCCGCTGCCGGAAAAGGCGCCGAGGAAACCGCCTCACTTCCCCTCCCGACCACGCAGGCGCAGCAGAGGCCGACCGTTCGGACAAGAGCGACCTCTGTAAGGAGAGCGGCCCGCGCGCCTAGCGTCATGGGCGCCACGCGCCGGAGGGGCGGGGCTACGGCGCCTCGGAGGGCTCGCAGATGCGGCCGGCCCAGAGCCCTCGAACCTCGGACTCTGACTCGCGCCTACCCGTGGCTCTTCTAGCGTCTCCTTCCCTGCTTTTCTCTTTTGCGCTCTGCCCTCCCCTGCCCACCCGAACCAAGGGAGCAGATCTACTGGGGGGCCCTACAGGGTGGGGCCCACGGGCAGCCCGCTCTCTCCACGAACCGAGCTGCCTCCAGGCCTGTTCCCAGACCTCGGTGCCCGCCAGATGCTCTGCGAATTCCCTCCGCCCGCCCCAGCCTTCCCGCACCCTCCGCGCTCCCTGAACGTCCCAGGGAAGCTCTGTTCGCTTTTGTTTTTTTTTTTTTTCCCTTTTTCGCAACCCCTTCTTGGCTTCCTTTATCCCTTGAATTTTGTATGTTTCCTGAAAGACACGTGGGAGGCCAGTGTCTCGTGTGGAATCTGCCAGTCAGTGCAGCGCTTTCCCGGAGTTGAGTTTACTCTGCAGCTCTTTTGAATGTTTGAGCCCTGTCTGCCTATAGGTCTCGTCAAGACCAGCCCATGTTTCTTAAAAACTGCAGTATTATGAAGAGTTCCTGTGCCTTGCCGCGTTTTCACCTTTTTAGAATGCGACATCTGTTCATCTTTAAAATATCATTTTATCTCATACTGTTAGTAGTAGCTTCTTAACTACTACCCATTCTTAACTTTAAGAAGCATAGAATTTAGAATATAGAACGACCGCTTGTATGGCCTGGATCTGGGCACTTAACCTTACTAAGTTTATCTCGTGTAAACTGACCTTGCTAACTCACGTGAGGCTTAAATAATACAATGTGGAAGACTTCAGGGCACATTTTTGGTTTTTTGGTTTTTGTTTGTTTCTTGAGACGGGGTCTCACTCTGTCGCCCAGGCTGGAGTCCAGTTGCACAATCTCGGCTCACTGCAGCCTCCTCATCCTGGGTTCAAGCAGTTCTGCCTTAGCCTCCGGAGCAGCTGGAATTAGGTCGCCCACCACCACGCCCGGCTAATTTTTGTATTTTTAGTAGAGACGGGGTTTCACCATGTTGGCCAGGCTGGTCTCGAAGTCCTGACCTCAGGTGATCCACCCGCCTCGGCCCCCCAAAATGCTGGGATTACAGGCGTGAGCCACTGCGCCCTGCCAAGGACACATTTTTGTATCAAATGGTTAATGATAAAATTAGACTTAAAATAACGTGAAACCTTCAAATATCAAGGGGAGAAAAACAGGAAATGGGTATCTTTGTTTAAAAAGCAAGATGCTATAAACAGCATATGGTAACATACTGTTTTTATTAAACAAATTTAAAATATTAGATAATGGTAGATAGGTTATATGATAACCTTATAAACGTCATTTCAGTCGGAAATAAACTTATTAAACATTAATATTCTAACAATTATTTCATTTACTTTCCATTTACCTTAAGATGAAGCACTGTCATAAAACTGAAAAGCTTAGGAGTCTGAAGATTGGGGTTCAAGTGTCATCCCCAACCCCACCTCTCTATTTTTGGGACAAGGTCTCGCTCTGTCACCAAGGCTGCAGTGCAGTGGTGCGATGTCAGCTCACTGCAGCTTCAGCCTCCTAGGCTCAAGAGATCCTCCCACCTCAGCCTCACCAGTATCTGGGACTAAAGGCGTGCGCCACCACGCCTGACTAATTTCTCTATTTTTTGTAGAGACAGGTTTTGCCATGTTGGCCAGACTGGTCTGGAACTCCTGGCCCCAAGTGATCTGCCCGCCTCGGCCTCCCAAAGTGCTGGCATTACAGGCAAGAGCCACCGCGCCTAGCCCTTTTTTAATTTTTATCTAGACACCTGGGTTATGTTTTTGTGTTTTGTGTTTTTGTTTTTTGTTTTTGAGACAGAGCCTTGCTGTGTTGCCCAGGTTGAAGTGCAGTGGCTCGGTCTCGGTCTCGACTCACTGCAACCTCTGCCTCCCAGTTCAAGCAATTCTCCTGCCTCAGCCTCCCGAGTACCTGAGACTACAGACATGCACCACCACGCCGGGCCAATTTTTGTATTTTTAGTAGAGACGGGGTTTCACCGTATTGGCCAGGCTGGTCTCGAACTCAACCTCAAGCCTCAAGTGATGGGCAGGCCTTGGCCTCCCAAAGCGCTGGGATTAGAAGCGTGAGCCACCAGGCCTGGCCTGGGTTATGTCTTAAATTTTAAACAGATGAATGCTCCAACAGCTAAGTATAGAAAAATCTTCTCTACTTTTTGACTCAAAGCCTGTAAATGAAGAGATTTCTGGAATTTACACGCAAACCAGGCTTCCCTAGAGAATGCCATTTCATAATTTTTAATCTCTTCAACAACCACTTATGTTTATGATATTCCTGACTAAAACAGTATAAATAAAATACTATAATTTTTATTCATTTATTTATCATTATTTTTTGTAGACACAGGACTTCACTGTAACCCAGGCTGGTCTCAAACTCCTGGACTCAAGCAGTCCTCCTGCTTCAGCCTCCGAAAGTGCTGGAATTACAGGCCTAAGCCACTGTACCCAGCCAATACTATATCTATCTCATAAGAAATATGTTTACTTGTAAAAAATGGCTTAGACCTAATTTTTTTTGTTGTTGTTTTTCTTTGAGACGGAGTCTTTCTTGGTCGCCCAGGCTGGAGTTCAGTGGCGCAATCTGGACCCACTGCAACCTCCATCTCCCGGGCTCACGTGATTATCCTGCTTCAGCCTCCTGAGCAGCTGGGACTACAGGCATGTGCCACCAAGCCCAGCTAATTTTTGTATTTTTAGTAGAGACAGGGTTTCACCATATTGGCCACGCTGGTCTTGAACTCCTGATCTCGTGATCCACCTGCCTTGGCCTCCCAAAGTGCTGGGATCACAGGCGTGAGCCACCGCGCCCGGCCCTCTGTTTTTAAATTGGAATTAATGTATTCTCTAACAATAGTACCACACACTGTTTACCCTAATTTCTGAATTCTTATAACTCTTAAAAATCGCTCATTTCATAAGACCCTGTCAGGTATTTCTTTTTATCCCATCAAGTACCAAGGATGACTCTGACCACATGACAAAGGTGGTCTGACCATGCACTTGTTTGATGATGATTTTATCCCTTTTATCATTTGAAACCCTTAGGTCAGACTTACCCAGAATTGAACACTATTTTAAAGAAGGGATAAATCCTGGGAAATCTATTAGCAGTAGAAATAAAGTGTAAATAAAGTTATAAGAAAGTGTATCTTTAGAAAAATTGCTAATCCTGCCAGGCATAGTGATTCATGTCTGTAATCCCAGCTATGCATGAGGCTGAGGCAGGAGGATCCCTTGAGGCCAGCAGTTCAAGGTCAGCCTGGGCAACATAGCGAGACCCAATCTCTGCCAAAAAAAATTTTTTAATTAGGTCTCAAAAACAAATAAATATAAATAAATAAAAACAGAGCCGGGTGCGGTGGCTCACGCCTGTAATCCCAACACTTTGGGAGGCCAAGGTGGGCGGATCACGAAGTCAGGAGATCGAGACCATCCTGGCTAACACGGTGAAACCCCATCTCTACTAAAAATACCAAAAAAAAAAAAAAAAGAAATTAGCTGGGCGTGGTTGCAGGCTCCTGTAATCCCAGCTACTCGGGAGGCTGAGGCAGGAGAATGTCGTGAACCCGGGAGGCGGAGCTTGCAGTGAGCCGAGATCGCGCCATTGCACTCCAACCTGGGTGACAGACCGAGACTCCATCTCAAAAAATAATAACAGGCCAGGCGTGGTGGCTCACTCCTCTAATCCCAGCACTTTGGGAGGCCGAGGTGGGCAGATCACCTGAGGTCGGGAGTTCGAGACCATCCTGACCAACGTACAGGAACCCCATCTCTCCTAAAAATACAAAATTAGCTGGGCGTGGTGGCACATGCCTGTAATCCCAGCTACTCATGAGGCTGAGGCAGGAGAATCACTGGAACCCAGGAGGCGGAGGTTGCAGTGAGCCGAGATCACACCACTGCACTCCACCCTGGGCAACAAGAGCGAAACTCCGTCTCAAAAATAATAATAACTTTAGATGCTACATAGTGCTGTTTCAAAGAGAGAATAAATGAATTAATAAAAAATGAATGGGGAAGAGAAAAAAAGAAGAAGAAAGGAAGAAAAGGAAGGAAAGAAAAGAAGAGAGTTGTATTGAAAAGTAGAGCTTGGCAGTGTTGTAAACGATATCTTAATCCAAAACCCAGATTTAGGTTGGAAAGGTAAAATTCCTTAGAAAATTATAACCAGGTAGGTTCATGTGAAATTTCCTGCTCCATATCCTCTTTTTAAATTTTACTTTATAAACACACATAGTATATATACCAAGAACAAACAATGGAGCAGCTTCTATGCTGTTCAGAACCTTTGAACCATCAGCATATAATTGTCTGTAGTAGCTCCTACTTTAAGATACAGTTTTGAGCACAATGACCAAGATTTATGAGTGTGGAAATGGTTGTAAAATCCTAGGTAAATGTTACAACAATTTTACAAGGATTAAGCCGGACACAATTTATGAGTTTGTTTCCATTTCAAGTAAGAAAGATTTATCTTCCAGTAGAGTTAGAAAGAGACTCTGTCTCAAAAATAAAAATAAAATCGATTATATGTCCACAAATAATAGTCAAATAGCATAACCTGCTGAGTTAAAGACTGGCTTCAGGCCAGGTGTGGTGGCTCACACCTGTAATCCCAGCACTTTGGAGGCCATGGCAGGTGGATCACCTGAGGTCAGGAGTTTCAGACCAGCCTGGCCAACATGGTGAAACCCTGTCTCTACTAAAAATACAAAAATTAGCTGGGTGTGGTGGTGCGTGCCTGTAATCCCAGCTACACAGGAGGCTGAGGCAGGAGAATCGCTTGAACCCAGGAGGTGGAGATTGCAGTGAGCTGAAATCACGCCACTGCACCCCGCTCCAGCCTGGGCGACAGAGTGAGACTCCATCTCAAAAAAAAAAAGACTGGCTTCAGAGGTAACATTACAGTTTCTTAAACCTGGGTCATTGGGGGCTATGCCCCTCTCCGGTGAATTAGGGCAAGAGTTCCTCCGCTGTCTCACTATGGGATGAAGGTCAACTACCCTGTGTGCCGACTTTCCACATTAACTGAATTAATGCCAGAAAAGGAAAGTCTAGAGCCTTTGAAGCAGTTTCATTTCCAAATGTAAAAATGGGTCTTTCTGCTGCTTATTATATCTTTTTAACATTACAGGAAAAACAAATCGTGAATTCAGTGTATTTACATAGTTATGTTAGAAGGCTGACCTGGAACATCATAACAATTTTGATGTGGATAAATCTTTAACAGTATATCAAAGATTCTAGGAGTAGAGCAAGTTACTCAATGTGTTTAACACTCTTAGGATGTGTTTAACACTCTTAGGATGTCTTTAGAAACTGCCGCCCCCATCCACAGAAATACAGGAGTAGACTCCTAGCAGTTCTGGATTTTCTGTGGGATTCCTCAGCATGTACATCTCTGGCCATACCAACTGGACCACAGGTAGACTCATTATCCTAATTGGCTATTTGGATTTTTTTTTTTTTGAGACAGGGTCTTACTCTGTTGCCCAGGCTGGAGTGCAATGGCACAATCTCGGCTCACTGCAGCCTCCACCTCCTGGATTCGAGCAATTCTCATGCCTCAACCTCCCGAGTAGGTGGGATTACAGGCACGTGCCACCACGCCTGGCTAATTTTTGTAATTTTGGTAAAGATGGGGTTTCACCATGTTAGCCAGGATGGTCTCGAACTCCTGGCCTCCAGTGATCCACCTGCGTTGGCCTCCCAAAGTGCTGGGATTACAGGTGTGAGCCACCATGCCCAGCCTGGATTTTTATTCCTAAGAATTTAGAATCAGATCTGAAGAAATACTGTGCCAGTCCATCTTTTCCCAGAGGATGCATCTTACTAACTAGAGACTGTGTCACAGCCATATTCCTGTTTTGAGTACTGGGAGGCAGACAGAGGTTAGTTTTCAGGGAGAAAGAAAGAAGCAGATGTGTGGAGAAAGCAGAGATGAAGCAGAGACTATTCCTGACACTCCAGGCCCTTACTAGGGTCTGTCTGCGTACCAATCACTGAGTTTCATGAAACACCCTAGTTTTGGGGTTTTTTTTTGTTTTGTTTTGTTTTTTGAGACAGTCTCACTTTGTGGCCCAATTGGAGTGCAGTGGAGCGATCTTGGCTCCACTGCAACTTCCGCCTCCCGTGGTTCAAGCGATTCTTGTGGTTCAAGCGATTCTCGTGGTTCAAGAGATTCTTGTGCCTCAGCCTCCCGAATAGCTGGGACTATAGACGCGTGCCACCACGCCCGGCTAATTTTTGTATTTTCAGTAGAGATGGGTTTTTGTCATATTGGCCAGGTTGGTCTTGAATTCCTGCCCTCAGGTGATCTACCCACCTCTGCCTCCCGAAGTGCTAGGATTACAGGCATGGGCCACCGTGCCCGGCCACATTACTTTTCTTTTTGCTAAAGCAGGCTCTAATTGGCTTCTGTTACATATAAACAAAGGCAATAGTTTTACAAAACATGTCAAGAAAAAGCAATGTGCAAGCAAAACAAAATTTTAAAGTAAATGCATCAAAGTCATAGATGTTAATGCTTCAAGAGAATTATATGTATATGACCACCATTAGAATTAAAGGGGTAGGGTGGGCTATTGATAAATCTAATTCAGTTTATAAAGAGCACTGAAGTCCTGGATTTTTTTTTTTTTTTTTTTGAGACAGTGTCTGGCTGTGTCATCCCGGCTGGAGTGCAGTGGCACAGTCGGCTCACTGCAGCCTCTGCTTCCCAGGCTCAAAAGCTGAAGAGGTCCTCCCACTTTAGCCTCCCAAGTAGCTTGGAGTACAGAAGTGAGCTGCCACATCTGGCTAATCTTTGTGTTTTTTGCAGAGACGGGGTTTCACCATGTTGCCCAGGCTGGTCTGGAACTCCTGAGCTCAAGCAATCCACCCACCTTGGCCTCCCAAATTGCTAGGATTACAGGGGGATTACAAGTGTGAGCCACCACTCCCAGCCTGACCTGGCCTTTTGACCTGTGCTTGAATTGCTTTATAGAGCTCTTAGAATAATTTAATGTATTCCTCATACCATAACAATAGTTGTCTTAATGTGGGAATAGAAAAAAAAAATCAGAGTCACTGGAGTTTTTCAGCCAGTATCATTTGCCCTAAACAAAAGGTAAGCATAAAATTAATACAATAGAATTCACTTCCAGGGAGATAGAGTAGGCATACTTTTTCCAATTCTTTTTCTAAGTACAACTAAAAACCCGAGGCATTACAAATACAAGAAGCATAAGAAGACTTTGACAGCTGGCGAGAAGGAGGCAGGCTGGCTAGCGACCTGGAAACCCAAGGAATGACTTAGTGGTAAGTTTCTTGCTGCTTTTTTGTCCTTATATCTTCCAAACCTGGAACTTAAGAAGTTGAAACCTTGAAATATGAAAGAAGCTCCAAGAGAAGCCTTCTCTCTTTAGCCAAATGATGAGGAAAGTGCAGGAAGACAGACAGCCAAAGGACCAGAAGAAAGCCTAGAAAGGCAGAAAACTTTTAGAAAATAACCATGTCAGCCAAACACCAAAGAAAAATCTGTAGCCCCACTTCCACCAATGGTAATAAAGGCCAGGTGGAGAGCTATCAACCTAAAGGGAAAAAAACTGAGGCAATCTTAATATAAGTAGAGAGTGTACTTGGGCCAAGTCTGAGGACTGCAAACGAGGAGTGTAGATCCAAGTTGCTCTGAATATACTCTAATTAGCAGTCATTACAAATGTGTTTCTCTTTCTTTCTTTCTTTTCTTTTTTTTTTTTTTTTTTCCTGAGACGGAGTCTCACTCTGTCGCTCAGGCTGGAGTGCAGTGGCTGGATCTCGGCCCACTGCAACCTCTGCCTCCTGCCTCAGCCTGCCGAGTAGCTGAGACTACAGGCATGCGCCACCACACCTGGCTACTTTTTTTTGTATTTTTAGTTGAGATGGAGTTTCACTATGTTGGCCAGACTGGTCTCAAACTCCGGATCTCCAGCGATCCACCTACCTCGGCCTCCCAAAGCGCTGGGATTACAGGCATGAGCCACCGTGCCCGGCCACAAGTGTGTTTCTGAAGGAAATAGGCAGTTCCTAGATTGTTTACCAAGAATTTACATTAAAATAACTGAAGCTATTGATTGGCTATACATTGTTCGTTGTATCACAAGTTCCAGGAACATGAAGACAATGGGTGAGGCAGCTAGTCCGGAACAAAATACTAGTCAGGAGCAATTGCCGCCAGCCTGGAGTGGTGGCTCAGTTGAGCTCAGGAGTTCGAGACTTGGGCAACATGGTGAAACCCCATCTTTACAAAATACAAAAATTTAGCTGGGTGTGGTGGCGCATGCCTGTAGTCCCAGCTCCTCAGGAGGCTAAAGTGGGAGGACTGCTTGAGCCCAGGAAGTTGAGGCTGCAGTGAACAGATATTGTGCCACTGCTCTCCAGCCTGAGCGACACTCAAAAAAAAAAATGCCCCCAGACATGAGTGGGGAGGTGCCTGAAGGCCCATACTCATGTCTCTGGGCCTGATAAGTTTTACATACCTCACAGAGCTCAGACTGTTCGTAGCTGTCTTTCTTTTCTTAGAGCCTAGGCATCCGCACTTGCCAGGCTCTTAATGAGGTGCCCCAATCTCTTGTCCCCTCACCAAGTTGAGTAGGGAACAGGGTTGTCCATCCCCACCAGGTGATAATGAGCCCCACCTAAATTCTTGGTGTCAATGGAGATCACTTGGGGAACCTGGATTTCTACTTCCCTTTGGCAGTAGGAGGCATCGTACCCTGCCCTGCTGGGGTGGATCAGAGGAGGCCTACTGGAAAGTCAGGATTTTCACTATAAGGAGTCCAGTTCCCTCTCCCACCACTGCTTCCTTCTGATATTGTGATATATTAATAAGAGATCTATATTTGATTTTTGGTCCCAGTTTCTTGCACAAAACTTCTGAGACCCTTGGAATTTCCTGACTGATAGATGTGAGGGGCACATCTTTTGTTATTCATCACGTTAACTAAAAATGAAATCCTAAGCCCTGCAACTGACTGAATGAACCACCTCTTGGCCAAGAGGACCCCAAAGAAACCTTAAAAACTGAGTTCCCAGCTATAACGAGATAGGAGGTCAGACATGCCTCTTTGTACCCCCTCCCTGTTGCAGTTTAGACACAACTGACCATCATTGATGTTAAAATAGAGATCATAAGATTGACAAAACAGGTTGGGCACAGAGCCTCATGTCTGTAATCCCAATACTTTGAGAGCCCGAGGCGAAGGATTGCTTGAGTCCAGGAGTTAGAGACCAGCCTGTGTAACTGCCCAATGGGTTCACCTTGCCCACTGTTTAGGCAGAGCCGATTTATCAAGACAGGGGAATGGCAATAGAGAAAGTTATTCATGCAGAGCCAGCTGTGCTGGAGACCAGAGTTTTATTGTTATTCGAATCAGTCTCCCGGAGCATTCAGGGATCAGAGTAGGATTTTTGTTGTTTTGTTTTTCGTTTTTTTTGAGAGGTAGTCTCACTCTGTTGCCCAGGCTGGAGTGCAGTGGTGCAATCTCACTGCAACCTCAGCCTCCCAGCAAGGGAGGCAAGCGATTCTCCTGCCTCAGCCTCTCGAGTAACTGGGATTACAGGCGTGCCATCACGCCAGACTAATTTTTGTATTTTTAGTAGAGATGGGTTTTTGCCATGTTGGCCAGGCTGGTCTCAAATTGATCCGCCCGCCTCTGCCTCCCAAAGTGCTGGGATTACAGACGTGAGCCACCCCACCGAGCCCAGGATCGGAGTTTTTAAGGACAACTTGGTGGGTGAGGGGGCAGCCAGTGAGTCAAGAGTGCTGATTGGTCAAGTAGGAGACGAAATGGAAGGGAGTTGAAGCTTTCCTCTTGCGCTGAGTCAGTTCCTGGGTGGGGGCAACAAGATCACATGAGTCAATGTATCAGTCTGGGTGGTGCCAGTTGATCCATCAAGTTCAGAGTTTGCAAAATATCTCAAGCACTGATCTGAATCTTTACAATAGTGATGTTAGCCCCAGGAGCAATTTGGGAAGGGTCAGAATCTTATCGCCTCCAGCTGCATGACTCCTAAACCATAATTTTTAATCTTTTGGCTAGTTTGTTAGTCCCACAAAGGCAGCCTAGTCTCCAGGCAAGAAAGGGGTTTGTTTTGGGAAAGGGCTGTTATCATCTTTGCTTTAAACCATAAACTAAAAACTAAGTGCCTCCCAAAGTTACTTTGGCCTATGCCCAGGAATGAACAAGGACAGATAGGAGATTAGAAGCAAGTTGGAGTTGGTTAGGTTCAGATCTCTTTCCCTGCGTCAGTTCCAATTTTGCAATGGGGTTTCACTTGAACACCACAGGGAGACCACCCTCCCACCCTCCGCATCTACAAAAGTAAAATAAAATAAAATTAGCTGGTCATGGTGGTGCACACCCGTGGTACCAACTACTTGGAAGGGTGAGGTGGAGGATCACTTGAGCCTGGAGTTCGAGGCTGCAGTGAGCCATGATTGTGCCCTGGCACTCCAGCCTGGGTAACAGAGCAAGACCCTGTCTCAAAAAGACTGACAGAAGGGCACAGTAGCTCACGGCTGTAATCCCAACACTTTGGGAGGCCGAGGCGGGCAGATCACCTGAGGTCGGGAGTTCGAGACCAGCCTGACCAATATGGAGAAACCCCGTCTCTACTAAAAATACAAAATTAGCCACGTGTGGTGGCACATGCCTGTAATCCCAGCTACACAAGAGGCTGAGGCAAGAGAATGACTTGAACCTGGGAGGCGGAGGTTGTGGTGAGCCAAGATCGCGCCATTGCACTCCAGCCTGGGCAAAAGAGCGAAGCTCCATCTCAAAAAAAAAAAAAAAAAAAAAAAGACTGACAGAACAGATTATCTTTATGATAATAAGATACAAATTATAAACAGGATCTAAGGCCATGCCAGGCAAGTGTTAAGCCATGCACTCCTACACTTAAAGAATAACCTATGTCCTAACCACCACAAGGTTTTTCTTTTTCTCTAGCAGCTAAATAAGCACTGGCCTTGAGATAAACAATGTTGAAGCAGTTGCAGCTTACAACCACCACATGCTGACCAACTGACTTTGTTCCATAAGCCATAACTACAGCTCTGATTGGACAAGAGATTGATTTCAGTAACTTTCTCCTGATAAGAAGACCACTGACCAAGGACTGGGTCTAGCCAGTTTACGTAGACTGCGTGCTTAAAAGTCCTTTTGTGTCCTGAAAAGACCTCTGATGAATAGGGCCTAACCGTAATACATTTAAATGTTGAGTCTCCACCCCAAGGTGAACATAGTTCATAAGTAACATGCATGTTTATTCAACATGCATGCACCAGGACCACCTTCATGAATATTCATAGCTCCTCCTCTAGCCTGTTAAATATGTATGTTTAGCCAACTCCTTCAGCATAAAGCTCCTACCCCAGCCCCTCCTCCTTTGAAATGCCTGTTTCCAGGTCTCTACTGGAGGCTGCGTTTCCCAGCCTCTGGGATGGCCACCTTGCAGGCTGTAACACTTTACAAGAAATAAAGTCTCCACTTCTAAATTTATAAATCTTGTGATTTTTTTTAAGTTAACAGTAATAAGCCCGTTTAACCATTCCTGAATTTATGCTAATGAGGTAACTCTTAGAGGATAGGGGTTAGTTGCCAGAGGAACCAACCCTGGATAGAATGTTCAGTCCCACACCTTGAACTCCAGGGAAGGGAGAGGATCTTAGTCACCAATGGCCACTGACTTAATTAATCATGCCTACATAATAGAACCTCCATAAAATCCCTAACCGACAAGGTTTGGAGAGGTTCTGGGTTGGTGAACACACTGAGGTGCTAGAAGGGTGGCACCTCTAGCAAGGGCCTGGAACCCTCATACAGCCCATCCATTCCTATACCTTGCCCAATGTATCTCTTTCTTTGTTTTTGTTTTTGTTTTTTTTTTTTGAGACAGTCTCACTGTGTTGCCCAGGCTGGTCTCAAACTCCTGGACTCAAGCAATCCACCTACTACCACTTCTCAAAGTGCTGGAATTACAAACGTGAGCCACTGTGCCTGGCCCCAATCCATCTCTTTCATTTGGCTCTTCCTGAATTGTATTCTTTATAATAAACGGGTAATTGCAAGTAAAGTGCTTTCCTGAGTTCCTCGAGCCATCCAGCAAATTATCAAGCCCCAGGAGGGAGTCATGGGAGCCCCTGATTTATAGCCAGTGGGTCAGAAGTACAAGTCACAACTTGGAATTTGAGACTGACTTCTGAACTGGGATAGTCTTGTGAGACTGAACCCTTAACCTGTGTGGTCTGTGCTAATTCTGGGTAGTTACTGTCATAATTGTAGTACACCCGACTGGGATCTAGAGAGCTGGAGAATTGCTTACTGTGAGGGAAAACTCCACACATTTGGTGTCAGAAGTTTCATGAGTGTACAGGAAAACAGTTTTTTTCTTCTTCTTTTTTTTTTTTTTTTGAGACAGAGTTTCACTCTTTTGCCCAGGCTGGAGTGAAGTGGTGCCACCTAGGCTTACTGCAACCTCCGCCGCCCCCCAGGTTCAAGCGAGTCTCCTGCCTCACCCTGCCTAGTAGCTGGGATTATAGGCGACTGCCACCACACCCGGCTAATTTTTTGTATTTTTTGTAGAGACGGAGGTTTCGCCACGTTGGCCAGGCTGGTCTCAAACTCCCGACCTCAGGTGATCCACCCACCTTGGCCTCCCAAAGTGCTAGTATTACAGGCGTGAGCCACTGCGCCCCGCTGGAAAACAGGTTTTTTTCTTTTACTCCCTCACCCCCAATACCAGCCTCCCTTGTGGTATAGAGTCAGTGAAAACCCCATGGGGAGCATAATGTACTCTTACGCTTTCCAGCCAGGGAGCTATCACTGGAGGCCTAGTGGGGAGCGAGTACTCCCACCCTCACCTTGTAGTAACAAGGAGCCACTCCTAGGTTGTCAACAGAGGCCAAATGAGGAACCTGGACATCTGCCCCCATCTGGCAGTAACAAGGTAGTGCTCCTCTTTCCTTGCTGGTGTTAGAGGAGGCCAGCTAAAACAGAAGTTTAAGTAAGATCCAGCTGGGTGCAGTGGCCGGGTGGGGTGAGTCACACCTGTAATCGCAGCACTTTGGGAGGCTGAGGCGCTGCAGATCACCTGAGGTCAGGAGTTCAAGACCAGCCTGGCCAACATGGTGAAACCCCATCTCTACAAAAAATACAAAAAATTAGCTGGGCATGGTGGTGTGCACCTGTAGTCGTAGCTACTCCAGAGGCTGCGGCGGGAGAATCACATGAACCCAGGAGGCAGAGGTTGCAGTGAGCCGAGATCATGCCACTGCACTCCAGCCTGGGCGACAGAGTGAGACTCTGTCTCAAAAAAAAAAAAAAAAAGAGAAAAAGAAAAAAGCCAGGTGTGGTGGTACAGGTTTGTGATCCCAGCTATTTGGGAGGCTAAGGCATGAGCATGAGGATCACTTGACCCCAGGAGGCAGAGGTTGAAGTGAGCCGAGATGGTGACACAGTGAGACTCCATCTCAATAAATAAATAAGGTTCATTGCTTAACAATGGGGAATCTTAATTAAAAATTAAAATTAGGCCGGGTGGGATGGCTCACACCTACAATCCCAGCAGTTTGGGAGGCCAAGTCGGGTGGATCACTTGAGGTCAGGTGGTCGAGACCAGCCTGGCCAACATGGTGAAACCCTATCTCTGCTAAAAATATAAAAATTAGTTGGGTGTGGTGGCATGCACCTGTAATCCCAGCTACTTGGGAGGCTGAGGCAGGATAATAGCTTGAACTCGGGAGTCAGAGGTTTAGTGAGCCGAGATCCTGCCACTGCACTCCAGCCTGGGCAACAGAGGGAGATTCCATCTCAAAATAAATAAATAAATTAATTAATTAAATTAAAAATAAATAACATCCAGAGTCTTATAACATAATACTCAGAATATTCAGGTCACCACCAAAAATCACTCATTATAACAATATATCAAATTGAATGAAAAAAGACAATAAATGTCAGCATCAAGATGAAAAAGATGTTAGAATAATATGACAAAGTTTTTACTGCAGCCAGCATAAAAAATGCTTTAATTAGCAATTATGAACACACTTGAAACAATTAAAAAATAGTCTCAGCAAAGAAATAGAAAGTCTCAGCAGAGATAAAGAAGATATAAAGAAGGGCTGGGCACAGTGACTCACACCTGTAATCCCAGCACTTTGGGAGGCCGAGGCAGGAGGATCATTTGAGGCAAGGAGTTTGAGACCAGCCGAGACAACATAGTGAGACCCGCATCTCCACAATTTTTTTTTAATTTTTAAATTCTTCTTGAGACAGAGTCTTGCTCTGTTGCCCAGGCTGGAGTGCAGTGGCATAATCTCGGCTCACTGCAGCCTCCACCTCCTGGGTTCAAGCAATTCTCCTGCCTTAGCCTCCTGAGTAACTGGAATTACAGGCATGCGCCACCAGGCCCGACTAATTTTTGTATTTTTAGTAGAGATGGGGTTTCACCATATTGGCCAGGCTGGTCTTGAACTCCTGACCTCAGGTGATCCACCCGTCTCGGCCTCCCAAAGTGCTTGGATTACAGGCGTGAGCCACTGCACCTGGCTCCATCTCTACAATTTTTAAAAAAATAGCTAAAAGAAGTTGGAATTTCTCTAAACAGAAAGGAAAGGATTTTTTTTAGAAAAAGGAATGTTGGTACATCAGGAAGCAAGAAAGAACATGGTAAGCAAAAATATGGGTAAATGCAATCGATTTTTCTTCTCCTCTTGAGTTTTCTAAATTATGTTTGATGATTGAAGTAAAAGTTATAACTCTCCAATGTAGTTCTAAATGTATGTAGAGGGCATAGTAAAGACAATTATTGCTCAAGTCCTTGCTCATAAAGAAAAAAGAAAAGGGCTGTGTGCGGTGACTCATGCCTGTAACCCCAGCACTTTGGGAGGCCGAGGCGGGTGGATCACCTGAGGTCGAGAGTTCGAGACCAGACTGACCAACGTGGAGAAACCCCGTCTCTACTAAAAATACAAAATTAGCCAGTTGTGGTGGCGCATGCCTGTAATCCCAGCTACTTGGGAGGCTGAGGCAGGAGAATTGCTTGAACCCAGGAGGCGGAGGTTGTGGTGAGCCGAGATTGCACCATTGCACTTCAGCCTGGGCAACAAGAGCGAAACTCCATCTCAAAAATAAATAAATAAATAAATAAATAAATAAGACAATTATAAGCAGAGAAGAATAAAAGAACATAAATATCAGCAAAAACTGAGGACTGAAAGACAACATATCACGTATCTTATTATCAAGTGCCCATGGAACATATACCAAAATAGACCATACCCTGGGCTATAAAACAAACCTCAATAAATATATAAAGAATTGAAGCGGGGCTGGGCACGGTGGCTCACACCTGTAATCTCAGCACTTTGGGAGGCTGAGGCGGGTGGATTTCCTGAGGTCAGGAATTCAAGACCAGCCTGGCCAATATAGTGAATCCCAGTCTCTACTAAAAATACAAGAAATTCGCTGGGCGTGGTGGCAGCTGCCTGCCTGTAATCCCAGCTACTAGGGAGGCTGAGGCAGGAGAATTGCTTGAACCCAGGAGGCGGATGTTGCAGTAAGCCGAGATCACACCATTGCACTCCAGCCTGGGCAACAAGAGCGAAAATCCATCTCAAAAAAAGTGAAACTCCATCTCAAAAAAAAAAAAAAAAAAGAAATGATACAGAGTATGTTCTCCAGCTACAATGGACTCAAAGTAGAAATCAATAACAGAAAGGTAGCAGGGAAGTCTCTAAACACTTGGAAAATAAACAACATGCTTCTGAATAATCCATGGGCCAAAAAGTAAGTCTCAGGGAAATGAAAATACATTGAAATAAATGAAAATGGAAATACAGGCCAGGTGCGGTGGCTCATGCCTATAATCCCAGAACTTTGGGAGGCCAAGGCGGGAGGATCTGTTGAGCCCAGGAGTTCAAGACCAGCCTGGGCAACATAGTGAGACCCCATCTCTTTAAAAAAAAAAAAAAAGCCAGGCTTGGTGGTGCTTGCCTATAGTCCCAGCTACTCAGGAGGCTGAGGCAGGAGGGTTACTTCAGCCCTGGGGTGACAGGTGGCAGCCAGCCATGATCACGTCGCTGAACTCCAGCCTGGGCAACAGGTCAAGACCTTGTCTCAAAAAATAGAAAAAGAAAAAAAAAGAAAAAGATGAAAATACAACATATCAGGCTGAGGCAGGAGGATTGCTTGAAGCTAGGAGTTTGAGACCAACCTGGGTGACAAGGTGAGACCCTACCTCTATGAAAAAAAAAAAGAAAATACAGTATATCATAATTATAAGGACACAGCTAACGTACTGCTTAGAGAGAAATTTATAGCACTAAATGCGCACATTAGAAGAGGAAAACTCACAAACTAATATTCTAAACTCCCATCTCAAGAACCTACTTTAAAAAGAGCAAAATAAATCCAAAGCAATAAAAGGAAAGAAATAATAAGAGTAGAAATCAATAAAATCGAGACGAGAAAAACAATAGAGAAAATCAATGAGACAAAGAGCTTGTTCTTTGAAAATATCAGTTAAAGCAACAACTGCTATCACGACTAAAAAGAAAAAAAGAAAGAAGACATAAATTACCAATAACAGAAGTGAAACATGAGATATCACTATAGACCCTGCAGATATCAAAATAATAACAGAATGCTACAAACAACTGTATACACATACACTTGACAATGCACGTGAAAAGACCAATTTCTCAAAAGCGCAAAGTACCCCAACTCGCCCAATATAAAATAGATAATTTTAGCAGCCTATTATTATTATTAATTTTTTTCTTTTTTTCAGACACAGTCTCACTCTGTCACCCAGGCTGGAGTGCAGTGACGCAATCTCGGCTCACTGCAACCTTCGCCTCCTGAGTTTAAGCGATTCTCGTGCCTCACCCTCCCAAATAGCTGGGATTACAGTCACCTGTCACCACACCCGGCTAATTTTTGTATTTTTAGTAGAGACGGGGTTTTGTCATATTAGCCAGGCTGGTCTCAAATTCTTGACATCATGTGATCCTCCTGCCTCCGCCTCCCAAATTGCTGGGATTACAGGCATTACAGGTGTGAGCCACTGCGCCCAACCTAGTAGCCTGTAATCATTAAGGAAATTGAATTTATAATTTTAAAACTGCCAAAAAAGAAATCTCATGACCCAGATGGTTATAGGATGCACCTTTATGTTCCAGGAGATTGCTACCCAACATTTTAATAGTTTCAGGATATATAAGAGGAGGGAATACTTCTCAGTTATTTTGTGAAGTTGATACTAAAACCAGATAATTCAGTACAAATAAGTGCACACACACACAAAGAATATAAAACTACAGACCTATATTTCTTTTCTTTTCTTTTTGTTTTTTTTTGAGACAGAGTCTCACTCTGTTGCACAGAATGGAGTGCAGTGGTGGGATCTCAGCTCACTACAAGCTCCGCCTCCCGGGTTCAAGCGATTCTCCTGCCTCAGCCTCCCGAGTAGCTGGTACTACAGGCGTGCGTCACCACGCTTAGCTAATTTTTGTATTTTTAGTAGAGATGGGGTTTCGCTATGTTGGCCAGGCTGGTCTCAAACTCCTGACCCTCATGATCTGCCTGCCTCGGCTTCCCAAAGTGCTGGGATTACAGGCTTGAGCCACCCTGCCCAGCTGGACCTGTATTTCTTTTTTCTTGTTTTTTTGAGACAGAGTCTCCCTCTGTTGCGATCCTGCTCACTGCAACCTCCACCTCCCAGGTTCAAGCAATTCTCCTACCTTAGCCTCCCGAGGAACTGGGACTACAGGCGTGTGCCACCATGCCTGGTTAATTTTTGTATTTGTATTTTATTATTATTATTATTAATTTATTTATTGAGATGGAGTCTTGCTCTGTCACCCAGGCTGAAATGCAGTGGCACAATCTCTGCTCCCTGCAACCTCCGCCTCCTGGGTTCAAGCAGTTCTCTTGCCTCAGCCTCCCAAGTAGCTGGGATTATAGGCACCCCCCACCACTCCCAGCTAATTTTTGTATTTTTAGTAGAGATGGGGTTTCACTATGTTGGCCAGGCTGGTTTCGAACTCCTGACCTCAAATGACCTCCCAAAGTGCTGGGATTACAAGTGTGAGCCATCTATATTAATAATTCATACAGATACAAAAATCTTAACAAAATATTAGCAAATAAAATTTAGCAGTGTATAAATATAATCATATACCACCATGAAATGGAGTTTATTTCAGGGATGCAAGAATGTTTGAATATTTGGAAATCATGTAATCCAATCAATCAATGGGATAAAGAAGAAAATTTGCCTATAATCCCAGCACTTTGGGAGGCTGAGGTGGGCGGATGACTTGAGGTCAGGAGTTCGAGACCAGCCTGGCCAACACTGCAAAACCCTGTCTCTACTAAAAACACAAAAATTAGCTGGGCTTGGTGACACGTGCCTGTAGTCCCAGCTACTCCAGAGGCTAAGGCAGTAGAAGTGCTTGAACCTGGGAGGCAGAGGTTGCAGTGAGCCGAGATCATGCCACTACTGTGCTCCAGCCTGGGCGACAGAGTGAGACTCTGTCAAAAAAAAAAAAAAAAAAAAAAAGAGAGAGAGAGAAAGACAGAAAGAAAGAGAGAGAAAGAAAGAAAGAAAATCACTTGATCATTTCTATGAAGGCAGAAAAAATATTTGACAAAATTTAGCACCTACTCATGGTATAAAATTTTATGAAAAACAGGAATAGAGAAGAACTTTCCCAATTTGATTTTTTTTAACCTCCAAAGAAAGAAAGAAAGAAAAGAAAAGAGGAAAGAAAAGAAAAGAATATCCCTACAGCTAACATACTTAATGGTAAAAAACTGAATGCTCTCTCACTAAGATCAGAACAAGGGAAGATGTTCAACCTCACTGGTCTCGTTCAACATGGTGCTCAAAGTTCTAGCCATGCATTAGGGCTAGAAAGTGAAATATTAATAAAAGGCATATAGATTGGGAAGGAAAAAATAAAACTTTTGCTACTTATAGAAGACGTTATTTCCTACATATAAAATCCCAAGAAATCTGAAAACACAAACCTCCCACAATAATTAACTGTATTTCAGCCAGGCATGGTGACTCACGCCTATATCCCAGCACTTTGAGAGGCCGAGGTGGGTGGATCATGAGGTCAGGCATTCGAGACCAGCCTGGCCAACATAGTGAAACCCTGTCTCTACTAAAAATACAAAAAATTAGCCGGGTCTGGTGGCAGGCACCTGTAATCCCAGCTACTCAGGAGGCTGAGGCAGGAGAATCACTTGAACCTGGGAGGCCGAGGTTGCAGTGAGCCGATATTGTACCACTGCACTCCAGCCTGGGGGACAGAGTGAGACTACGTCTCAAAAAAACAAATAATAATAATAATAATCAACTGTATTTTATATACTGGCAATAAACACATGGACACTAAAATTTTAAATACAATATTTGTATTCACTCAAAAAATTGAAATATACAGAATGTATATATCAAAAACTACAAAACACAAAAGAAATAAAATAATATCCAAACATATGGGAAGATACATTATGTTCATGGATTGGAAGATTCAGCATGGTAAAAAAATGTCAATTTCCTCCAGGTTTAGTGCAATTCCTATCAGAATCCTAGCAAGATTTATTTTGTAGATATAGACAAGATTATTCTAAAATTTATATGGAAATGCAAAGGAACTAAAATAGCTAAAACAATTTTCAAAAAGAAAAGTGGGACGAATCAGTCTACCCAATTTTAATATTTATCACATAGCTAGTAATCAAGACTTTGTCATCTTGATGGAGGGATAAGCAGATCAGTGACACACAACAGAGAACCCAGAAATGAACCCACACAGATATGCCCAACTGTTAAAATGTATGTAACATAAAATTTGCCATTTTAACCAATTTCTTTTTTCTTTTTTGTTTTTCTTTCTTTTCTTTTCTTTTTTTCTTTTTTCTTTTTTTTTTTTGAGACGGAGTCTTGCTCTGTCGCCCAGGCTGGAGTGCATTGGCATGATCTCAGCTCTCTGCAAGCTCCGCCTCCCGGGTTCATGCCATTCTCCTGCCTCAGCCTCCCAAGTAACTGGGACTACAGGTACCCACCACCAGGCCTGGCTAATTTTTTGTATTTTTAGTAGAGACAGGGTTGTTTCACCATGTTAGCCAGGATGGTCTCTATCTTCTGACCTTGTGATCCGCCCGCTTCGGCCTCCCAAAGTGCTGGCATTACAGGCGTGAGCCACCTCGCCCGGCCAACCATTTCAAGTGTATAATTCAGGAGCATCAATTACGCTCACAATATTGTACATCCATCACTACTATTTCCAAAACTTTTTCAACACCTCAAACAGAAATTCTATACCCATTAAGTAATAACTCCAGCCTGGGAAACATGGTGAAACACCATCTCTATAAAAAAAAAATGCAAAAAGTAGCCAGGTGTGGTGGTGCACACCTGTAGCCCCAGCTACCTTGGAGGCTGGAGGTGGGAGGATCACCTGAGCCAGGGGAGTTCAATGCTGCAGTGAGCCACTTCCCTCCAGCCTGGGTGACAGAGTAGGACCCTGTCTCAAAAAAATGAAAAGTAAGATAAGATAAAAATTCCTAATTCCCTACCCTAATTCCCAACCTCTGTCTACTTTCTATCTCTACATATTTGCCTATTCTACAGATTTCACACAAATGGATTTATTTGTCCTTCAGTGTCTGGCTTATTTCACTTTACATGTTTTCAAGGCTCATTTATGTTGTAGCATGCGTCAGAACCTTATTCCTTTTTATGGCTGAATATGAATATGCATCACATTTTGTTTACTTATTCATCTGTTGATGGACAGTTGAGTTGTTTCCACCTTTTGACTATTGTGAATAGTGCTGTGACAAACATTAATGCGAGTATCTCTTTGAGTACCTGCTTTTGGTTCTTTGTGGGGTCTGTACCTAGGAGTGGAATCACTCAATCATATGGTGATTGTATGTTTACATTTTTGAGGAACTGTCAAACTGTTTTTCACAGCAGCTGCACTATTTTACATTCCCGCTGGCAATGTATGAGAGTTCTAATTTCTCCACATCCTTGCCAACACTTGTTATTCTTTTCTTTGTTGTTTTTGTTTGTTTCATTGTTTTCAGATGAGGTCTTGCTATGTTGCCCAGGCCGGCCTGGAACTCCTCGGCTCAACAGATCCTCCCATCTCAGCCTCCTGAGTAGCTGGGACTACAGACATGCACCACCTGCCCAGTTCAACACTTGTTATTTTCTGTTTTGCTGTTGTTATTTTCGTGATCCTAGTAGGTAAGAAATTGTATCTCTTGTGGTTTTGATTGCATTTCCCCAATGACTAATGATGTAGAGTTAATGAATGAATGAATGAATGCACAAAGGGACCTACTATTTTAATAAATCTTATGCTCAAAAGGGGATAAATCACTCTTCTAGTTTATATTATTATTATAATGTACAAGAACATTAATATTTGTTTTTATAATGATAAATCATAATAGCATTTGTATATAATGGTTTTGATTATACAAATACTCTTGTAATATGCAATATTGTTTATCCATACATCACAGTGACTATAGACTGTCTCTTTTAACAATATTCTAACTAATGTGTAGTGGTTTTGCCTTTATTTGTTTCTTGCCACACCCTAGGCTATACTCCCCCTTGGAAAATGAGCTGTGTCACAAAATGAATTAGAACCTTGTCAGCAAGGGGTTTCAGCTGAACAGACACAGGCAGCTTGTGCCTTCAGTATTCTCTGTATAAATTGGACTGCTTTTCCAGTTCATTAGCCCTAAAAGCAAACACTGAGAAAAGTGTGAATTCCTTTGGTCATAAAATATACATATAGGCCGGGCGCGGTGGCTCACACGTGTAATCCCAGCACTTTGAAAGGCCTAGGCGGATGGATCACCTGAGGTTGGGAGTTCGAGACTAGCCTGACCAACATGGAGAAACCCTGTCTCTACTAAAAATACAAAAAAAAAAAAAAAAATTAGCTGGGTGTGGTGGTACATGCCTGTAATCCCACCTACTTAGGAGGCTGAGGCAGAAGAATCACTTGAACCCAGGAGGTGGAGGTTGAGTTGAGCCAAGATCACACCACTGCACTCCAGCCTGGGCAAAAAGAGTGAAACTCTATCTCAAAAAAGAAATGTATCATACACATAAACTGCCTGGTCACGGTGCCTCACGCCTGTAATCCCAGCACTTTGGGAGGCCGAGGCAGGCGGTTCACTTCAGGTTAGGAGTTTGAGACCAGCCTGGCCAACATAGCGAAACCCCGTCTCTACTGACAAAAAAAAAAAAAAAAATTAGCCAGGCGTAGTGGTGCACGTCTGTAATCCCAGCTACTCGGGAGGCTGAGGCAGGAGAATCGCTTGAACCCAGGAGGCAGAGATTGCAGTGAGCCGAGATCGTGCCACGGCACTCCAGCCTGGGCAACAGAGTGAGACTCCATCTCAGGAAAAAAAAAATCATACACATAAACCATAGTGTAACAGAATATATTTTTAATTATTAACAATGTGAATTGTGATGACATACTGTATGTGTAATGTATCCCCTAGCAAGTACCTATGGTGCTATTTGTTCAACCACCACATCATAAACTCTCAACAAAGTAATATTTAAAAACTGTCTAAACCACACCCATGAAAGCTTAAAATTTCCCCCTCTAAAATAAAAGAAGTGAAAGTAGACTGTCATATGAACCTCAAAAGGCCATTTACAGCCTCAATGTTCCTCCATTTGTTCATAAGGGGAGGAGGTCTAGGGGAAGATATTACTCTATGTGGAGGTGGTGAGGAGAGTAATATCTTCCCCTAGACCTAGGGAAACCCTAGGATTTTTATACTAATCATGGCTGGGGCCAGAGGACATGCAAAATTAGACATTAACCCAGTCATTCTTCTACTCAGAAATTATGTCCTCTCTTCCAGGTCCAAGATGAATAGACATAAACCTATATATGATTAAACTGTTTGCATCATGTCAAGCAAATTGTTTCATTTTTTACACTTTTATTCTCAAAACTATTATTTTTCCCCCATATTAACTAATAGTTGACACACTGGGACACCTAGCACATAGCAGATCTCAATACTTATTTGTTGAATGAGTAAATGAATGGTTTAGGCAAATAATGTTATCCTGATCCTCTTACCTTAGTCAGTGAAAGCTGTATGCAATTTAAAGTATTTGTTTTCCTACCACAATCTAGGCACGTTCAAATATATATGTATATATATATACACACACACACACACACACACATATATATATATATATATATATATATATATATATACACACACATATATATTTGTTTTTGAGACAGAGTTTCGCTCTTATTGCCCAGGCTGGAGTGCAATGGCGCGACCGCGGCTCACTGCAACCTCTGTCTCCCGGGTAGCTGCGATTACAGGCGCCCGCCACCACGCCCGGTTAATTTTTTGTATTTTTAGTAGAGACAGGGTTTCACCATGTTGGCCAGGCTGGTCTCGAACTCCTCACCTCAGGTGATCCACCCACCTCCGCCTCCCAAAGTGCTGGCATTACAAGCGTGAGCCACCCAACCGGCCGGCCAGTTCAAATGTGTTAACCTCAGCGTATAATCAGCTTGGAGAATAGAAAGTCAAAGAAAGGCAAATCAATTTGCCAATTATTCTGAATGGTGACATTAGCCTAAATCTACAGAGTCCCCAAACAAAAGAAGCACTCTTCAAAGTTAGCTAATGAAAATGAAGCATTTTAAATATTTTCAAAATGAATAAATTAAATACAACATAAAGCTTTTACCACATTGGTGTGAACAGATAGAATCAATAGTTGGATAAAGTGTGTTAAATATCAGGATATTAATGTATGGAGTTTTGGTTTGGGGACATGATTTATTACACGTCAGATCAGAATCAACGTAATAAATAGTCGTGTTGTAATGGAGTTCTACTAAGATCTAAAATGTCAAAACATTTCGGCAGAACTGTCATATGGAAATCAAAGCATATTCAAATGGGAGAAAATAGACCCCGCAAGTTTATTTATAGGCCTAGCAGTGTAACATTGGATAAGTAACTTCAACTGTTCACTCTTAGGATTTATTCTGATATTTAAAAGCCTGTCACAAGAAATGTGTTTCTGGATCGATTAAATATTGTGTATCAACCATATTAAAGGCTCTTCCTACACGCAGGGTGTTGTCGAGAAGAAAACGTGTTTTCTGTCAAACTGTAATTCCGGTTAATCCACCGCTCGTTTATTAAATGTAACTGAATCAGGGACAACCCACGGGGTATGTCCTGAAATGCACATAACAACCCGTCGCAATGAAAATCCTGCCAGCAGCAGTAGATGACTCCGCTGCAGCGAGCTGCGAATAGGCATTGTGTCAAGGGTGGGGAAACTCCGGGCGCCGTGGGAGGACGTAGCTCAGGGTTGAACCGCCACACCCAGGTGACCGAGCTCACGCTGGGTAATTTGTCGGCCAGGCACTCTGGCAGCCTGCCTCTTCACCGCGCCCCGCCGGCGGCCCCGCCTCCCTCCCCTCCCAGTTGCTGGCTGCCCCACCTCTTCCACACCCCAACTGCGGCCCCGCCTCCCGCCCGCCCACTTGCTGGTGGCCCCGCCTCTCCCACGCCCCGCCTCTCCCACGCCCCGCCTCTCCCACACCCCGCCGACAGTCCCGCCTCTCCCCGACGCTTCCGCCGGCGGCCCAGTCCCTTGCCCTGGGACCCCAGCCTGTAGTGTTTGGAGACCCCGGCTCCTCTTCTATTTCTCTTGATCTGGGGTCCGGCTGGCGATAGTGTCCGCGGTGCGCCCCTTTCTCTTGGTCGTTTATGACCTCCACGTCGTCTTTTCTTCAGGTGCGTTGGGCCCCCTCCTCGGGTGTTCTCTCACGGCCCAGCAATCAGGGCCTGTGCGGCTCAAGTTCAGCCTCAGCTTTGTCTGGTACCCCTTCCCTGGTGAGAGCTGAGAACTCAAGGACCAGACTCAACCTGCCCACAAGCTTTCTTCCCTTACCAGGGCAGAAAGCCTTTTCGTATGACTCCATGCTCTTTAACGTCTCCAAAGGACTAATTTACAAACTTTTGAGCTCTATGGCATGGAGTTTTTTGTAGACAGATTGAGACATCCCATTTCAGATGAGGTTATTATCTACTCCAATGTTCAGTGCCACAAAATTAACTTTCATACAGGTTACTTTTTTTTTTTTTTTTTTTGAGACGGAGTCTTGCCCAGACTGGAATGCAGTTGCACGTCTCGGCTTACTGCAACCTCCTCTTCCCGGGTTCAAGCGATTCTCCTGCCTTAGCCTCCTGAATAACTGGGACTACAGGCGCGCGCCACCAGGCCAGGCTAATTTTTGTATTTTTAGTAGAGATGGGGTTTCACCATGTTGGCCAGGCTGGCCTCGAACTCCTGCCCTCAAGTGATCCGCCTGCCGGGGCCTTACAAAGTGCTAGGATTACAGGCGTGAGCCACTGCGCGCGGCCGTATAGAGGTTACATTTTGAACAAGCAAAGCCCCATATAGCCAGACACGGCCTTGTTTTTTGCACTGTTAAAAAAGCAAACGGCTGGCCGGGCGCGGTGGCTCACGCCTGTAATCCCAGCACTTTGGGAGGCCGAGGCGGGCGGAACACGAGGTCAGGAGATCGAGACCATCCTGGCTAACACGGTGAAACCCCGTCTCTACTGAAAAAACAAACAAAAAAGCTGGGCGTGGTGGCGGGCTCCTGTAGTCCCAGCTAGCTACTCGAGAGGCTGAGGCAGGAGAATGGCGTGAACCCGGGAGCCGAAGCTTGCAGTGAGCTGGGATCGCGTCACTGCACTACAGCTTTGGCGACAGAGCGAGACTCCGTCTCAAAAAAAAAAAAAAAAAAAAAAAAAGCAAACGGCTGATTCGAGGTTGTGCATAACTGACTTAGCACTGGATACTATGCCGATCACTAATTCATAAAACAATAAAGGTGAAATATATAGAATAGTAAAGTGATTAGTGTGACTGATAGTGGTTCAATTTAAATAGTCATAAATTATGATGCACCAAATCAAAAGATTATAGGGCCACCTGGCCGGGAGCAGTGGCTCACACCTGTAATCCCGGCACTTTGGGAGGCGGGCAGATCACCTGAGGCCAGGAGTTCGAGACCAGCCTGGCCAACATGGTGAAACCCCCATCTCTACTAAAAATACAAAAATTAGCTGGGTGTGGTGAAGCCTGCCTGTAGTCCCAGCTACTCAGGAGGCTAAAGCAGGAGAATCATTTGAACTGGGAAGGTGGTGGTTGCAGTGAGCTGAGACGCGCTACTGCACTCCACCCTGGGAGACAGAGCAAGACTCTGTCTCAAATAATAATAATAATAAAAGATTATACTGCCACCAAAAACATAGTAACATGTGGGAAAGAAAAGCAAGACACAGATGTTTTATTTACAACATAATTATAATAAAAATAGGTATGCATGGCCGGGCGTGGTGGCTCATGCCTGTAAGCCCAGCACTTTGGGAGGCTGAGGCGGGTGGATCACCTAAGATCAGGAGTTCGAGACCAGCCTGGCTAACATGGTGAAACCCCGTTTCTACTAAAAATACAAAAAATTAGCTGGGCATGGTGGCACGTGCCTGTAATCCCAGCTGCTCTGGAGGCTGAGGCAGGAGAATCACTTGAACCCAGGAGGCGGAGGTTGCAATGAGCTGAGATCACACCATTGCACTCTGGCTTGGGCAAGCGGAGCGAAACTTCGTCTCAAAAAATAAATAAATAACAAAAATAAAAATAGGTATGCATATAAATACAGATTGTAGAAGAATACAGAACTCAAACTAGAAAATCAGACTCTTCTTAGAGGATACTGAGGATGGTTCATCCCATTGGGGTGCCCTGTAGATACCTGGAGCTCTTTTGGTTCCTGCTCTGAGTTCTGCTTATCCAGGATTTTCTTCTGGGAACCTCCCTCTATTAGTTAGAGTACAGAGTATGCTGTAATAATAAAGAGACCCCAAAATATAGTGATTGAATTAAGATGGAAGCTTATTTCTCATCTAACAGTCCAGAGGTAGGAGTGGTGGAGGCTATAGGGTGGATCAGCTTCATTAATTCATCCATGGACTCTGCTGTTTTGGTTTTATTTTGGTTTGGTTTGGTTGTTTTTTTTTTTTTGTTTTGTTTTGTTTTGTTTTGTTTTCCAATCCTGCCCCTTCTGCATTCACTGGTTTCTTTCCTCGACCCTAGGTATTTTTCCTAATTTGCATGGTTAAAGGTGGGGCACTGCAGTGGATCTGCACTGGCGCCACCTAGCGCTGGAAAGGCCAAGAGGGCCAAAGTAGAGGGCAACCGATTTCTTTTTAAGCAAGTGATGCAGAGGACACATACAACTTTCATTCATATTCCATTAGTGAGAACTTGACCACACTTGGTTGTAAGGAAATTCAGGCAATGTGGTCTCTAGCTGGGATTCATGTGCCCAAGTAGCAATGTATTAGCACTGTAAAAGGGGAGAACCGACTTTGGGGGACAACTAACATTTCATGATCTGCCCATTTTCTTCTGACCAACTTCCTCGAGATAATTTTCTTTCTTCTGAATTTCCTAAAGAGAGGTTCGTTTACTTCAGTTTACAGACAGTCCTTGTTTGCTTCAATGTACCTTAACCGATGCCTCATTCTTCAGGCCCTAATTTAAATGATACCTCCTAAAAGAGGCTTACCTGACTACATTCTCAAAAGCAGGTGCCCCACCTGCTTCCTACCACCATTGTTCATATCTCAGTACTGTGCTTCCTTCACCGGTACTTATCACAGTTTGAAATTATAATTTTTTTTGCTAAGTTTTTGTCTGTCTCTTCCACTCTGTCTCTTTTCTTCACCACCACATCTCTACCACCTAGTACAGTGCCTGTCACTGGATAAGTAAAAAGTAAGTATTTGGTATTGAATGGATGAAATAGTAGTCAAGGATGACTCTGAGAGTTCTGAAGTGAGCAACTAAACATACTGATGAGCCAGGCACAGTGGCTCACGCCTGTAATCCCAGCACTTTGGGAGGCCGAGGCAGGTGGATCATGAGGTCAGGAGTTCAAGACCAGCCTGGCCAACATTGTGAAACCCCATCTTTACTGAAAATACAAAAATTAGCTGGGTGCGGTGGTGGGCACCTGTAATCCCAGCTACTGAGGAGGCTGAGGCAGGAGAATCACTTGAACCCAGGAAGCGGAGGTTGCAGTGAGCCGAGATCGTGCCACTGCACTCCAGCCTGGGCAACGGAGCAAGACTCTGTCTCAAAAAATAAATAAATAAACATATTGATAAAAAGAAAAAATGGGTAAGCTTGGAGGAAGAAGAGAAGATGATCAGTTTTGTTTGCAAATACTGAATTTGAAGTTTTGAATGATTTCAAGGTGACATCCAGAAGGCAACTAAAAATGTGAATCTGAAGCTCTGGAAACAGCATCAGATTGGAACTACAGATTTGAGAGCCTTGAGAATTTATTACATCACTCATGAAGAACACGGTGAGAGAACAGAGAACATTTAGGAGGGAACTGTAAGGAACAAAAACATTTGCTGGGTGGGCAGAAGAGAGAGCCTGGGAGGAAATATCAGGGGCTGTGAACAAGAACCAGGGAGAAGAAACGTTCAGGGAGGAAACAGCAGTCACAAGTGACAGAGATTGGTGGTAAATTACATCACCTATGTCAGAAAGGGTCCCTTAGACCTGCCAATTAGGAGGCTTGGGTATCGTAGCCTTAGCTAGAATAGTTTCAGTGGATTGGTGGGCTATGGACTGAAGACAGAAGGTTAAGAAGCAAATGTAGCAATTGTAGAACATGGTTTCAAGAAGTGCAGCCATGAAAACAACAGACAGATTTCATTTAGAAAGGCAAGGTCAAAGGAGTTTTTTTACTTTTTTTTTTTTTTTTTTTTTAGAAGAAAGGCAGCTTGGAATCTGTATAAATGAAAGAGAGAGATAGAATGGGTAAAAATGATTGATGGAAGAATTTTGACCTACTGGGTTTGAGGTAGGAGGGGAAAACAGAAGGGTGCTCTTCTCTGAAGGTGTAAAGATAAATTTAGAGCGGACAGAGCAGCAAAGAGTTGAAAAGTTTTTGTCTGTTGGCCTTCAATTTATCCATGAAGGAAGGAGCAACGTTATCTGCTACAAGGACGGAGGTGGCGGGGAAAGTCTGGACTGGTTTTTAGGAGACAAGGGGTGGGGGGTGAGGGAAAGACTATAGATAAGAGGACAAACAGAAGGTCTGCTTTCGCAGATCTACTATGGTCGAAAATTATTTTTTCTTTCCTCCCCTCTATCCCTTCCTAACCTAAGCTTGTCGCAAAAAAGGCTTCAAGCTGCCAAATCCAAATTTTTCCACCAATATACCCCGATACTAGTTTTTTCTCCAAAAACAACGGGCAACTAACACGCAGGGCAGAGAAAACAAACAGTTGCCCCAGGCTTCCTTCGTTCGAATAGTGAAGACTGAGCTGGCCTCGGCACTGTGCAGACTCCCAACCTGTGCTACTGTGGGTTATTCTCCTTATAGTGCAGTCACCTCCTAAATGCTTGCTGAAAATAATGGAAGACTTCGAGCCAGATGTTTGCCTCTTAAGTAACGTCCCCCAAAAGATGCAGCACATATTTAAGGCCTGCTGAAGCAAGCAACGCTGACGGACCAGGTTATTGCGTTTTTCTCTCGCTGCGTGTCCGGACGCCACACTATGAGCATTAAGCGCATACTGACCAATTTCTGTTAAGCAGGAACGTGGTGTTCTGATCAAAACACAGGGAGCCGCGGCCGCAACCGCGCCGATAAGCTTCCGGGGTCCCAACCCTGTAAGGCAGAACGGCTGCCCAGCTCGGATGACGCCACACTAACGTAGCCTCCAGACCGCCCAGTGTGGGTGTGTCCAAGCTCACGTCGCCCGGCGTGGCCCCCCCGCTCCCCAATGACGTAACTGCCCTGCAGCTTCTAGTAGCTTTTCGCAGCGTCTCCGACCGCCGGGCGCGGTGGCGCGTGCCTGTAGTCCCAGCTACTCGGGAGGCTGAGGTGGGAGGATCGCTTGAGCCCAGGAGTTCTGGGCTGTAGTGCGCTATGCCGATCGGGTGTCCGCACTAAGTTCGGCATCAATATGGTGACCTCCCGGGAGCGGGGGACCACCAGGTTGCCTAAGGAGGGGTGAACCGGCCCAGGTCGGAAACGGAGCAGGTCAAAACTCCCGTGCTGATCAGTAGTGGGATCGCGCCTGTGAATAGCCACTGCACTCCAGCCTGAGCAACATAGCGAGACCCCGTCTCTTTTGCCCCCCTCCCTCATTAAGGGTACCTTTGTAAGTAAATAGTGTCTTTGAAGTTAAGAAGTTTGCCTCCTTTCCGGTTCATACGTATTAAGAAACATACTAATGTGCACATTTAAAGACGAGTCCTCTCTTCCTCTAAAGGAAAAAATATATAGAGAAAGATGTTACTGAGGTTTATAGTTGGCTTTCTCTCTCCACTCTTATATTTATCCACTGTTTTACGTTTCCTTCAGCGCGAAAGCTCACCAGTTGACGGGATGCTTGGGGATTTGCAACCGCCTCATCGCTGCCCCCTACCGGCGCATATTCAAAACGTCTCTGCGAAAAGCTGTTATTACCTTCGGAGCCAACAGGGGCTGCTCGTTTACCCACAGACAGTCGGAAAAAAATGGCCGCCGGATCACAGAGAGCAAAAAGTACGTTCTCTTAAAGAATTTCCAAGTTCTTCCCGCGGCCGTTCAGGATGCTGCTTGCAGTTACCAACATTATTCCCCTGCACTGAGCTGACCTGAGCTTCCCTGCCTACCTCCTGTCACGGATGTCACCTTCTTTCACCCCTGTCCTGTCAAGGTTTTTGCTTTAGAATGCTATAGACCAAAGACGGGCTAATCAACAGTCTTACACACAAATCCTTTCGTTCTACTTGGCTACAGGCAGGGCTAATCTTCCGAAGAGGAATCCCACTACTGCCTCCTTATAAGGGAAAAACTCCTCTCAGAGGAACCCAGAACGCCCTGTGATGACAGAGGTGAGGGGCCAGCGTGGCAGAATGCACCACCCTGTCTCCTCGCTTGCTTCTCTCTCCGTCGGATTGCCAAAAAGGGAACGGCACCTAGACGCCGAAAAGTAACTGAAGCAAAGGGAGTTTAAAGAACGCGCCCAGCCGCCTGGGTCTTGAACCCAGTGTTAATGAGAGCAAAAACCTCTGCATCCTCCACTGAGCTGTCCTTGAGCATGTCTCATAATCATGCTTCATTTTAAAAACAGAAATAAGTGAGTAAGCTATGAAAGAAGACAACCTTTAAATTTTTCAAAAGTTCTTGGTGGTCTGTGATTAGAAATTTCATCTATATGAAATAACTGTTTTGGAGGGCTTACTGTTAAATTCAGGCATTTTAGGGCCAGTGGAAACTGGTTAAGCATTCACATCAGTCTTAACATTAATCTGATAATCTACTGGGAGTTTAAAGACTCTAAGCACTAAACACAGATTTTCCTCACTGTCTATAAAATGAAAGAGGAAAGAAGCATTGTACTAAATTTTTTATAAAGCTAATTGTATTCCCTTTTTTTTTTTTGAGGTAGTTCATTGCATTTTGAACAAGGATAACTGTCAGAAAAGATCCTCTTTGAATAAAACAGGTATCTCCCCCATGGCTGCTTCTGGGTCTGCCCTCTGCAACCACATGGAATAGGTCTGATTCCGGTTCTTCAGGACAACTTTTCAAGAATTAAAAAATCACCTCCAAATGAATGCATTTTTACAAAATGAAAATAGGTAGAGATGCTATTTTAAAAAAAAAAAAACTTTACCTTCTCACCAACCTTAAAATAAGAAGCAAAATAATTTTGGTATATCTTTTTTTTTTTTTTTTTGAGACAGAGTCTTGCTCTGTCTCCCAGGCTGGAGTTCCGGGGAGCGATCTCTGCTCACTGCAACCTCTGCCTCCCGGGTTCAAGCGCTTCACCTGCCTCAAGCCTCCCGAGTAGCTGGGATTACAGGCACACACCAGCATGCCCGGCTAATTTTTGTATCTCTTGTTTTTCACTAAATGGATCCCTGAATTGGACCCAGAATGACTTAGCTATGGATGTAAGAACTGCTTTTGAGTAGCTGCCTCCATTAGCCCTGGGGTTCCTACTTCCTGAGTACCATGACCTCTGGGATAACTCAGCTTTGTGGAACTGAGGTGCAATAGGCAGCATAATGACCCCCTCCCCAAAGATATCTATGTGCTAACTAACCAAGGAATGTGGACAGCCCCCTGAAGCTGGAAAAGGCAAGGAAAGGGATTCTCTTCAAGAGTTTCCAGAAGGAATGCAGCCCTCTTCACCAATTTGGTACTTCTGATCTCCAGAACTCTTAAATAATAAATTTGGCCGCATGTAGTGGCTCACACCTGTAATTCCCAGCACTTTGAGAGGCCAAGGAAGGTGGATTGCTTGAGCTCAGGATTTGGAGACCAGCCTGCACAAAATGGTGAAACCCTGTCTCTACAAAAAATATGAAAATTAACCATGTGTGGTAGTATGTGCCTGTAGTCTCAGCTACCAGGGAGGCTGAGGTGGGAGGATCACCTGAGCCCAGGAGGTTGAGGCTGCAGTGAGTTGTTAGTGTCCCACTGCATTCCAGCCAAGGGGACAGAGTGAGACCCCATCTCAATAATAATAATAATAAATTTATGTTGTTTAAGCCTCTAAATTTGTGGTAATTTGATACAGCAAATTACCACAGAATAGGAAAGTAATACATGGGGGGAATCAAGCTCAGTCTGTAACTGACAAAACTCTGAGAGGTCAGAAAGGTATCCTTTCAGTAACTGTCTTCTCGAACTCCTGACCTCAAGTGATGCACCTACCTCAACCGTGCCCAGCCAGTAACTGTGTTCTTTAACATACTTATACTTTAAAAAAAAAAAACAACTTTTAAGTTGAACACATTTTCACATTGATATTTTTTTCCGTGTGTGTGTGTGCGTGTGTGTGGACTACACTTTTAAGTTTTTAATTATGTTTAGGGTTAAGATTAGGGTTATGGTGGAATATTTTTGACATATAGTGACTTTAAACTTTTATGGGCTGGGCGCAGTGGCTCACGCCTGTAATCCTAACACTTTGGGAGGCCGAGGCGGGCAGATCACCTGAGGTCGGGAGTTCAAGACCAGCCTGACCAACATGGAGAAACCCCCATCTGTAATAAAAATACAAAATTAGCCAGGTGTGGTGGTACATGCCTATAATCCCAGCTACTGGGGAGACTGAGGCAGGAGAATCGCTTGAACCTGGGAGGCAGAGGCTGAGGTGAGTCAAGAGTGAGCCATTGCACTCTCAGCCTGGGCAACAAGAGTGAAACTCGGTCTCAAAAACAAAACAAAACAAAACAAAAATAATACCCCTTTAATGTATTCAGATCTGTTAATCTAATCATTTATGTTTTCTGCTTTTGGTGTTTTGCTTTGAATGGTCTCACCCATGCCAAGAGGATATAAATATTCACATAAATGTTTATGACTTTTGTCTTTTAGAGTATGTACTTCACTGATTTAAAAATAACATCCTAGGCCGGGCACAGTGGCTCACGCCTGTAATCCTAGCACTTTGGGAAGCTGAGGCAGGCGGATCACGAGGTCAGGAGTTTGAGACCAGCCTGACCAACATGGCGAAACCCTGTCTCTACTAAAAATACAAAAATTAGCTGGGTGTGGTGGTGTACGCCTGTAATCCCAGCTACTCAGGAGGCTGAGACAGGAGAATTACTTGGACCCGGGAGGTGGAGGTTGCAGTGAGCCGAGCCAGTCTGGCAGTCTGGGTGACAGAGTGATACTCTGTCTCAAAAAAAAAAATACATAAATAAAATAATATTCCTTGTACAAAACAATGTTTTCTTATTCTAAAACTCTATTTTTTTTTTTTTAAGAGATGGAGTCTTGCTCCATCACCAGGCTGGATTGCAGTGGCATGATCATAGATCATAGCTCACTGCAGCCTCACTCCTGGGCTCAAGCCTTTTGCCACAGCCTTCCAAGCAATTGGAGCTATAGGCACATGCCACCATGCCCAGGTTAAATTTGTTTACTAGTAATATGAGAACTGTTAAAAAAAAAAAAACTTCAGACAAATTAAATTTTTCAGAGTTTTTTGACCAAAGAATGATTCATGAACAGGACAGCACTCAGAACCAGAAGAGATTCAGAGCGTTCCACATTGTGGGCAGAGACTATTCACAGATAGAGAAGGGAAGTGAGATACTGAAACAGCTTGATTGGTTACAGCCAAGTATTTGCCTTATTTGGACATGATTTGCTCAATTAACAGCCTATGATTAGCTGAAGCTTGGCAGCTGTGATGGCTGAGACAGCTATTTGTTACAAGAATATACTCGTAAGCTTTCTATTTGTTTACGTACCAAATTGGATTGTTGTTCAGTATTAAGGGACTCAAGGTACAGCAGCAGCCTTAGGCCAAATTTAATATAGCGGAACTCTTACTTTCTTTTTTTTTTTTTTTTTTTTTTTGAGACGGGGTCTTTCTCTGTCACCCAGGCTAGAGTGCAGCAATCTCGGCTCACTGCAACCTCCACCTTCTGGGTTCAAGCGATTCTCCTGCCTCAGCCTCCCGAGTAACTGGAATTATAGGCGCCTGCCACCGTGCCCAGCTAATTTTTGTATTTTTTTAAGTAGATAAGGGGTTTCACCATCTTGGCCAGGCTGGTCTTGATCTCCTGACCTCGTGATCCACCTGCCTCGGCCTCCCAAAGTGCTGGGATTACAGGCATGAGCCACCTCACCCGGCCCTTACTTTCTTTTTTAATGTATTTGCTTAAATCTGCCTATTTTTGTGTAATTTATTGCGTATAACAAACTACTCCAACATTTAGTAGTTTGAGAATACAACTAGGTTTTATTAGGTTTCATGACTTTGAGGGTTAGGAGTTTGTAGCAAAACTCAGCTGAACATTCTTCTGCTCCAGGCGAAGTTGATTGTGGTATTCAGCTGGTGGCTGGTCTAATTTGTAGGGCCCAAGATAACTGAATTCACATGCCTCTGCCTTGACAGGCTTGGCTGTAAAGACATGCTCCTCTTCCTCTCCCTGTAGTCTCAATGCCTCTCTACGGTAGGGTATTAGACTTCTAACATTGTAACTCAAGCTTCAAGAGGCCAAACTGGAAGCTACAAGTCTTATTAAAGGCTAGAGCCAAAAATAGCATAGTATCACTTCTGTTTACCACGCTTTGTTGGTCAAAGGAATCACAGGCTACCCTGGATTCAAAGATGGGAAGAAAACAGAACCTACTTCATGAGTGTTAAAGAATGTGTGGCCATTTTTAATTTCTATCATACCTACTCTTTAACTTCTTGGTTTTGTTGTTGTTGTGTTTTTGAGACAGAGTCTCGTTCGCTGTGTCACCCGGGCTGGAGTATAGTGTTGCGATCTTGACTCACCGCAACCTCCACGTCCCAGGCTCAAGTGATTCTCCTGCCTAAGCTTCCCCAGTAGCTGGCATTACAGGCATGTGCCACCACACCTGGCTAATTTTTGTATTTTTAGTAGAGATGGGGTTTCACCATGTTGCCCAGGGTGGTCTCGAACTCCTGATCTCAGGTGATCTGCGCCTGCCTCAGCCTCCCAAATTGCTGGGAGTACAGGTGTGAGCCACCGTGCCCAGCCTCTTTAATTTCATTTTAAAATTTATTTTGTTTTGTTTTGTTTGAGACAGGGTCTCACTCAGTCACCCAGGCTGGAGTGCAGTGGCACACTCACAGCTCACTGCAGCCTCAACCTCCTGGGCTCAGGTGGTCCTCTCACCTCAGCCTCCCTAGTAGCTGGGACTACAGGTGCATGCCACCACATCTGGCTAGTTTCTTATATTTTTTGTAGAGAATGGATTTCAACATGTTGCACAGGCTGGTTTTAAACTCCTGGGCTCAAGTGATCCACCTGCCTCAGTCTCCTAAAGGGCTGGGATTACAGGCGCAAGCCACTGTGCCTGGCTGTTTTGCTTTTTAAACTTTGTGAGCTGTGTCGTACATATGAAACTGTGCATAAGACATACACATAATGTAAGTTTAAGGAATTTATAAAGTGAGAAACTATATAATTGGCATCTAGAAATAGAACTTTGCCTGCATCCCAGAAACCCGCACCCAAGTACCTTTCCTCTTAGAAATAACCACTATTCTGACTTCGTGGCATTCTCTTGTTATTCTTAATGGTTTTTAGTGCCTGAATATATCTCTAAATAATATTTGAACGGTCTTTACTACCGGAAAGTTCTTCCTTATGTTAAGATTTAATCCATTGCCCTAAAATTTTTTCATTAGTACTTTCTTTAACCCTTGGGGTTATAAATAACAAATTTAGCATTATTTTTACCCAGAAGAACCACAACTATTTTTTGTATTACATGGTTTCAATTGAATTCCACTATTCTGTTTGTTCCATTTGTATGTCTTTCTGGGAAAATATGATTCCCCAGTACACAACAATGTATTCTATCTCTGATTTACTCTCTAAGCATAGGACTGAAAAATCCCATCTCTCATTCTAGATTCCAGACATCTATTGATGAGGCCAAACATAGTGATGGTTAATGCTAAGCTTATAAGAGACTAAAATATTTTATATAAGACAGTGCCTGGGGCTCAGTTTCGGGCTACTGAAAAAAGAAATGGGAATGGTTTCCTTATAAAAGGATGAGTTTGGTCCTCTTGTCTCTCTCATTCTCTCGTTGCTCTTCCACCATGGGATGTAACACCAAGAAAGCCCTTTCAAGATGCCAGTCCTTTGATCTTGGACTTCCTAGTCTCCAGGACTGTGAGGCATTAAATTTATGTTCTTTATAAATTACTTAGTTTGTGGTGTTCTGTTATAGTAGTGTAAAATGAATTATGGGAACAAATAAAATTTGCATATATTTGAGGTGTGTATATATATATAAATATGTTATATATTATATAAATATATTATACATATTATATAAATATTATATAAATATATTATACATATTATATAAATATATTATACATATATCTATATATATAAATATTATATATATATATATTTTTTGAGACAGGGTTTCCCTCTTGTTGCCCAGGCTAGAGTACAATGGCACAGTCTCGGCTCTTTGCAACCTCCACCTCCTGGGTTCAAGTGATTCTCCTGCCTTAGCCTCCCAAGTAGCTGGGATTACAGATGCCTGCCACCACGCCCGGCTAATTTTTGTATTTTTAGTAGAGACAGGGTTTCAGCATGTTGACCAGGCTGATCTTGAACTCCCAACCTCAGGTTATACACCCACCTTGGCCTCCCAAAGTGCTGGGATTACAGGCGTGAGCCACTGCAGCCGGCCAATTTTTTTTTTTTTTTTTTTTTTTTTTTTTTATTAGACAGGGTGTTACTCTGAAGCTCCTGCTGGAGTGTGGTGGCACAATTATGGCCACCATGCCTTGACCTCCTGGGCTGAAGGGATCCTCCTGCCTCAGCCTCCCATGTAGCTGGGACCATAGGTACATGCCATCACACCTGGCTAATTTTTTTATTTTTTTGTAGAGATTGGTGAGGGGGCCTCACTATGTTGTCCGGGCTGGTCTTCTGGGCTCAGGCCATCTGCCAGCCTTGGCCTCCCAAGGTGTTGGAATTATAGGTGTGAGCAACCCGGCCCAGCCATGTGATGTTTTGATGTATGTATACACTGTGAGATGATTACTACAATCAAGCCAATTAACACATCCATAACCTCACACTTTGTATGTGTGTATTTGATATCCACTTTCTTAGCAAATTTCTGTTTTTTATTTTAATTTAACTTTTATTTTAAGTTCATGGGGTATATGTGCAGGTTTGTTATATAGGTAAATTTGTGTCATGGGGTTTGTTTTACAGGTTATTTCATCACCCAGGTATTAAACCTAGTACCCATTAGTTATTTTTGCTGACCCTCTCCCTCCTCCCATTCTCCACCCTCTGATAAGCGCCAGTGTGTGCTGTTCCCCTCCATGGGTCCATGTGTTCTCATCATTCAGCTCCCATTTATAAGTGAGAACATACGGTATTTGGTTTTCTGTTCCCATGCAAATTTCAAGCATACAATACATTACTATGAACTATAATCAGCATGTTGTACATTAAGTCTCCATAACTTACTCTACTTACAACCGAAAGTTTGTGCATTTTGACCAGTATCTTCCCATTTCCCCTACATCCCAAGTCCTGGAAACCACATTTCTGCTGTCTGTTTCTATGAGAAACTTCTAGATTCCACGTATAAGTGAGATCATGCAGTATTTGTCTTTTTATGTCTGGCTTATTTCACTTAGCATAATGTCCTCCAGGTTCATCCATGTTGTTAAATCCATGCCAGTTGCAAACAGCAAGATTTATTTCTTTTTTGAAAGCTGAATAATATTCCACTGTATGTATGTATGTGTGTGTGTGTGTGTGTGTACATATATATTTGCACTCATTATCCGTTCATCCATTGATGAAAAGTAGATTATCCCTATATCTTGGCTATTGTGAATAATGCTGCAATGAACATGAACATATATCTTCAGGATAGTGATGTTGTTGCTAGATCACATGGTAATTCTATTCTTAATTTTGTGAGGAGCCTTTATACTGTTTTGCACAATGGCTCTACTAATTTACATTCCCATCAACAGCATACAAAAGTTCCCTGTTCTCCACCTTCTCCCCAATGCTTTCATATTTTGGGCCATTCTGTATGGTTTACTGTACCGTATGACAGTAATGCTGTGCAGTATGTGCTATAGCCATTTTTGCATCTACTGGTACCAGTTCTGAAATAGCAGCGGCGCCCTTTCTGTTTAGAGTCGCCTTCTGGTGGTAGGAATTCTGGTTGCTACCATGTGTAGCCTGCAAGCCTCTAGCAGCTCTTTTGCAGCGACGCCGAGCGCCGGGCGCGGTGGCGCGTGCCTGTAGTCCCAGCTACTCGGGAGGCTGAGGCTGGAGGATCCCTTGAGTTCAGGAGTTCTGGGCTGTAGTGCGCTATGCCGATCGGGTGTCCGCACTGAGTTCGGCATCAATATGGTGACCTCCCGGGAGCGGGGGACCACCAGGTTGCCTAAGGAGGGGTGAACCGGCCCAGGTCGGAAACGGAGCAGGTCAAAACTCCCGTGCTGATCAGTAGTGGGATTGCGCCTGTGAATAGCCACTGCACTCCAGCCTGGGCAACATAGTGAGACCCTGCCTCTTTTGAGTTCTCACCTTATAAAGTAGCCTTTCTTCCCATGCATCTATCCTAAGACAAAAGAAATGCAGAATTTACATTCTTACAGGACTATTTTCCTCACTACACTGTGAATCCCCCCTCCCACCCCACCCCCATTGGGAATCTTCTTGTTTTTATTTTTATCTTATTTCACCATTATCTAGCTAAACACTTGCACATTCATGCTGCCAAGTGTTTATGGAGCACCGATTGTACACCAGGTACTGCGGTGAGTCTCAGGGGTACCAAGACCGAGGTTCGATGAGAATCCTGTAATCAATTGCAGAATGCTCCTTCCGAGAGCAGGACCCATCAAAATAGGAACTCCGTTTTGAGAGTTCGCCTCGATCGTTGAGGATAATCTTAGAAGGACCGAAGCAGTTCCGTTTCGTTACATTTCAAAATCTTATGTCAAAGTAAGCGCGCAGAAAGGGGTCCTTGCTCTTCTACACTGAGCCCTACGGCCCCCCTGTGGGGAAATACTCCTGATAATCATCTCGAAAATTGTTTCGACCAGCAGGGGTCACTATGAAGGCTGACTTGAGCCCAAGACACAATGGGGCACGGTAACCAGACTGGTCCGTAAGGGTTCCAGGAAGGAATGCAGTTTCAAGAGAACAGTTTGAATCTTTATTCGAATTTGAATTTTGGTACAATGAAGAGAGTCAGCTGCAACTTGACAATCGAAATCTTCAGAAAAGCGACACAAATACGTTCGCCTCGAGGAATATTGGGTCTTCTGCGCGGCCGTAGAGCTCCGCCAAGTGCGCCTGCGCGGAGGAGAAGTGGCGTCGAGTCCGGCCGGGCAGTAGAGGAACTTGCGGTAGTGACCCTCGGGCCTCGCCATGAAGAGCCGCTTTAGCACCATTGACCTCCGCGCCGTACTCGCGGAGCTGAATGCTAGGTACAGTACCCTAAGTGACGAGGCTCGTGTGGGGAGTGCAGGAGGCAGAGGCCGGAGTCCCATGGCGCAAACAGACCAGCTTGATATGTTTCCTTATTTCCTAGTGCGTCTATGGACCTGCCTAGGCCTGAGTGGGCAGGCGTGTGGTGTCTTTCCCGTGACCCTTAGGATACCCCTGGGGGTCCCAGGCACCTCGTGCCCCATCCCCCGCGTCCTCCCAGCTCTCTGGCTTGCCCCGCTAGCGCGAAGCTCTTGCATTGTTGGCCTGGGTTGTCCGGGTTGGGCAGGAAACGTTTGTTAAAACACGAGACGCCAGAGTGGTCGTTTGCTTCAGAGGTTTCCAGACTGGGGGCTTGGTTTCTTGAACACCTCCCTCCCCTCACCCCAGAGAGAGAGAGAGCATCGCGGTTTTAGCTGGATTGAGCAGATTTGGACTGAGATCTGGATTCTAGTCTGGATTCTATTATTCAGCCCTGTGAGCTTTGTCATATTTTCGGGGCCCTCTTTTATCTTTTTTTTTTCTCCCTTGTAATAAATTAATTGGATTATATTTTACTGTATTTCTCCCCCAAAATTGGGTCATTTGGAAGACGCAAGCTATAGTGTGTTGTTCCTAGAGCTGATAGACCACTTCTGTTTTTAAATCGTTACTCTTAAGTTTTGAACTGAATCTCCAAATGGCTTTCAGACTCTGCTCCTCGGCTGACTCCATATCCTTAGAGACTGAGATCCGCTCTTTCGAAGCTTTTATTAAATTATGTGTAGTTTTATGTTTCAGACAATAGTGTAACATGTTACATGTTTCCTTTATCTTTGCAGCTTGCTAGGAATGAGAGTAAACAATGTTTATGATGTGGATAATAAGACATACCTTATTCGTCTTCAAAAGTAAGAACATTTTATAGGCTTATTTTCTCTTTGACAATTAAGTATGAGATTACTGATTTTTTTTAACCTACATTTTAAGCCTGTTTAGCAATTAGCTTTGGCATATACCCTAAAGAAAAATTCGACTTTTTTCTTCTACAGACCGGACTTTAAAGCTACACTTTTACTTGAATCTGGCATACGAATTCATACAACAGAATTTGAGTGGCCTAAGAATATGATGCCGTCTAGTTTTGCCATGAAGGTAAACTTGTTACGCTTGAAGCTAAATTTTAAGAGATTGCTCACTAACAATTAAGTTTTTAATTGGGGTTTCCTTCACTGTTACGAATAAAGTGCAGATAAAATGAAGGTAAAGGGAGTGGTTGACAGATAATGGGTTGAATAAAGTGAATATTTATTAATTGATTTCTCCCCATTACCTTTCACATCCTGTTCTGCTCCAGATCTTCTGTTTCCACAGTCACTATTAGAGTTCAAGCTTTTATCACATTCAGCCTTACAGTTCCTTAACTGTAATTCACTTCTCTGCATCAAAACAATTCTAAATTAGACCAACGTTAATTTTTTTGTTTTTGTTTGTTTGTTTTTTTGTTCGTTTTTGAGAAGGAGTCTCGCTCTGTCACCCAGGCTGGAGTGCAGTGGCACAGTCTTGGCTCACTGCAACCTCTGCCTCCCAGGTTCAAGTGATTCTCTTGCCTCAGCCTCCTCAGTAGCTGGGATTACAGGCGTGTGCCACCAGACCCGGCTAATTTCTCTATTTTTAGTAGAGATGGGGTTTCACCATGTTGGCCAGTCTGATCTCAAATGCGTGACCTCAGGTGATCCGCCAGCCTCAGCCTCCTGAAGTGCTGGGATTACAGGCATGAGCCACCGCGCCTGGCCCAACATTAATTTTTTTAAAGTATAATTTTCATTAGTTACCTCACCTTTTATGGTTTCCTGATTTCTAAATCCATATTCTATAGCCTAACATTCTTGGCTTTCTGTGTTCTTTCTCCTCCCTGCCCCACCTTTTTTTCCTAGTCTTATCTTCCAGAGCTCACTTTTGTGAGTCGTATTCCTCTGTACCCAGTCAGTATTTTTTTTTTTTTGGAATACTCACTGACATTAATATGTTACTAAGTCTTTTTATTTTTCTGTTTTGTTTTTACTATTAAAACAGATTTTTACATGGGTGGGCATGCTACCCATTCTTTTATTGATGTAACATATAGATTGAAAATTCATGTGGTACACGAGACTTTCGAGTCACATATACTTAACTTTGAATTAATAGCTTTGTCAGAAAGTAATTTTATAACCTGGAAAAGTTACTTAACCTCTTGGAATTTAGTTTCTTTAAATGTAAAATGTGGATAGTACCTCCTTCATGAAATTATTGGATTAATTGAAATGATATATAAAACACCTAAAACAGACCAGGTGCGGTGGCTCATGCCTGTAATTCCAACACTTTGGGAGGCTGAGGCAGGTGGATCACTTGAGGTCAGAAGTTCAAGGCCAGCCCAGCCAACATGGTGAAACCCTGTCTCTACTAGCCAGGCGTGGTGGCACACACCTGTAATTCCAGCTACTTGGGAGGATGGGGCAGGAGAACCACTTGAACCTGGGAGATAGAGATTGCAGTCAGCTGAGTTCGCACTGTTTCACTCCAGCCTGGGCGACAGAGCGAGACTCCATCTAAAAAAAAAAGAAAGGCACCTGAAACAATACCTGACACATATTAGAACTCCATACATGTTCATTTCCTTCCTGCTCCGCTCCTTACTTTGGCAATGTATCTGTTATGGCATTGAGTTATTTCATTAGAGGCTTTACAGAGAAGAGCTTTACCCCCCAGCAATTTAGAGTCTGTTTTGGATTACAAATTAGGTAAGTGTTTCCATATCACAAGGGCTTTCACAAAATTCTCAGATTATTAAAGTTTAATTTATTTAATAGTAACCCAAAATAGTTCTTTTGGGGCCTGTCCTTAATAATAATGACAATAATAATGCTACCTGTTGTGTAGCACTTTTTAAGGCAGATGAATAATATGTATTTCATTTAAGTTGTTTAGCAACTCAGTGGACTGTGAAGAACAAATACAATTTCAGTTTTATGGATGAGGTAACAGGCCAATGAAATAGGACACTGGGATTGTGTAAACATCTCCAAATCAGACTACACTAATAGGTCAGTCACTTTAAAAAATACTTAGAATTCTATGGGTTAGGTGTACGTGTCAATCTAAATGTATAGAAAGATTTCCTCAATGGAGCAGACAATGTTAAGCACTTTATAAATCAAAGAGCTGTTACTGTTGCATGGCACAGGCAGAGTTATGTCTATTATGTGATAAATCACAGTGGTTGTTCCAGTATTCACATTTGGGGATGACAGCTATAGCTTTGTGGCACACAGCAGCAGGTTGATTTCACCAAGCTGTTGATAGGGAAATGAAACAAGCTTTAAATATGTACTATGTGTCCATCTGTACTCTCCATGATAAATAATCCCCTTTTTACTATTCCTTTGTGTGAACTTCTGTCCTTTCAATGATGCCTTTTGTCTTTATTTTTCTTGAATAAAATTATTACTCAGGGACTCTGGAAGAACTGATTGTGATTTTCCTCTAGGGATTTAAAGATAGCCCTACATGTAGGTTACTGTTTAATCAAATCAGTATAGGTCATTCTTAAAACTACTGAGTTAAGGAGGAGCAGATTGTTTATCCTAGGAAGTTATTCTGCCTATGTGAGTATATAAAATGCGAATTTCAGTCAATTTGGGCTATAAGGTCTGGAGAAGAACTCTTCTTAGTTATGAAAATGTTAGCATTAATTTTAATAATGAATTTATGTGTTTATTGTTGTTTTTTTTCAACCTTTGTCAAGGAGTGGATTTTTTGTCTTTTTTTTGAAGGTGGTCTTAGATTAACTTCTGTAAAATTTGTTTCGTATTTAAGTCTTTTTTTTTTTTTTTTTTTTTGAGACGGAGTCTTGCTCTGTCACCAGGCTGGAGGGCAGTGGCGCAGTCTTGGCTCACTGCAACTTCAGTCTCCTGGGTTCAAGTGATTCTCGTGTCTCAGCCTCCCAAGTAGCTGGGATTACAGGCACACGCCACCATGCCTGGCTAATTTTTGTATTTTTAGTAGAGATGGGGTTTCACCATGTTGGCCAGGCTGGTCTTGAACTCCTGACGTTGTGATCCGCCTGCCTCGGCCTCCCAGAGTGCTGGGATTACAGGCGTGAGCTGCCATACCCAGACCGTATTTGAGTCTTGAAGAAAGCATTCTTTCTTATTGGTCTTAACTAAAGGGTCTTTTATATTAAAAAATTAGAAACAATTGTAAGATATTTTAGAGGCTACAGAGTAGTCTTGTTACCAGTCCATGTCATACTTCAATATTTGTACAAAAAGACGGTACATGTAATCTAAAAGAGTAGGTATTGCCAAGTAAATTGTATTTGGATTTGATATACTAATATTATTTTAATTGTTAATAAGAAAAAGAACCTTATGGCCAGGGATAGGAGGAAGGGGATTTAATAAAGAATGAGAGTTATTACATTGGATTGAAATAGGTTATCAAAAGCTTAGAGACGATACCAGGAAAATTCTCTTTGGGTTATATTAGTAAAGTTTGTAGGAATAAGCTGGGCACAGTGGCAGGGCACTTGTAATCCTAGCTACTTGGGAGGCTAAGGTGGGAGATTGCTTGAGTCCAGGAGTTTGAGCCTTGCCTGGGCAACAGAGAGACTCTGTCCCTTTCTTTTTTTTTTTTTTTTTTGAGACAGAGTCTTGCTCTGTTGCCCAGGCTGGATTGCAGTAGTGTCATCTCGGCTCACTGTAACCTCCGCCTCTTGGGTTCAAGCGATTCTTTTGCCTCAGCCTCCTGAGTAGCTGGGATTACAGGCATGCGCCAGCACGCCCAGCTAATTTTTGTATTTTTAGTAGAGATGGGGTTTCACCATATTGGCCAGGCTGGTCTTGAACTCCTGACCTCAAGTGATCCACCTACCTCGGCCTCCCAAAGTGTTGGGATTACAGGCCTGAGCCACCGCTCCTGGCAAAGACTCTCTTAAAGAAAAAAAAAAAAAAAAAAAAAAAAAAAAGAATTGGTAGGGGTAACTGGATATAAGGTGGTGGACTATTTACAGGATACCATAAGCCATAAGCTCATGGTCCATAGTTGATATGTATTAGAAGTAGAAGATTAGTGGAAACAATTAATTAATTTTGAACATAAATGAAGCATACAAAAGGGAAATTTGGCATACTTAGAAGTGTCATCAAAGAGACTTAAAAAAAATAAAGGGACTGGGTGTGGTGGCTCACGCCTGTAATCCTAACACTTTGGGAGGCCGAGGTGGGCAGATTGCCTGAGCTCAGGAGTTCGAGACCAGCCTGGGCAACGTGGAGAAACCCCGTCTCTACTAAAATACAAAAAATTAGCCAGGCGTGGTAGTGGGCGCCTGTAGTCCCAGCTACTCTTGGGAGGGTGAGGCAGGAGGATTGCTTGAACCTGGGAGGCAGAAGTTGCAGTGAGCCAAGATTGTGCTACTGTACTCCAGCCTGGGTGACAAAGTGAGACTCCGTCTCCAAATAAATAAATAAATAAATAAATAAGTAAAGGTTGGCTGGGCACAGTGGCTCATGCCTGTAATCCCAGCACTTTGGGAGGCTGAGGTGGGCGGATCACGAGGTCAGAACTTCGAGACCAGCCTGACCAACATGGTGAAACCCCGTCTCTACTAAAAATAGAAAAATTAGCCGGGTGTGGTGGCACACGCCTGTAATTTCAGCTACTCAGGAGGCTGAGGCAGGAGAATCACTTGAACCTGGGAGGCGGAGGTTGCAGTGAGCTGAGACTGTGCCACTGCATTCCAGTCTGGGCGACAGAGCGAGACTCTCTCTCAAAATAAAGTAAATAAATAAAGGTTGTGGCTTATGAGTGAGGTCATTAGGACCACAACAAGGAATTTAGCAGTGGTATAAAGCAACAAAGCAAATTTTGCTATAGGTCCATCATTCTCTACTTAAAAATTGAAAATAAAAGCCTGGCTCAGTAGCTTACGCTTGTAATCCCAGCACTTTGGGAGGCCAAGGCAGGAGGATTGCTTGTGCCCAGGAGTTTGAGATTAGCCTGGGCAACATAGTGAGACCCTGTCTCTACAAATAATGAAAAAATTAGCTGGGGATAGTGGCATGTGCCTGTGGTCCCAATCCTCAGGAGGCTGATGCAGGAGGATCACCTGAGCCAGGGAAGTCGAGGCTGCAGCGAGCCATGATCACACCACTGGGCTCCAGTTTGGGTGACAGAGTGAGACCCTGTCTTAAAAAAATGCAAATAAAACACTGTTTCAGAGTTAGTGTTTATAATAAAATGTTTTCCCTCTGATTATCATCTGCAATCTATTACTTTATGACTATACTGTTATTCACAACGTTTTAAATATTCCTGATGATAATGAAAAGAAGCTTATTTATAAACCAATACCAAATGGTTAGGAATTCACTTTTACTAAATGAATGCCTTTTTCTTTCTCTTGCTAGTGCCGAAAACATTTGAAGAGTCGGAGATTAGTCAGTGCAAAACAGCTTGGTGTGGATAGAATTGTAGATTTTCAATTTGGAAGTGATGAAGCTGCTTACCATTTAATCATTGAGCTCTATGATAGGGTAAGTTAAATTTGTGGGATATGGTGAAGGAAAATTTCTTATTAATCATTTTGTAATAGTGCTATATAACATGAGTGGGGGAACATTTTTTTTCTGTGTCAAAGGTTGTTACTACCCTAGGAAATGGGTGCCACACAAATAAAATAAAATTTTCCAGTAATAACCTTCATTTTATCTGTAGGTCTGAGTTTAGGCAGACTTTAGCCATTTAGAATAGCCTTATGAATGTAGGAGATGAAGATCTGAGAAGTAAATTATTTGGTACTTGACATTTCAGGACTAATATGCAACCAGAAAATAGTCAAATACGGTCATGCACTGATGCGCTGTATGTATAGTGATGTTTCAGTCAACAACAGACTGCATATAAACGTTGGTCCTGTAACATTGTAATGGATCTAATAAATTCTTACTGCTTAGTGACATCTTGATCCTGACTCTGTGTAGGCCTAGGCTGGTGTGTGAGTTTGTGTGTTAGTTTTTAACAAAAACATTAAAAGTAAAAACAAAACAATTTAAAATGGAAAAAAAGCTTAGAGAATATGGATCTAAAGAAAGAAAGTATTGTACAGCTGTACGATATGTGTTTTAAGCTAAGTGTTATTACAAGAGTCAAAAAGCTAAAAAGTTTAAAGTTTATAAAGTAAAAAAGTTCCAGGAAGCAAAGGTTAATTTATTATTGAAGAAAGAAAAACATCTTAAAAATAAATTTGGCTGAGCGCAATGACTCAGGCCGGGCACAGTGGCTCACACCTGTAATCCTAGCATTTTGGGAGGCCGAGGAGGGCGGATCACCTGGGGTCAGATCACCTGGGGTCAGGAGTTCAAGACCAGCCTGGCCAACATGGCAAAACCCCGTCTCTATTAAAAAATACAAAAATTAGCTGGGCGTGGTGGCGGGCACCTATAATCCCAGCTACTCGGGAGGCTGAGGCAGGAGAATCACTTGAACCTGGGAGGCAGAGGTTCCAGTGAGCTCAGATTGTGTCACTGTGCTCCAGCCTGGGCAACGGAGCAAGACTTTGTCTCAAAAATAAACTAACTAACTAACTAACTAACTAACTTAATCTGGGCCAGGTGTGGTGGCTCACACCTGTAATCCCAGCACTTTGGGAGGCCAAGGCGAGTGGATCACCTGAGGTCAGGAGTTTGAGACCAGCCTGCCCAATGTGGCAAAACTGCATCTCTACTAAAAATACAAAAATTAGCCTGGTGTGGTGGTGCGTGCCTGTAGTCCCAGCTACTCGGGAGGCTGAGGCAGGAGAATCACTTGAACCTGGGAGGCAGTGGTTGCAGTGAGCTGAGATCATGCCATTGTACTCCAGCTCAGGTGACAGAGTGAGATTCAGTCTCAAAAAGGAAAAAAAAAATATATGTGTGTGTGTGTGTGTGTGTGTGTGTGCGCGCGCGTGCGCGTGCGTGTGTATGTATATAAATAAATAAATACATAAATTTAATCTGGTCTGAGGTAAGCATAATTTTTTTAAAAATTAAAAAATAAAAAACAAATTTAGTGTAGCCCAAGTGTGCAGTATTTATCAAGTCTACAGTAGTATGCAGTAATGTCCCAGGCCTTCACATTTACTCACTGTCACTCACCCAGAGCAGTTTTCAGTCCTGCATGCTCCATTCATGGTAAGTGCCCTATACAGGTGTTCCATTTTTAATCTTTTATACCAGGGATCTTCAACCCCTGTGCCGCAGACTGGAACTGGTCTGTGGAACCAGGCCACACGGCAGGAGGTGAGCAGTATGCGAGTGAGCATTACTCACCTGAGCTCTGCCTCCTGTCAGATCAGTGGTGGCATTAGATTCTTATAGGAGCGTGAACCCTATTGTGAACTGTGCATGCAAGGGATCTAGGTTGCATGCTTCTTGCGAGAATCTAATGCCTGATGATCTGAGGTGGAACAGTTTCATCCGGAAACCATACCCCTGCACCCCCCATCCATGGAAAAATTGTCTTCCATGAAACTGGTCCCTGGTGCCAAAGGCTGGGGACTGCGGTTTTTTTTTTGTTTTGTTTTGGTTTTTTTTTTTTGATACAGAGTCTCACTTTGTTGCCCAGGCTGCAGTGCAAGGGTGTGATCTCAGCTCACTGCAACCTCTGCCTCCCGGGTTCAAGCAATCCTAGTGCCTCAGCCTCCTGAGTAGCTGGTATTACTGGCATGTACTACCATGCCCAGCTAATTTTTGTATTTTTAGTAGAGATGGGGTTTCACCATATTGGCCAGACTGTTCTCAAACTCCTGACCTCAGGTGATCTGCTCGCCTTGGCCTCCCAAAATGCTGGGATCACAGGCATGAGCCACTGCGCCCGGCCTGGAACTGTTGTTGTAATACCATATTTTTACTGTACTTTTTCTATATTTAGATGTACTTAGATACACAAATACTTGCTATTGTATTACAGTTGACTACAGTATTCAGTAACATGCTATACAGATTCCTAGCCTAGGAGCAATAGGTTATATCATATCTTTGGTGGATGTATTAGGCTACACCGTCTAGGTTTGTGTAAGTATACTCTATTACGTTCACACGACATCGAAGTTGCCTAAATGCATTTCTTAGAATGTATCCCCATTGTTAAGCAATGCATGACATTGGGTCTGCCTTCTTTTATGCAATATTTTTTATTTTTTTGAGATAGAGTCTTGCTCTGTTGGCCAGGCTGGAATTCAGTGGCATGATCAGGGCTTACTGCAAACTCGGCCTCCTGGGCTCAAGTGACCCTCTTGCCTTAGCCTTTCATGTAGCTGGTACCACAGATGTGCACCACCATGCCTGGCCAATTTTTTTATTTTTTGTAGAGACAGACTCTCACTTCGTTGCCCAGGCTGACCTTGGACCCCTGGCTCAAGCAATCTTCCCATCTCAACCTCCTAAGGTGTTGGGATTACGGGGGTGAGCCACCACGCCTGGCTCTTTTATTCAATATATAATGTCTGTGAGATTCATTGATGTTGAAAATTCCCTTAGCTCCACATCCTTAGCAACATTTGATATGATCTCTTAGAGCTCTTTATCTAATCTGATTATGAGCCCTTTGCTGATTATTTGTGTAGTAAATGTCCTTTTCTACTCTAACCTGAGTTTTTACTCTTTCTTTTTTTTTATTTTTTAATTTTTTTTGAGAATAAGTCTCACCCTGTCGCCAGGCTGGAGTGCAGTGGTGTGATCTTGGCTCACTGCAACCTCCGCCTCCCGGGTTCAAGCGATTCTCCTGCCTTAGCCTCCCGAGTAGCTGGGATTACAGGCACCTGCCACCACGCCCAGCTAGTTTTTGTACTCTTAGTAAAACAGGGATTCACCATGTTGGCCAGTCTGGTCTTGAACTCCTGACCTCAGATAATCTGCCCACCTTGGCCTCCCAAAGTGCTGGGATTACAGGCGTGAGCCACTGCGCCTGGCCTGCTACTAGTTTTTCAGCACTTAGTAATTTCTGGTTATCTATCTCTCTAACCAACGTAAATGGTGGCTACATTTACTGAAGCCACTTACATTGCAACCTGTCATTTCAGATGAATTTGGGATTACTCCCACCGTATTCTGTGACTATCTTGTAAACAGTTGTAAGGCATTTTTGACTGTTTTCATGGATGCTTCTTTGTATTTTAATTATACCTGTAGAGTAACTCTGATCTTCACTGTCAGTAATAAATTTGGAAGGTGGTATTCTTTCGTTAGCTTTATTTTCATTATGTTCCCCCTTCTTTTTTATTGAAAAGGTTATCTAGCAATATTAAATTTTAAAAAGTCTTTAATTCTAAATCTTTAAGAAGTAATTTCATTTTAGCCTACATATGCCTTCCATTTTCTAGGATATAACTTTTTTGTGTGTCTTTGCTATGTTTTACCTAACATTATTTATGTTTTCCTTTTTTTCTAACATTGTTTCCATTAGGTAACCTCTTTCTACTATTTTGTTGTGTTGAGCTATCATAATTTAATTTCCCTAACTTTTACATTTAGGCTGTTTGGGGTTTTTTTTTTCTATTGTAGATAAATTTCAGTGAACATCTTTTTTTTTTGAGACGGAGTTTCGCTCTTGTTGCCCAGGCTGGAGTGCAATGGCGTGATCTCGGCTCACAGCAACCTCCGCCTCCCAGGTTCAAGCCATTCTCCTGCCTCAGCCTCCTGAGTAGCTGGGATTACAGGCATGCGCCACCATGCCTGGCTAATTTTGTATTTTTAGTAGAGACGGGGTTTCTCCATGTTGGTCAGGCTGGTCTTGAACTCCGGACCTCAGGTGATCTGCCCGCCTCAGCCTCCCACAGTGCTGGGATTACAGGCGTGAGCCACTGCGCCCAGCCATTCAGTGAACATCTTTAAGCATATTGCCTTTGGTTTTACTGGAGTGTTGGAGTTACTTCATTGGGCTACATTACCAAATGTGGAAATTTGTGGGCAAATGGTATAATTAACTATATTGCTCTTGCCATGTAACTATTAATATTAAAAGACAAATTGCAGGTGGAAGTGTAATATGTTCCTTGCCTGGCTGGCTTCTGAAATTGACCACATTTTCTTTCTCAATTTTTTTTTTTTTTTTTTTTTTCTTAAGACGAGAGTTTCGCTCTTGTTGCCCAGGCTGGAGTGCAATGGCTCAGTCTCAGCTCACTGCAACCTCCACCTCCCAGGTTCAAGCGATTCTCCTGCCTCAGTCTCCCAAGTGGCTGGGATTACAGGCATGCACCACCACGCCCAACTAATTTTGTATTTTTAGTAGAGACAGGGTTTCTCCATGTTGGTCAAGCTGGTTTTGAACTCCCGACCTCAGGTGATCCTCCTTCCTCGGCCTCTCAGAGTGCTGTGATTACAGGCATGAGCCACCATGCCCGGCTTCTTTCTCAATTTTTAAGTAGTCTCAAAAATGATTTGCTTTGTTTTTTTCTGTTTTGTTTTGTTTTTTTATTTCCTTTTTTTTTTTTTTTTTTTTTGAGACAGAGTTTGCTCTTGTTGCCCAGGCTGGAATGCAGTGGTGCGATCTCAACTCACTGCAGTCTCCACCCCCCAGATTCAAGTGATTCTCCTGCTTCAGCCTCCCAAGTAGCTGGGATTATAGGCACCCGCCACCATACCTGGCTAACTTTTGTATTTTTAGTAGAGATGGAATTTCACCATGTTGGCCAGGCTGGTCTCAAAGTCCTGACCTCAAGTGATCTGCCTGCCTCGGCCTTCCACAGTGCTGGGGTTACAGGTGTGAGCCACTGTGCCTGGCCTCAAAAATTATTTGAAAGAGCGCTAAATTGTATTTTATTTTATTGCAGGGGAACATTGTTCTTACAGATTATGAGTACGTAATTTTAAATATTCTAAGGTTTCGAACTGATGAGGCAGATGATGTTAAATTTGCTGTTCGTGAACGCTATCCACTTGATCATGCTAGAGCTGCTGAACCTTTGCTTACTTTGGAAAGGTAAAGTGTTTTGTTTTTAAACCCATTTCGTATTGTATTAAAATGTACTGGGCAACATAATGAGACCCTGTCTCTTAAAAAAAAGGTAAAATGGGTCATATGTCAGAACGTGAAAGAACTGTGAGATAAAATATTTTGTTTTACTTAGATAACGTAACTCAATTTAGACTGTTTGAACTACATAAATGTGCATGTAAGCAATTAAGTCTTATTTGGGAGAGGCAAATGTATGTCCTTAGGTGTTTTTTTTTTTTTTGAGATGGAGTCTCGCTCTGTTGCTCAGGCTGGAGTGCAGTGGCACGATCTCAGCTCACTGCAACCTCTGCATCCCAGGTTCAAGCGATTCTCCTGCCGCAGCCTCCCGAGTAGCTGGGACTATAGGCGTGCGCCACCACGCCCAGCTAATTTTTGTATTTTTAGTAGAGATGGGGTTTCAACATGTTAGCCTTGCTGGTCTTGATCTCTTGACCTCAGGCAATCTGCCTGCCTCGGCCTCCCAAAGTGCTGGGATTACAGGCATGAGCCACTGTGCTCGGTTGTCTTTAGTTTTTTTAGAGGTGGTGTCTCACTCCCCCTTCCCTGAGGCTGGAGTGCAGTTGGCGTGATCATAGCTCACTGCAGTCTTGAACTCCTGGGCTCAAGCAATCCTCCTGCCTCAGCCTCCCAAGTAGGTGGAACTACAGGAGCCCACCACAATGCCTGGCTAATTTTTAAATTTTTTTGTAGACATGGGGTCTTGCTTTGTTGCCCAAGTTGGTCTTGAACTTGTGGCTTTAGCAATCCTCCCACTTCAGCCTTCTAAAGTGTTGGAGTTACAGGTATGAGCGACCGGGCCCAGCCAATGTCTTTCTTTTTCATTGTAATTTTTTTAAATTTTAAATTTAAAATTAAAAAATATGGAACACTTAACAAATTTCATGTCATCCTTGTGCAGGGGTCGTGCTAATCTCTGTTTCGTTCTAATTTTAGTATATGTGCTGCCGAAGCAAGCCCAATGTGTTTTTTAGCTAAGTTTTGGGTTACTTCAAATGGTTATGATTTCTTGGTAAATTGAGGAGACTTATTAGCTACTCTGTGAGAAGACAGATGGATATCTTGTGCAGAGGGCAAAGGGAGAGAAATTCTGGTTTACGTAAGAAAAAGGGAAGTTCGGTGAGGTAAAGTAATGATTGTAGCTGTATTTTTGTATTTCAGCTGTATTCCAGCTAGCTGGAAGGCCCTGCTGACTCATATTCTATAGCAGTGGTTCCTGAAGTTTAACATACATCATTTCTTTGTTCCTTCTCCACTCCCACTGCTTCACTTAACTAGTCTACATTAAATAAATAAATAAAGTTGATCAGGCACTGTAGCTCACGCCTGTAATTCCAGCACTTTGGGAGGCCGAGGAGGATGGATCACCTGAGGTCAGGAGTTCAGACCAGCCTGACCAACATGGTGAAACCCCGACTCTACTAAATTAAAAAAAAAAAATTAGCCGGGCATGGTGGTGCATGCCTGTAATTTCAGCTATTTGGGAGGCTGAGGCAGGAGAATCTCTTGAACCCAGGAGGCAGAGGTTGCAGTGAGCTGAGATTGCGCCATTGCACTCCAGCCTTGGCAACAGAGCAAAACTCTGTCTCAAAAATAAAAAAAATAAAAAAAAAAAAATTAACATGCTTCAGCATTACCTGGAGGGCTTGTTAAAACATAGATTGCCACCCCCACCCTCTGCTAATTCAGTAGATCTAGTCTAGGACCCAGGAATTTGCATTTCTAACTAGTTCTCAGGTAATGCTGATGCTGGTATGGGGACCACATTGATGTACAGCATTGTTAAAAGTTGTTAGATGCTGGCTGGGCACGGTGTCTCACGCCTGTAATCCCACCGCTTTGGGAGGCCAAGGTGGGCGGATCACAAGGTCAGGAGATTGAGACCATCCTGGCTAACACGGTGAAACCCCGTCTCTACTAAAAATACAAAATATTAGCCGGGCGTGGTGGCGGGCGCCTGTAGTCCTAGCTACTCGGGAGGCTGAGGCAGGAGAATGGCGTGAACCCAGGAGGCGGAGCTTGTAGCGAGCCGAGATCGTGCCACTGTACTGCAGCCTGGGCGACAGAGCAAGATGCCGTCTCAAAAAAAAAAAAAAAAACCAAACAAAAAAAAAGTTGTTCGATGCTTAATTAGGTAAACCATTTTGGATATTAAGATATGGCATGAAAATTTACAAACATTTAACTTTTACAGAAAAATGTCATTTTTATGTCATTTATATGTGGGCACATTGCTGACAATATGCCTTGGTCGAAAAAATACTGGTTTATCTTAGAAAACTGCCATTCAAGAACCTGTTAATCTTGGGTAAATATCTTTTATGATCCATTTTCTCACAACAGAAGAATGAATTCCTGTTACGTTTCAGATTATTGTAAAGATCAGGTGAACTGATACAGATGAAAGTAGTATTAATATGAAGATTGCTGTAAGGTTTATTTAAGATATGATAGAGGCATGTCCGTTTTGTTTCACAGGTTGACTGAAATAGTAGCCAGCGCACCTAAGGGTGAACTACTGAAGAGGGTGCTTAACCCATTACTTCGTGAGTATTCCTGCAAATAGCAGTGAAATGTTTGCAAGGCAGTGTGGTTTTCAGGAATATATTGAAATCTTTTATGGTTTTATTAGAAAATTTGAACAAGTGATCCTTGGAGTAAGTAGGAGTTTATTGTCAAAGAAAGAGAAGTTAAACCACATGAAGTTTGAGCTTTATCTATTAGATTTTATTTAAAAGCAATGCAGATTGTGTTATCTAGTACTTCAGTGCTAATGGTAGTATTCTAAGAAATCAGATTTTTTCATTGTGAGTCTTTGATTTAATAACCACTTAGCTTAGTTTTTTTTTGGTTTTTTTTTTTTTTTTTTAATTGGTGGGTCTCAGGGCATCCCAGCATCTGACAGGTCCTTTTGATCCCAATAAGCATTTTTGATCCCAATACACTTTTATACTTGAGAAGATCATCACTTAGCCCTATATTAAGGAATCTAGAGAAGACGGGGAGGCAGGTACCATTGATTACTGAGCACTAGAGAGTTAACTCTTCCTCTCTTATGAAATTAGAAAGCATTCAAAAGTTATCTTTAGAACTTTCCAGCTGTTAGTATAGCATGTGTAAAATTTGTATGTTTAAGCCAGTGTCTCCCTGGCAAATGCAAATTTCTTTTCTTTTTTAATTTATTTTTTTTGTTTGTTTTAGAGGTAGGGTCTCATTATGTTGCCCAGGCTGGTCTCAAACTCCGAGCTCAAGCAATCCAACCACCTTGGCCACCCAAATTGCTGGGATTATAGACGTGAGCCACCACACTTGGCCTTCCCCTGGCAAATTTCTGTAATGTTTGAAATCAGGTAGTACAGGTTGAACATTACTAATGTGAAAATCTTAAGCCTAAAATTACTATTATTTTTGAGACAGAGTCTCTCTCTGTCACCAGGCTGGAGTGCAGTGGTGCAGTCTCAGCTCACTGCAACCTCTGCCTCCCGGGTTCAAGCAATTCTCCTGCCTCAGCCTCCCAAGTAGCTAGGACTACAGGCTCATGCCACCACGCTCAGCTAATTTTTTTTGTATTTTTAGTAGAGATGGGGTTTCACCATGTTGGCCAGGATGGTCTTGATCTCTTGACCTCGTGATCCACCTGCCTTGGCCTCCCAAAGTGCTGGGATTACAGGTGTGAGGCACCGTGCCTGGCCTGAAGTCTGAAACTTTTTGAGCACAGACGTGATGCCACAGGTGGAAAATTCCACACTGACCTTATGTGACAGCTATACAGAATTATTTAAAATATTGTATAAAATCACCTCCAGGCTATATTGCGTAAAGTCATAAATGAATTTTGTGTTTAGATTTGGGTTCCATCCCCAAGGTATCTCATTATGTATATGCAGATATTCCAAAATGTGAAAAAATCTGAAATCTCAAACACTTCTATCCCAACACATCACATAAGGGATACTCAACTTACATGTCCTCTTAACTGTTCACTTTTTTTTTTTCAAAAGAGTTTTGGCATTTGGCATTTCAAAAGATCTTCTGCATTTCCCAAGGGTCTCGCTCTGTTGCCCAGGCTGAAGTGCGGTGCCACGAACACTGCTCACTGCAGCTTCCACCTCCCAGGTTCAGGCCATCTCCTGCCTCAGCCCCACAAGTAGCTGGGACTACAGGGATGAACTCCTGGCTAATTTTTCTATTTTTTGGTAGAGACAGGGTTTTACCATGTTGTCCAGGTTGGTCTCGAACTCCTGAACTCAAGCAGTCTGCCCGCCTCAGCCTCCCAAAGTGCTGGGATTACAGGCGTGAGCAACTGCGCTCGGCCAGCATTTCCTTATAAAATTTAGAGTTGACTTGTTACTTTCTATGAAAAAAGCCTCATAGGATTTTGATAAGGATTACATTATTACTATTATTTGAGACAATCTCATTCTGTTGCCCAGGCTGGAGTGCAGTGGCATGATCTCGGCTCACTGCAACCTCCATTTCCTGGGTTCAAGTGATTGTCTTGCCTCAGCCTCCCACGTAGCTGGGATTACAAGTGTATGCCACTACACCCACTAAGTTTTGTGTTTTTAGTAGAGATGGGGTTTCACCTTCTTGGCCAGGCTGGTCTCAATTACAGCTGTGAGCCACTGCCTGGCCTGGTAAGGATTACATTAAGTCTGTGGATCAGTTTGGGGAGAATTGCCGTTTTAACTACATTGAGTCTTCTATGAAGAGAGAATGTCTGACTATTTATTTAGATCTTTAATTTCTCTCAGTTAGATTTATTCCTAAACATTCTATTCTTTTTGATGCTATTGTCAGTGGAATTTTCTTAATTTCATTTTTGCATAGAAATACAATTGATTTCTATATATTGGTTTTTGTATCCTGCAAACCTGATAAACTTGTTTATTCATTCTAGTAGGGTTTTTTTGTGGGTTCCTTAGGATTTTTTAAGGTACAGGATCATGTCATCTGTGAATAAGGATGCTTTACTTCTTCCTTTAGAATCTGAATGCTATTAATTAATTTGCCTTATTGTGCTAGCTATAGCTTCCAGTACAATGTTGAATAGCAGTGTGAGACTGAATATTCTTTCCTTGTTCCTGATCTTAGGGGGATAATATTCAGTCCTTCACCAGTAATTATCATGTTAGCTGTAGGTTTTTCATAGGTGTCCTTATAAGGTTGAGAATGCTCCCTCTATTCCTAGTTTATTGAGAGTTTTTATTAGGAATTAGTGTTGAATTTTGTCAAATGCTTTTTCTGCATCTATTGAAATGATATATGGCTCTTTTCCTTTATTTTATCAATATGGAGTATTATATTAACCAATTTTTGGTTGCCAAACCAACCTTGCATTCCAGGGATAAATCCTCATTGTGGTTGAAGCCCATTAAATTCCTATAACTTGCACTGACTTTTGTAAGTTAATTGTAGTTTCAAATTTCTTTAAGGACTAGAATTGTCATTTTTTTTTTTTTTTTTGGTTGCGGGGTGGGGCGGGGGACGGAGTTTCACTCTTGTTGCCCAGGCTGCAGTGCAATGGCACGATCTTGGCTCGCCACAGCCTCCGCCTCCCGGGTTCAAGTGATTCTCCTGCCTCAGCCTCCTGAGTAGCTGGGATTACAGGCATGTGCCACCACGCCTGGCTAATTTATTGTATTCTTAGTAGAGATGGGGTTTCTCCATGTTGGTCAGGCTGGTCTCCAACTCCCGACCTCAGGTGATCTGCCTGCCTTGGCCTCCCAAAGTGCCGGGATTATAGGCATGAGCCACCGCACCCAGTCTAAGAACTAGAATTGTCATTTCTAAGTAACACTTCAAAATAAGTAAACTTATTGTTTTCACCAGCCACTGTTATTGAGTAGATCATTGATATTGGGAAATAAATTTGTGCTATATTTTGAATGTTAAATTTTAGGCTAGGTCATGGTGGCCCACACCTGTAATCTGAGCACTTTTGGAGGTTGAGGTGAGTGGATCACCTGAGGTTAGGAGTTCGAGACCAGCCTGGACAACATGGTGAAACCTTGTCCCTACTAAAAATACAAAAATTAGCTGGGCATGGTGGTGGGTGCTTGTGATCCCAGCTACTCAGGAGGCTGAGGCAGGAGGTGGGAGGCAGAGGTTGCAGTGAGCCAAGATTGCACCATTGCACTCCGGCCTGGGCGACGGGTAAAACTCCATCTCAAAAAACAAAAACAAAAAAGAATTTATAGGAAAATACTAAAAGTAATATCCTCTGCATTTATAGCCTATGGACCAGCTCTCATTGAACACTGTCTTTTAGAAAATGGATTCTCGGGTAATGTCAAAGTGGATGAAAAACTTGAAACTAAAGGTATGTCTGCATGGTACATTTTTCATTTATTTCATTTTTTTTAAACTATGAAAATTTTTTCTGGGAAAGTAATAAGGGAGCAGGTGGTTCTAGAATGAAAAACATTTGACCAGGCACACTGGCTCATGCCTGCAATCCCAGCACTTTGGGAGGCTAAGGTGGGAGGATCACTTAAGCCTGGGTGTTTGAGGCTGCAGTGGGTGGTGACTGCACAGCTGCACTCCAGCCTGAGCAACAGAGTGAGACCCCCATCTCAAAAAACCCCACAAAAACAAGTATCACCACTCTCAAAAAAAAAAATTGAATGAGATTTTAGTGAATGTTTTAGTTTCTGCAATATACTAAATCAGTGCACTCATAAAATGACAACAGGTGCTGGTGGTGGTGTTTTGTTTTTGTTTGTTTTTATAAAATGACTCTGATGTTTATATGGAGCAAAAGCATGTGAAAATGTTCAGGATAACTCTGGAAAATACTAGTAATGATTTATTACTGTCTGTGTAACCCTTCACAGATTAAAATATGAAGCTATAGTAATTAAAACTGTAAGTTTTTGGAGAAGGAATAGCATAAAGATTCCAAAAATAATTTGAAATAATATGGGAATTTAGTTTATGAACAAAGTTCCTTTCAGGTCATGGAGGGAAAGGTGGATGATTCAATAAAAGCTACTTGGACAACAGGCTGTTCAAAATGAAACCATATATCCACATATACTGGTTATAAACATGAAATCACTATCTCTAATTTTCTTGAACGCAACATTATTTTGTAAGCACTTTCCTGTTTTTCTACATAGTTGTTTAGCCACGGTTAATTGACACTTGATTGGCACTCCTTTTTTCCTTTTTTTCCCCCACCATTAGATATTGAAAAAGTACTTGTTTCTCTGCAGAAAGCAGAAGACTATATGAAAACAACATCCAACTTCAGTGGGAAGGTAGCACCATGTATACTTACTATATATTGTTGTGATTTATTTGGGTTTTCAGAAATTAAACGTTCATTAAAGGATCATTATATATACATTTTATTTTAATTTGGAAAATTGTTATCTGTAATATGCTTATTCCAGGATAGTTTTTTTGTTTTGTTTTTTGAGACAGTCTTGCTCTGTTACCCAGGCTGGAGTGCAGTGGCATGATCTTGGCTCATTGCAACCTCTGCTTCCCTGGTTGAAGTGATTCTCCTGTCTCAGCCTCCCGAGTAGCTGGGACTACAGGCACGTGCCACCATGCCTGGACAGTTTTTATATTTTCAGTAGAGATGAGGTTTCACCGTGTTGGCCAGGCTGGTCTCGAACTCCTGACCTCAAGTGATCCGCCTGCCTTGGCCTCCCAAAGTGCTGGGATTATAGACATGGGCCACTGCACCCGGCCCAGGATAGTGTTTTAAAAGTTTTTGTTGGTTTATAAGTTTTTTTCTGTTCCCTATCTTTTATAGAAAGTACAATGTCAGGTTAGTATCGGCTCTTCAGAAAAGTTGAGGAATTTACAGTTATTTCTTTAGTTTCAGATAGAGAAGCACATTTTCATTTGTCAGCCCTTTTCAAAAATGTTGTGATTTACAGCTCCCAACCATTAAATATTTTTTGAATTACCTAGTAGCTTATGAGTGTTTTTCTTCCCTTTTCAAAGCATAACTATTTATAGAAAATTAAAATTAATATCAGTCATAGAAAGTAAACCTTTGGATTAGGTGCAAATTAATATCAGTCACAGAAACTAAATTTTTAGGTGCAGTGGCTCACACCTGTGATCTCAGCACTTTTGGAGGCCAAGGTGGGCGGATCACTTGAGACCAAGAGTTCGACACCACCCTGGCCATCATGGCAAAACCCCTGTCTCTACTAAAAATACAAAAATTAGCCAGGTATGGTGGCACACACCTGTAATCCCAGCTACTTGGGAGGCTGAGGCATGAGAATTGCTTGAACCCGGGAGGCAGAGGTTGCAGTGAGCCGAGAATATACCACTGCACTCCAGCCTGGGTGATGGAGCGAGCGCGACTGTATCAAAAAAAAAAAAAAGAAGTAAATCTTTGTTAATTATGAATAGGAATGATTTTAATGTTGCATTTTTGTAGGGATATATCATTCAGAAAAGAGAAATAAAACCAAGCTTGGAAGCAGATAAACCAGTTGAAGACATACTGACGTAAGCATATAGGCATGGGTCAATTTGCTTTGGATGTTTGTTAATGTTCTCGAATGTGATATAATAAATATGTTTTACAGGTATGAGGAATTTCATCCTTTCTTGTTTTCTCAACATTCACAATGTCCATATATAGAATTTGAATCATTTGACAAGGTGGGTTTTCCGTTCTGTTCCTTTACCAGTTAGTTAGCATGATATGAGCTGTTGATATCAACTTGCTTCTATTGAGAAACTGAAACTATACTTGCTTTACATTCACTGTGAATCTGGGCATTAAAGATCAGTGTCGTCACAGATACAGCTGTTGGAAATAATTGTTGCCACTTTATTTCAGGATGAAGGACCAGAGGTTTGAACTTCATTTGATTCTTGATACTGTTTAGCCATATAATACATTTACCGGAAATCTGTTCAAGTTCTTTGAGTGGTGTTATGAAACACAATGGAATCTAAAATTCTGTGTATGCAGCTGGGCTTGCTGGCTCATGCCTATAATCTCAGCATTTTGGGAGGCCAAGGCAGGCAGATCAGTTGAGGTCAGGAGTTCAAGACCAGTCTGGCCAACACAGTGAAACCCTGTCTCTGAAAAACTACAAAAATTAGCGGTGTGTGGTGGGGTGCACCTGTAGTCCCAGCTGTTTGAGAGGCTGAGGCAGGAGAATCACTTGAACCTCGGAGGTGGAAGTTGCAGTGAGCCTAGATCGCGCCACTGCAGTCCCGCCTGGGCAACAGAGTGAGACTCTGTCTCAAAAAAAAAGAAAAAAAAAATAAAATTCTGTGTATGCAAGTTGAAGTAGAGACTGTGCTTTTTTTTCCAACTAGTTGTTTGTTTTTTTAATAAGGCGGTGGATGAATTTTATTCCAAGATAGAAGGCCAGAAAATTGACTTAAAAGCTTTACAACAGGTATGTATTATTAAAAACACATATTAAACCAGCTAGTCTTTAGCGGCTTGATGGGTAGATGATATAGGAAAGGGTAGCCTTTCAGAAAGAGTGTAAGAAGTAGTATGGGAACTCTCTGACCTGCCTCTTTATTTATGATAAAGGTTTATGAAGAAGGTCCATGGGGGATTTTATTGTTGAAAAGTATGTCCTCATTTGTTTCATGAGTATTTCAGATATTCTGTAAAAAAAGGAAAATACGGTGGGAACGTGAGGCCTGTTATTTACACCTTAATGTGGTTTGCTCAGAACAACCCAAAGCTTCTCAAACATTGCTGTTAAGGAGATACTGTTTTAGGGAGATTTTAAATAGGCCAGAGGAGGGGATATTGTTTATCATTAAACTGTTTCTTTTTTAAATGGACTTTAAAGCCAAGTCTTAATATGTTTTCTGTGTATCATGACTCCAAAAGAAGTGATATACAGTATTTTCCCAGCACATTTGACCATGTTTTTAGAGCATTTGCTGCAGAACAGTTTCATAAATTGTTAATAGTCACTCTTGATTTGAAGGGGATTTGATTTTTTCAAAAACAGTCTTAAAATATGTGTGCAAAAATTTCAAATTATTTGAGGCTGGGCGCGGTGGCGCACGCCTGTAAATCCCAGCACTTTGGGAGGCCGAGGCGGGCAGATCACTTGAGGTCAGGAGTTCAAGAACAGCCTGGCCAGCATGGTGAAAACCTGTCTCTGCTGGAAATACAAAAATTAATGGGGTGTGGTATGGGTGTCCAGCTACTCAGGAGCCTGAGGCACAAAAATTGTTTGACCCTGGGAGGCGGAGGTTGCAATGAGCTGAGACTGTGCCACTGCACTCCAGCCTGGGTGACAGAGTGAGACTCTGCCTTAAAGAAAAAAAAATCAAATTGTTTGAATCCCTGTACCACTTCCTCTTCAGTTTTTAAAAATTAGTTAATCATAGCACAATTTCAAAGCAGGTAGGCCAGTCAGATGAATTATATACATCATGTAATTACCACATGGTGGCAGCACTTTGGCTAGTAAACTGAACCCCATGGTTTCATGGGTGTCAAAATACTAGTGATTTATTTTGGTAATTATTTTGTGGGTTTTAATAGTCATCATTCTTATCTAAATTTTAAAAAATATTTCATCTAGCATTTAAATACTCATTAATTGATGATATTACTAGTGTTAGAAATTTTGTCCCCCAATTGATAACCTTGAAATGTAAAGTATATATGATAAAATGCCAAATAACTACCATGAGCCTTTGTCTTATTAATTTAGGGGAAAAAGTTTCTGTAAAATACTGGAAATAGTTGTGAGAAAATCAAAAGTAGCAAAAAATACAAAGTCATTTGGTAATTTATGCTCTTTGGGAATTCATTCCCTGCCAGGTGCAGTGGCTCAGGCCTGTAATCCCAGCACTCTGGGAGGCCAAGGTGGGAGGATTGAGCTCAGACATTGGAGAGCAGCCTGGGCAACATAGCGGGACCCGGTCTCTATTATTTAAAAAAAAATAAAGAATTCGTTCTCCCAAACTTTACTTTTGTGCCATAGGAAAAAATGTCTTGATTTCTGCCTGTTTGAATAATGCCAAGGGTATTAGGGGTATATCTTATATACACAGTAACCTGTAATCAAAATACCTTTCTATATAAGGAGTGGGAGTTAGGAAGACAGGAGAAGTAATTTTGGGGCATGGAACGCATTGTAGTGGGATAGGCCTAGGGTGGTAGACTATGGGAACTTCAGCTAGCTAGATAACAGCATAGATGGGGTCAGGATAGTGAGTGTTGGGAAGTAAGAGAGGGATGTCATGAGGTAGGAGAAATCTAATTTTTAAAAAATCTGTTTTGCCAATAAAAGGAAAAGCAAGCATTGAAGAAATTAGATAATGTTCGAAAGGATCACGAAAACAGATTGGAAGCTCTTCAGCAGGCTCAGGTATTATGTTTGGCTTTCTCAGTGCTTTTTCAAAAATGTTAACTTTAACTGGCAATGTAGTAAATGTGTGTGGTTTGTTTTTTAAGGAAATAGACAAACTGAAAGGAGAGCTCATAGAAATGAACCTACAAATAGTTGACAGAGCCATTCAGGTAGTTCGAAGTGCTTTAGCTAACCAGATAGATTGGACAGAAATTGGGTTAATTGTGAAAGAAGCCCAGGCTCAAGGAGACCCTGTTGCAAGTGCAATCAAAGAATTAAAACTACAAACAAACCATGTTACAATGCTGCTAAGGTAAGTTTGACTCTTAGTCAAGCAGTTAATGCTTGTCTTTATTTTGTTATTTTAATTGTTCACTGTATTAAACATTTTTTCTTCATATTTTGAAATTCTCAAAGAAAGGGAAAAAACTAATTTAGATTAAAATAAATAATGAAACTTCCAGTACTGTAAACCATTTATAATTTTATTGAAGAAGAAAATTGAAAATAAAAGTGATGTCATTGACGTTAGTGAAATGCTATTGAATATTTTTAATAGAAATCCATACTTGTTATCAGAGGAGGAAGATGATGATGTTGATGGTGACGTCAATGTTGAGAAAAATGAAACTGAACCACCAAAAGGAAAAAAGAAAAAACAAAAGAATAAACAGCTGCAGAAGCCTCAGAAAAATAAGCCCTTACTTGTAGATGTTGATCTCAGCTTGTCAGCATATGCCAATGCCAAAAAGTAAGTCATTTAACTTTACATTTTAGGCCAAGTGTTATCTGCAATAAATTAAGGAATTAAGGACATTTTAAAAAATTTTAAATTTCACTTGTACATGCATACTTTTTTTGGGTGAAAATACTTTTTTAAATTTAGTTTTGTTAATTATACAGTTTGTTCTGATTTGTTCTGTATAATTTGAGAATTTGTCAAGTTAGAACTAAGTAGAAAACTGAAGAATAAATATTATACTTAAAATTTAAGAGAAATATGTTTTTCTAGGTATTATGATCACAAGAGATATGCTGCTAAGAAAACACAAAAGACTGTTGAAGCTGCTGAGAAGGTACTGAGTATTTCTTAGAGTGAATGTTAGTTGTTTGTGCCTGCGTAATTTAATGGACATAATTATTTCTTCTGTTTAAATGAGGTTTTCTAATTCAGAAGTATCTTTCAAACTTAACTTTGCTTTAAATATATGTATTTCCAGTATTTTTTCCCCCCAGGACTGCTCCTCCCCTATTCTTCCTCATCTCAGTAAATAACACCTTCATTTTTCTGTTCACTCAGGTTAAAAATGTTTGTGATATCCTGGACTCTTTTCCCATAAATCATGCAATCCATCAGTAAATCCTTTGGTTCTTTCTTTAAAGTACAGCCAGAATCTGGCTACTACTCATTATTTCCACTGATCAGTCCCCTATCACCTCTGTGTTCACATGGACTATGACAAGTAGCCTCTTATTGGATCTCTCTCCTCCTCCTCTTTTCCCACTACAGTCTGTTCTCCACATAGCAGCCATTGTGACCCTTTTTTTTTTTTGCGATGGAGTTTCACTCTTATTGCTCAGGCTGGAGTGCAATGGCTTGATCTCAGCTCACTGCAACTTCTGCCTCCCAGGTTCAAGCGATTCTCCCACCTCAGCCTCCTAAGTAGCTGGGATTACAGGCGCCCGCCACCACACCCAGCTAATTTTTGTAGTTTTAGTAGAGACAGGGTTTCACCATGTTGGTCAGCTTGGTCTCAAACTGCTGACCTCAGGTGATCCGCCCGCTTCAGGCCTTGACCTTCGGCCTCCCAAAGTGCTGGGATTACAGGTGTGAGCCACCATGCCTAGCCCCGTTGTGATCCTTTTGAATCAAAAGTGAAGACTGGGTGTGGTGGTTGACGCCTGTAATTCCAGCACTTTGGAAGGCCGAGGCCGGTGGATCGCTTGAAGCCAGGAGTTTGAGACCAGCCTGGCCAACATGGTGAAACCCCATATCTACTGAAAATACAAAAATTAGCCTGAGGTGATGGCGGGTACCTGTAATCCCAGCTACTTGGGCGGCTGAGGTGGGAGAATCTAATGAACCCGGGAGGTGGAGGTTGCAGTGAGCTGAGATCATGCCATTGCACTCTAGCCTGGGAGACAGAGCGAGACTCCGTCTCAAAAAATATATTAAAATAAATAAATCAAAAGTGAAGTCCTTTTTCTCTTCCAGTTGCTTCCCATCTTAATACAATTCAGAGCCCTTCTCCTATCCTGCAAGAAGGACGGGAGATCTCCTCCCCTCTGACCTCAACACCTGCATTCCTCCTCTCATACACTCTTTCTGGCTACACTGGGATCTTAGCTGTTCATAAAATAATGACACGTGCTCCCCTCTCAGGGTCTTTGCCCTTGCTGTTCTCTCTACCTGGAATTTTCAGTTTGACCCCTCTCTTCATTTACATATCCACTTAAATGAGATTTAATCAGAGAATCCTTCCTTGACCGCTCATTACTAACGATAGTACCACCCTGAATCTCTCTTTATTTTGCCTTATTTTCTTCTTGAAAAACACTCCCCCCAGCCCAACATATGTTTATTTGAATATTTTTTCTGGATTCCCTCTAGAATATAGATTGCATGAAAGTAGAATCTTTGTGTTGTTCATTGCTGCATCCCAATCCCTGGAATATTGCCTGGCACAGAGTAGGCACTTTAATAGCTGTTAAATGAGTGGCCTTCATGACTTGGCCCTCTGTCTATTGCTTCAACCTCATTTCTTGACATTATGCCCTTGATTACTACTTGCTGTACTTGCTGGTCTTTTTTTTTTTTTTTTTTTTGCTTGTAATGCCCTTTTTCCTATTCTTTGCCTGATAACCCCGTTAGTCGTTGAGGATTCAGCTTAAATGTCATTTCCTCAGAGATACCTTCTTTGACCATAACCCAGTGTAAATCGGGTTTCCTTGTTATATTCCTGTAGCATCTTTAGAAGCACTCACCATTATATATTTATTTAAAGGATTATATGATTAATAGTTGTCTCTTCTAGACCTAGTGGGGTGGGAGTGGGGGCTTTGTCCATCTTGTTCACTCTTATATCTCTAATGGCATCTAGCCTAGAACCAAGCATATGATAGGTACTCAGTATCTAGAAAATGACAAGGTATTTATTACTTTGTAGGTCTTGGGCAAATATTTTCATGTAGTAATTCTTTAGTTTAGATTATTTTAATACTTCAGGCAAAAATATTTTCATTTCTTCATTACTTTCAAGTATGCGTATTTGTGTGTGTGTGTGTTTGTGTGTGTGTGTGTAGATTGTGCCATTTTGTGACATTTAAAAAAATTCTTGCCCCATTATTTACTTTGGTGTTATTTAAATACATTCTTAACAAATTGTTTTTAAAACTCTTTTCTATAAATAGGCATTCAAGTCAGCAGAAAAGAAAACAAAGCAAACATTAAAAGAAGTTCAGACTGTTACCTCTATTCAAAAAGCAAGAAAAGTATATTGGTAAGTGTTCTGTCTCTTTCAAATACAGTTTTTGTTTTTATTAAAATTATCCATGCACATTGTTTAGAAAAGTCAAACAGTTCTACAAAGCTTGTTACAAAACCAGTAGCTCTGCAATTTTTTGTTGGTTTGTTTGAGACAGGTTCTCTGTCACCCAGGGTGGAATACAGTGGCATGAACATGGCTCACTGTAGCATTGACCTCCTGGGCTCTGACAGTTCTCCCACCTCAGCCTCCCAAGTAGCTGAGACTACAGGCACATGCCACTGTGCCCAGCTAATTTTTTAATTTTTTGTAGAGGCAGGGTCTCACTTTGTTGCCCAGGCTGGTCTCAAACTTCTAGGCTCAAGAGATCCTCCTGCCTCAGCCTCAGTGCTGGATTACAGGCATACGCTTCTGCACTCAGCTAGTTCTCCAGTTCCTCACCTTTACTCCTATTGCCTGCTCTCCGAAGGAAACCACTTTTAGCTCTTTTAGTTGATTCTTTTGATATTTGCCTTTATTTATCTTAGTAATATGTTTATATTGCTACTTCTTAATTTTTCTGTTTTATATTCTTACTAACTTCCCACTGGGAAAGATGAGGATTTCCCTCTTTCCACTTGTGTTCCATTACATACACACACAGTTACAGCATAATTTTGTCAAGATTAATAGCATTGGCATCATTATAAATATTTAAATTGTAGTCATATAATTTATATGTCATAGCTGACCCACATAGAATTCTGTTTTCTTTTTCCTTCCTTGCTCAGTTTTAAAAATCTTCCCTGGAGTTATTAATTGTCATTTCATTTGCTTTTTATTTTTGTTCTTATCACTAATTTATCTAAATAATATCTTCCAAGTGTGTTCAGACACATTGGAATTCAATCAGTATCATCTTGCAGAGGTCAGAAGTCTCTCCTGGAGCTTTTTGACTTACTTAATTTTATATTGGTTCTCTCTAAGCATCGTACACTTTTCTTTTTATTGTTATCTTTATCCTTCTCTGTTTTGGAAACTCTTTTCTGGATCTCATACTTCTTTCTTGGTTGAAAGAGTGTGTGTTCCAGAAGCTTCACAAGAAAGGGTGTATAGAAAGCAGAGTTTTTGAGGTCTCCAATGTATAAAACATTTTACTCTTATAGTTTGAGTGGGCTGGGCATGGTGGCCCATTCCTGTAATCTCAGCACTCTGGGAGGGTGAGGTGGGTGGACCTCTTGACCTCTGGAGTTCGAGACTAGCCTGTGCAACATGCCAAACCCCGTCTCTTAAAAAAAAAAATTGAGTATAGAATTCTATGAAAATATATTTTCCTCAGACTTTTTTTTTTTTTTTTTGAGACGGAATTTCACTTTTATTGCCCAGGCTGGAGTGCAGTGGCGCAGTCTTTGGCTCACTGTAACCTCTGCCTTCCAGTTTGAAGCGATTCTCATGCCTCAGCCTCTGGAGTAGCTGGGATTACAGGCACCCACCACCACGCCTGGCTAATTTTTGTATTTTTAGTAGAGATGGGGTTTCACCTTACTTGCCACCCTGGTCTCAAACTCCTGACCTCGTGTTCCACCCGCCTCAGCCTCCCAAAGTGTTGGGATTACAGGCGTGAGCCACCACGCCCCGCCTCCTCAGACTTTTAAAGGTATTGCTTCATTATAGTAACTTGAGAAATCTGGTATTATTTTGATAGTTGATATTTTATTTATTTTATTTTTTTTGAGACAGAGTCTCACTTTGTTGCCCAGGCTGGAGTGCAGTGGCATGATCTTGGCTCACTGCAACCTCCGCTTCCTGGGTTCAAGTGATTCTCCTGTCTCAGCCTCCCGAGTAGCTGGGATTACAGGTGCACGCCACCATGCCCAACTAATTTTTGTGTGTTTAGTAGAGAAGGGTTTCTGCCATGTTGCCCATGCTGGTCTCTTAACTCTTGGCCTCAAGTGATCTGCCCGCCTCAGCCTCCCAAAATGCTGGGATTACAGGCTTGAGCCATCACACCTGGCTGATAGTTGATATTTTACATGAAACTTGTTTTTGCCTCTCTACAAGCTTGTAGATATTTCTCCCCTCCCAATTTTTTCTCCAAATTTTTCAAAATTTTACAATTGGGGTTGGTGGTGATGTTTTAATCCATTATGTTGGATACTTTGTGGGCTGTTTTAATTCAGAAACTTTCAGTTCTGAGACATTTTCTGGAAATAGTTCTTGAAAAACTGCCTGACCTCTGCTTTCTTTTTTCTTTTCCTTCTGGAAATCTTGTTTTTAAGATATGGAACCCCCTAGACCAGTCCTCCAATTTTGTTGTATTTTCTATTTTCAAGTCTATCGTTTTGCTCTACATCCTGGGAGTTTCCTCAGCTTTATCTTCCACCAAATCTTTCCACTGAATATTTTATTACTTCCTATCATGTTTTTAATTTTAAGAACTCTCTTTTCAACATAATGTTCCTGGCAAAAAAAGAGAGGACTTTTTTTTTTTGGTTCTTGGAATATACCCTTTTTAAAAAAATAAATAAGTTTCTGCTTTAGTTTCTTTTAGCTCTCTGAGAATAGTTTTGATGTATTAAATTTTTTTAGTATTCTTTTTTGGCAAGTCTCTGTCTTCTCCAAGTTGTTTCTTTTTAAATTTTTTTAAATTATATATATTTAGGCTGGGCACAGTGGTGCTCACCCATGTAATCCTAGCACTTTGGGAGACCAAGACAGGTGGATCACTGGGGGTTAGGAGTTTGAGACCAACCTGGCCAACATGGTGAAAACCCATCTCTACTAAAAATACAAAAAAAATTAGCTGAGTGTGGTGGCAGGTGCCTGTAATCCCAGCTACTAGGGAGGCTGAGACACAAGAATCACTTGAACTTGGGAGGCAGAGGTTTCAGTAAGCCGAGATCGTGCCACTGCACTCCAGCCTGGGTGACAGAGCAAGACTCTTTCTCCAAAAAAAAAAAAAAAAAAATCTCTAAGGGGACTCTGATAATGCTAGGCCTCTCAAGAACAAAAAGTTAAGGTCATGCAGTCCCCCTACCACACCACACATACTGATAGGAGACCAGAAGTTAATCTCTTCAGCAGACATACTCCCTTTCTTCACTTAACATGGCAGTAGGCTTTCCACAATCTATCACACACATAGACATTGTCATCCTTTTCATCCCTGCAGTGCATAAATGAGAGGAAAGGGCCACCATTACCTCTTTTTTTTTTTTTTTTTTTTTTTTTTTTAAGTAGAGACTGGATCTTTCAGTGTTGGCCAGGCTGATCTCGAACTCCTGGGCTCAAGTGATCCTCCCACTTCAGCCTCCCAAAGTGCTGGGATTACAGATAAAAGCCACCATGCCTGGCCCTGCCATTATTACTTTTTTTTTCTTTGAGACAGAGTCCTAGCTCTGTTGCCCATGTTGGAGTGCAGTGGTGCGATCTTGGCTCACTGCAACCTTCACCTCCCAGGCTCAAGGGATTCTCCTGCCTCAGCCTCCCAAGTAGCTGGGACTACAGGTGTGCGCCACCATGCCCGGCTAACTTTTGTACTTTTTTTTTTTCCTCTTTTTTTTTTTTATTAAAATGTGCATCATTCTTTTATTTTTATTTTATTTTATTTTTTTTTATTGATCATTCTTGGGTGTTTCTCGCAGAGGGGGATTTGGCAGGGTCATAGGACAACAGCGGAGGGAAGGTCAGCAGGCAAACAAGTGAACAAAGGTCTCTGGTTTTCCTAGGCAGAGTGTTTGTGTCCCTAGGTACTTGAGATTGGGGAGTGGTGATGACTCTCAACGAGCATGCTGCCTTCAAGCATCTGTTTAACAAAGCACATCTTGCACCGCCCTTAATCCATTTAACCCTGAGTGGACACAGCACATGTTTCAGAGAGCACAGGGTTGGGGGTAAGGTCATAGATCAACAGGATCCCAAGGCAGAAGAATTTTTCTTAGTACAGAACAAAATGAAAAGTCTCCCATGTCTACTACTTTCTACACAGACACAGCAACCATCCAATTTCTCAATCTTTTCCCCACCTTGCCCCCTTTTCTATTCCACAAAACCGCCATTGTCATCATGGCCCATTCTCAATGAGCTGTTGGGTACCTCCTCCCAGACGGGGTGGTGGCTGGGCAGAGGGGCTCCTCACTTCCCAGTAGGGGCGGCCGGGCAGAGGCGCCCCTCACCTCCTGGACGGGGCGGCTGGCCGGGCGGGGGGCTGAGCCCCCCACCTCCCTCCCGGACGGGGCGGCTGGCCGGGCGGGGGGCTGAGCCCCCCACCTCCCTCCCGGACGGGGCAGCTGGCCGGGCGGGGGGCTGACCCCCCCACCTCCCTCCCGGACGGGGCGGCTGGCCGGGCAGAGGGGCTCCTCACTTCCCAGTAGGGGCGGCCGGGCAGAGGCACCCCTCACCTCCTGGACGGGGCGGCTGACTGGGCGGGGGGCTGACCCCCCCACCTCCCTCCCGGACGGGGCGGCTGGCCGGGCGGGGGGCTGAGCCTCCCACCTCCCTCCCGGACGGGGCGGCTGGCCGGGCGGGGGGCTGACCCCCCCCACCTCCCTCCCGGACGGGGCGGCTGGCCGGGCGGGGGGCTGACCCCCCCCACCTCCCTCCCGGACGGGGCGGCTGGCCGGGCGGGGGGCTGAGCCCCCCACCTCCCTCCCGGACGGGGCGGCTGGCCTGGCGGGGGCTGACCCCCCCACCTCCCTCCCGGGCGTGGTGGCTGCCGGGCGGAGACGCTCCTCACTTCCCAGACGGGGTGGCAGCCGGGCGGAGGGGCTCCTCACTTCTCAGACGGGGCGGCCGGGCAGAGACGCTCCTCACCTCCCAGACGGGGTCGCGGCCGGGCCGAGGTGCTCCTCACATCCCAGACGGGGCGGCGGGGCAGAGGTGCTCCCCACATCTCAGATGATGGGCGGCCGGGCAGAGACGCTCCTCACTTCCTAGATGGGATGGCGGCCGGGAAGAGGCGCTCCTCACTTCCCAGGTGGGGAGCACTGAGTTAACGAGACTCCGTCTGCAATCCCGGCACCTTGGGATGCCGAGGCTGGCGGATCACTCGTGGTTAGGAGCTGGAGACCAGCCCGGCCAACACAGCGAAACCCCATCTCCACCAAAAAAATACGAAAACCAGTCAGGCGTGGCGGCACGCACCTGCAATCGCAGGCACTCGGCAGGCTGAGGCAGGAGAATCAGGCAGGGAGGTTGCAGTGAGCCGAGATGGCAGCAGCACAGTCCAGCTTTGGCTCGGCATGAGAGGGAGACCGTGGAAGGGGGAGGAGAGAGGGGAGAGGGGATTTTGTACTTTTTGTAGAGATGGATTTCACCATATTGGCCAGGCTAGTCTCGAACTCCTGACCTCAAGTGATCCACCCTCCTCGGCCTTCCAAAGTGCCGGGATTATAGGCATGAGCCACCGCGCCCAGCCGATTATTAGCTCTTGATACAATACTTTCAGAATCTGAAACGGAGAGGGTAAGGAACTTCAGCGAAGTCATGCAGTGACCAGAGGACAACGCGTAAGTGCTGACAGGTTTGAGGAATGACTCTGTCATGGCACCAAACTCAAAAGGTATTCATTAACTTTTCTTTGAGCCATAAAAAGGATCAAATGTGTCATTTCAACAAACACACAGACACTTGCCTGCTGTCAAAAGGAAATGGGGGCCAGCCACAGTGGCTCATGCCTGTTATCCCAGCACTTTGGGAGGCCGAGGCGGGCAGATGACAAGATCAGGAGTTTGAGACCAGCCTGGCCAATAAGGTGAACCCCCGTTTCTACTAAAAATACAAAAATTAGCCAGGTGTGGTGGCTTGTGCCTGTAGACCAAGCTACTCGGGTGGCTGAGGCAGAAGAATCGCTTGAACCTGGGAGGCGGAGGTTGCAGTGAGCCAAGATGGCGCCTCTGCACTCCAGTCTGGGCAACAGAGTGAGACTCTGTCTCAGAAAAAAACAAAAACAAAAAAAAAAAATGGGTGGCTGAAGTGGCATTCTAATCCTCTGAAATCATTTCCCAAAGGTAATTAGCTAATGGGTATCACAACATCCTACACCCTCAGAGCAAGTGAAGGGAGGGCACTGGACTAGATGCTCACAAATGAAAACACACAGATTTTGGGTACATGCAATTGCTCTACCTCAGGGACATCAACATTCAGAACTCTCTCCTTTTCACAATGTTTCTATAAAGACAGGGATAGGCTAGGTGCGGTGGCTCACGCCTGTAATCCCAGCACTTTGGGAGACCATAGGCGGGCAGATAACCTGAGGTGAGGAGTTCGAGACCAGCCTGGGCAACATGGCGAAACCCCGTCTCTACAAAAATACAAAAATTAGCTAGGTGTGGTTGTGCACACCTGTAGTCCCAGCTACTTGAAAGGCTGAGGTGGGAGGATCACTTGAGCCTGGGAGGCAGACGTTGCAGTGAGCCAAGACTGTGCCACTGCACTCCAGCCTGGGCAACAGAGCGAGACTCCATCTCAAAAAAATAAACATATATATATATATATATATATATATATGGTCTATAATATGTTTTTATTATATACATATGCATAATGAAATGAAACAGTCAAGCACATTAACATATGCATCATCTCACGTAGTTACTCTGTTTTTTGTGTGTCTGGTAAGAGCACTTAAAAATATACTCTCAGCAAATTTCCAATATGTAATACAGTATTGTTAACTGTATTCCTCATGCCATATATTGGATGTCTAGAGTTACTCATGTTACTGTAACTTGTTAGTTTTTGACATACCTACATCAGCCCTACCGCACCCTCCTTTTCTTTTTTTCTTTTGGAGACAGAGTTTCGCTCTGTGGCACAGGCTGCTGAGTAGCTGGGACTACAGGCACTTTTTTAAAAATGTTGCTTTTGTCTCCATCTTTCATATTAGTGTCTGGTGCTCCTTGATTGTCTGTTCAACGTTTTACATTTTATGGTAGGGTATTTAAATGCTGTTTGGAAGTTCCCTGGGTGGTTGGGCTTGTGAAATGATCTGTGTTGGCCATTTTGTGTAGAATCCTCATTGTCTTTAGCCCTTTTCCCCTTGAGCTAGTCTCATTTCCCAGAAAAGATTCTTTTTTTCTCCTGCTTGTAAGGTGAAGACCTGGCTGCTGCAGCATTTGGGGAGCCCAGTGGAAATAATAGGCTGAGAGTCTTAGGATCCATAATTCATTTACTTATTTGCTGTATTTTACATATATTACTCCTGATTATATAGCTGTGCCACATTTACCCTTGTCCAGAGATCTTCTTTATACCCTTTCTAGAGAAATTAACCTCTGGCCTTCTGTTAGGAAATGGAACAGGAATTAGCTGGAAAGAACATATATGGAACTAACTGCTTCTTGAACAGACTCTCAGCCAGTCCTCCTGTTTTCATTCCCATCTTAAACTCTTATTTCCTTAAGTGTTTGTGCTGCCATTTGTTTATCCTTTTATGAGTTTTACATTGCAAATTTAGTTGTTGCTTTTTTCACCATCAGCTTAGGATTCAGCTTCTTAAGTCTGATCACAGCCGGGCGCAGTGGCTCACGCCTGTAATCCCAGCACTTTGGGAGGCCGAGGAGGGCGGATCACGAGGTCAAGAGATCGAGACCATCCTGGCTAACACGGTGAAACCCCGTCTCTACTAAAAATACAAAAAAAATTAGCCGGGCGTGGTGGCGGGCGCCTGTTGTAGTCCCAGCTACTCGGGAGGCTGAGGCAGGAGAATGGCGTGAACCCAGAAGGCGGAGCTTGCAGTGAGCCGAGATCGGGCCACTGCACTCCAGTCTGGGTGACAGTGCGAGACTCTGTCTCGGAAAAAAAAAAAAAAAAAAAGTCTCATCACTTGTCCATTTGTTTTCCAGCTTTCAAAATTTGGTTGTATTTGTCTCTTCTCCCTCTCTGTTTTGTTTGACATCTCTGTTGATGACTAGGATTATCCTGTAGTTTTCATTTCTTGTAATGTTCTTGTTGGGTATTGGTATCAAGGTCATATTGCCTCATAAAACAAGTTGGAAAGTGTTCCTTTTTCAGTTGTTCTTAAATAGCTGATGAAATTCACCTGTGAAGCTGAGTAGTCCTGGAGTTTTCTTTGGGAAAGCTTGTCATTGCAGATTCAAATTATTTAGTAAATGTAAGGACTGTTCAAATTTCCTAGTTTTGGTAAGCAGTGTTTTTTTAAAGACTTTGTCTAAAGTTTAAAATATATTGGCAGAAAGTTTATAATATTCTGCGAATTTGTCCATTTCTCCTTTTACTTCTGCCAGTTTTTGCTTTTTATATATGAGACAATGTAATTAGGTGATAAAACTATATAACTGTTACGTCTTCCTAATTAATTGAGTCTTTTATCAACTTTAATGAAATGTCCTTCTAACTTGTAACTATTTTTTCCTTGTTTGTCAGGTGTAACTAGATGAGCTTTCTTTTGGTTAGTGTTTACATGGTATATCTTTTTTATTTGTTTGTTTTTTGTTTTTTGAGACATAGTCTTGCTCTGTCACCCAGGCTGAAGTGCAGTGGTGCAATCTTGGCTCATTGCAACTTCTGCCTCCTGGGTTCAAGCAATTCTGCCTCAGCCCTCTGAGTAGCTGGGATTACAGGCGCCCACCACCATGCCTGGCTAATTTTTCTATTTTTATTAGAGATGAGGTTTCATCATGTTGGCCAGGCTGGTCTCAAACTCTGGACCTCAAGTGATATGCCTGCGTTGGCCTCCCAAAGTGCTGGGATTACAGGCATAAGCCACCGCGCCTGGCCTGTCTTTTTTCATCATTATATTTCAACCTTTCCATCCTTATATTTTAAAGGAGCATCATATATATCATTGTCATTGTTTTCCAGTCTGACAGTCTTTGCCTTTTACCTGGGCATTTAATGCATTTATATTTAATGTAATCTCTGATATATTTGGGTTTAAATCCACCCATCTTACTGTTTGCTTTTTGCTTGTCCCATTTGTTCTGTGTCCTCTTTTGTCTTCATTATTGCCTTCTTTTGATTGACTACTTTTTATTGACTTGTTGGCTATACATTCCCTTACTAGGATGATTACAAAATACATCTTTGATTTTTCTCTCCCATTCTTTTTGTCCCTATGTCTTTGTCTTTTTACAAACCTCTTTACTATCAGTAGGGGAATGGTTAAGTAAGTGTAGTGCATCCATTCAGCAATGAAGAAAATGTACTTTTAGGTGAAAAAAGCAATATTCAGAACAGTTTGTGCTATGTCTAAAAATGTATCAGGGAAACCCACCTCCAGTATTTCAACATAGGTTCTTTCTATTTTCCTTAAGTGTCAGCCAGCTGAGAAATAAAGAGAAAGAGTACAAAGAGGAATTTTACAGCTGGGCTGCTGGGGGTGACATCACGTATCCGTAGGACCATGATGCCCACCTGAGCCTTAAAGCCAGCAAGCTTTATTAAGGATTTCAAAAGGGGAGGGAGGTGCAAGAACAGGGAGTAGGTCACAAAGATCACATGCTTCAAAGGGCAAAAAGGAGAACAAAGATCACATGCTTCTGAGGAAACAGGACAAGGGCAAAATCAGAAACTCCTGATAAGGGTCCAACAAAGATCACAAGGCAAAGGGCAAAAGCAAAGATCACAAGGCAAAGGACAAAAGATTGACAGGATTAAGAGATTAAAGTAAGACAGGCGTAAGAAATTGTGAAAGTATTGTTTGGGAACTGGTAAATGTCCATGAAATCTTCACAATTTATATTCCTCTGCCACAGCTCCAGCTGGTCCCTCTGTTCAGGGTCCCTGACTTCCCGCAACAAAAAAGAGAAGATTGGGATAAATATTTTAGCTTTTCTATGTATAAAGAATCTTGAGACGGATACTCAGGAAGCCAGTCACAATGGCTCCCTCTTTGGTGTAGTGACAGGAACTGAAGGGATGCAGGATCTCTCACTATCTTTTTTATATTTTTTGTTTTTTATTTATTTATTTTTTGAGACAGAGTCTCGTTCTGTTGCCTAGGCTGGAGTGCAGGGGTGCCATCTCAGCTCACTGCAAGCTCCGCCTCCCAGGTTCACCCCATTCTTTTGCCTTAGCCTCCCGAGTAGGTGAGACTACAGGCGCCTGTCACCACACCCGGCTAATTTTTCATATTTTCAGTAGAGACGGGTTTTCACCATGTTAACCGGGATGGTCTCGATCTCCTGAGCTCGTGATCCGCCCACCTTGGCCTCTCGAAGTGCTGGGATTACAGGCGTGAGGCACCGTGTCCAGCTGACCTTTTTTATATAAGTAAAAAAATTTATTCAACCATGAGTATGTGTTACCCAATCAAAAAATCAGATTAGAAAATAGTAAAGTCCTTTCACTATTATATTAGGGAGTTTAAGTTAAGTATCTGTGCTTAGTCTACCATTTTTAACCAAAAGTTTTAAAAAGTGTGGATTAAATCATACAGAAGATAATCTCTGTAGTCATATATAATGTAGCAAGTATTTATGTTCATCTGTCTTGCATGTCATTTTCTAAATGTCATACAGATAATATACTCTGTACTTTTTATCTTGCAGGTATTAATCATGAAAACCCAAGTTATTTTGTCTTTTGAGAAAAGTTGTAATTTTATCCTCCTAAGGACAATTTTTGGTCTTTTGTATTTAAAAAAATGTAAAGAATATCATATTAAAGATTAATTACGTTCATTTATTGAGAGCAGAGTGGGAAAACAACATTTCTTTCTTATTAGTGGTCTAAAGCCTATTCAGTGCCTCACTAAAAGAAAGCTAAACCTAAGGACCATATGACATTTTATACTTTTGCTTTATGAAATTTATTGTTAGAAGTTGAGTTTAAGAAGGCTATATGGAGTAAGGAGATAACTTTTTTAAACATAGAATTTAATTTCTTTTTTCTAAGACTGTCTAAAGAATATCCTAGGGCAATTTGTATTATAGGTTTTTAGTAAAATTAAGCTTGATGCCTTAAAAAAATTAAACCATCAACTTGTCTTAAATAGCTTCCTGTTTTGTTTTGTTTGCAAAAAGGGTATGAATTCAGGCAGCTATAAAGAAAAGTTAACTTTTTTTCTTTCATTTTGATAGGTTTGAGAAATTTCTGTGGTTCATTAGCTCAGAGAACTATCTAATTATAGGTGGACGAGATCAGCAACAGAATGAAATAATTGTGAAAAGATACTTGACACCAGGTAGGTAAGATTAAAATTCGGAAAAATTTTCTCTTGAATGTTTGGATCAGTTATCTCAATATTAGGCATTGATTTTCTTGTTATACTCTTCTGTTTGATAGATTTAACTAGTAGAAAGATTTGATGCATGATGCTTCATGGTTTGTTGCATATGTGTTTTGATGCTTTTAGTTCTTAAGTGAATATTCCTAAAATGGTATTGCTGAGCTAATCTGCAGTGTTGGACTTTCAGTACATTACATTAACAGAATAACTTTCAGTCTTCAAAGTTATTGTAGGTCAAATTTTTAAAAGCTTACTGTAGTGGTGTTAAAGTTTGCAATCATTTTTCACACCTAGAAGTAGGACTTGGCCGGGCGTGGTGGCTCACGCCTGTAATCTCAGCCACTTTGGGAGGCTGAGGCAGGTGGATCACCTGAGGTCAGGAGTTCAAGAACAGCCTGGCCAACATGGTGAAACCCTGTCTCCACTAAAAATACCAAAAAAATTAGCTGGACGTGGTGGTGCACGCCTGTAATCCCAGCTACTTGGGAGGCTGAGGTGGGAGAATTGCCTGAACCTTGGGGGCAGAAGTTGCAGTGAGCTGAAATCGTGCCACTGCACTCCAGCCTGGGCGACAGAGCGAGACTCCATCTGAAAAAAAAAAAAGGAAAAAAGAATAATTAGGACTTAAAGTGTCATTTTTTATTTGTCTGTATTTAAGGAGACATTTATGTACATGCTGATCTTCATGGAGCTACTAGCTGTGTAATTAAGAATCCAACAGGTAATATATTTCTTTCTATTCAGAATTCCTGTTCCTTTCTTTAAAATATTTTTAGTGTGACTGTAAGACAAAAATTTAATAGAGGGCCAGATGTGGTGGCTCATGCCTGTAATCCCAGCACTTTGGGAAGCTGAAGTGTGAGGATTATTTGAGGCCAGGAGTTTGAGACCAGACTGGGCAAGAAAGTGAAACCTCATCTCTAGAAAAATTTTTTTAAAAAGCTGGGTGCAGTGGCATGCACCTGTAGTCCCAGCTACAGAAAGCTGAGGTGGGAGGATCAGCTTGGGTGACACACACACACACACACACACACACACACACACACCTAATAAAAAAAGATGTAATGATAAAAGGATCAGTCTTATCAAGAAGATGTAACAATTATAAACATATGTGCTGCTAATAACAGAGCCCTAGAATGCATAAAGCAAACCTGACAGAATTGAAGGGAGAGAGAGATAGTTCTACAATAATAGTTGAGGACTTTAATACCCAACTTTCAGTCATAGATAGAATAACTGGACACAGAATCAGCAAGGAAATGGAAGACTTGAACAACACTGTAAACTAAATCTAACAGACATCTCTAGAATACTCTACTTAATAGCAGCACCATACAGGTTGAGTATCCTATCTGAAATGCTTGGGACCAGAGTGTTTTTATATTTTGAAGTATTTGCATTATACTTACCAGTTGAGCATCCCAAATCCAAAAATCACAGATTCAAAATGCTGCAAAACGTTTCTAGCAAACTCCAGTGGGCATTTTCTTTGAGTCATCATGCTGCACTCAGAAAGTTTTAGATTTTGGAGCATTTTGGATTTTCAGGTTTGGGGTGCTCACCCTGTATTCTTAAGTGCACATGAAATATTCTCTGGGGTAGACCATAGGATAGTCTATAAAACAAGCCTCGGCTGGATGCGGTGACTCACACCTGTAATCCCAGCACTTTGGGAGGCTGAGGCAAGCAGATTGTGAGGTCAGGAGGTTGAGACCAACCTGGCTAACATGGTGAAACCCTGTCTCTACTAAAAATACAAAAAATTAGCTGGGTGTGGTGGCACACGCCTGTAGTCCCAGCTACTCGGGAGGCTGAGGCAGGAGAATCGCTTGAACCCAGGAGCTGAGACGGTGCCATTGCACTCCAGCCTGGGCGACAGGGCGAGACTCCATCTCAAAAAAAAAAAGCCTCAATACATTTAAAACTGTTGAAATTAGACAAAGTAAGTTTTCTGACTATAATGGGGTGAAATTAGAAACCAGGAGTAGAGAAAATGTTTTAAATTCGTAAGTATGTGGAAATTAAATACCACAGTTATAAATAAGCAATGGAACAAAGAGGAAATCACAAAAGATGCCACAAAACACTTTGAGATGAACGAAATGAAAATACAGTGTGTCAAAACTTATGAGATGCAAGAAGAGCAGCCCTTAGGGGGTAATTTATAGCTATAAATGCCTATATTTAAAAAGAAGAAAGATCTCAAATCAGTAACCTAACTTTGCACCTTAAGAACTAGAAAAACAACCCAAAGCAAGGAGAAGGAAGAAAATAGTAAATATTAGAGTAGAAATGAACAAAACAGAGAATAGGAAAAAAATAGAGAAAATGAACAAAACCCAAGTTGGTTCTTTGAAAAGATAAACAAAATTGATAAACCCTTGGCTAGACTGACCAAGAAAATAGAGGACTCAAATCCCTAAAATCAGGAATGAAATAGGGAACATTACTTCCGACTTTACAGATATTGAAAGGATTATAAGGGAATACCATGAACAATTATATACCAACAGATTATGTAACCTAGATGAAATGGACAAATTCCTAGAAAGATATAAATACTAAAACTGACTCAAGAAGAAATAGAGAATTGAAATAAACCTGTAAGTACAGAGATTGGATTAATAATAAAGAAAAACATTAAAAAAATACTCATCAAAGAAAACCCTAGGCCAGATGGCTTCACTGGTGAATTATAAAGAAGGTTGAATGCCAGTTCTTCACAAACTCTTCCAAAAAATAGGATCAGTGGGAACACTTCCTAACCCATTCTACAAGGCCAGTATTACAAAACCAAAGATAACACAAGAAAACTACAGACCAATACCGGTTATAAATATAGACAAAAATCTTTGACAAAATATTAGCAAACTGAATCTAGCAGCATATTAAAATGACTATATACGATGACAAAGCGTAATTTATCTCAGGAATGAAAGCTTGGTTCAGTATATGGAAATTAATGTAATATAATCTACTAATAAAGGACAAAAAACACACATGGATTATCTCAACTTATGAAGAAAAACCATTTGACAAAATTCAACATTTGTTTGTGATAAAAACACTCAGCAAACTAGGAATAGAAGGGATATTCCTCAACTTGGTAAACAAGCATTTATGAAAAACCGACAGCTAACAATCATACTTAATGCTGAAAGATTGGGTACCTTCCTCCTCCCATCAGTAATAAGACAAATATGTCTGTTCTTGCCATTTCTATTTAACATTATACTGGTGGTTCTATATAGGTCATTAGGCAATAAAAAGAAAAAAAAATCCAAATTAGGCAAAAGTAAAGCTACCTATGTTTACAGTTGATATGGTCACACACATTTAAAAAACCTAAAGAATCTACCAGTAATTATCAGAGCTAATAAACAAGTTCAGCAATGTCCAGGATATGAGATCAGTAAACAAAAATCAGTTGTATTTCTGTACACTACCAGTGAACAATCTGAAAAGGAAATTAATAAAACAATTCAATTTATAATTAGCATTAAAAAGAATAAAATACTTAGGAATCAATTTACCAAAAGACTTACAACGCTTATAGATAACAAACTATAAAATTATTTTAAGGAATTAAAGACCTAAATTGGACATCCCATGTATATGTATTGGAAGTCTTAATATTGTTCTGATAGCAGTACTCCCCAGTAATCTAGGAATTCACTGTAATCCCTCTCAAAATTGCAGCTGCTTTTTTTGTTTTGTTTTGAAACAGGGTCTCCTGTCACCCAGGCTGTAATAAAGTGGTGCGATTGGCTCACTGCAGCCTTGAACTTTCAGGCTGAAGCGATCCTCCCATCTCAACCTCCTGAGTAGTTGGGACCATAGACATTTGCCACTGTGCCCAACTTATTTTTGTGTTTTTTGTAGAGATGAGGTTTTGCCATGTTGTCCAGACTAGTGTCGAGCTCCTGAGCTCGAGCAGTCCATCCACTTTGACCTCCTAAAGTACTGGGATTACAGGCATGAGCCACTGCCCCTGGCCCTGCATTTTATTTTATTTTATTTTTTCAGAGATGGAGAAGCTGATTCTAAAATTCATGTGGTAATGCAAGGAGACTCAGATTAGCGAAAGCAGTATTGAAAATGAAGAGCAAATTTTGAAGGACTCATGTTTCCTGATTTTAAAGCTTTCTACAGAGTAACAGTAATCAGGACACTGGTACTGGCATGAGGATGGACAAATAGATCAAGGGATAGAATCGAGATTCCAGAAATAAACCTGTAGTTTATGGTCAGTTAATTTTCAGCAGGGGTGCCAAGACCAATGGGGATAGAATTTCCTCTTTCTTTTTTTCTTTTTTTAATTTTTTGTTTTTGGTTTTTTGAGATGGAGTCTTGCACTGTCACCCAGGCTGGAGTGCAGTGGTGTGATCTCGGCTCATGCAAGCTCTGCCTCCTGGGTTCACACCATTCTCCTGCCTCAGCCTCCCGAGTAGCTGGGACTACAGGCGCCCTCCACCACGCCCGGCTAATTTTTTGTATTTTTAGTAGAGACGAGTTTTCACCGTGTTAGCCAGGATGGTCTTGATCTCTTGACCTTGTGATCCGCCCGCCTCAGCCTCCCAAAGTGCTGGGATTACAGGCACGAGCCACCGCACCCGGCCTCTTTTTTTAAATAGACATTTTTTTCGACCAGTTTTAGGTTCACAACAAAATTGAGCAGAATGTATAGTGATTTCCCTCATACCCCCTGCTGCATGCATGCGTAGCCTCCCCTATTATCGATATCCCCCACCAGAACGGTACATTTGTTACAACTAATGAACCTACATTGACACATCATTATGGCCCAGAGTCCATAGTTTGCATTAGAGTTCACTCTCTTTTTTTGAGACAGAGTCTCGCTCTGTTGCCCAGCCTGGAGTGCAGTTGCGTAATCTCAGCTTACTGCAACGTCTGCCTCCCAGGTTCAAGCGATTCTCCTGCCTCAGCCTCCAGAGTAGCTGGAATTAACAGGCACGTGCCACCACACCCAGCTAGTTTTTGTATTTTTAGAAGAAACAGGGTTTTACTATGTTGGCCAGGCTGGTCTCGAACTCCTGACAAGTGTTCTGCCCACCTCAGCCTCCCAAAGTGCTGGGATTACAGGCATGAGTCACCAAGCCCAGCCAGGGTTCACTCTTGATGTATATAGTCTTTGAGTTTGGACAAATGTGTAAAACATGTATCTGCCATTGTATTATCATACAGATTTAGTTTGGTTGTGCTAAAAAAGTCCTCTGTGCCCTGCCTGTTCATCCCTCCCTTCCCCCAACCCCCGACAACCACTGATCTTTAAAGGCTGGCTTCTTCACTTAGTAGTATGCTTTTACCTTTCCTCCATGTCTCTTCATGGCTTGATAGCTCATTTCTTTTTATCCCTGAATAATATTCAGTTGTCTGGATGAACCACAGTTTATCCATTAATCTACTGAATTTGGTTGCCCCCATGTTTTGGCAATATGAATAAAGCTACTATAAACATCTGTGCAGGTTTTTGTACAGATATAAGTTTTCAGTTCATTTTGGTAAATACCAAACATCAATATTGTTGAATCACATGGTAAGAGTATTTTTAGTTTTGTAAGAAACCACCAGACTGTCTATTCTAAAGTGGCTGTACCCTTTTACATCACCACCAGCAATGGGAGTTCCTGTTGTTCCACTGCCACCAGAATTTAGTGTTGTCAGTGTTTTGGATTTTGGCCATTATCATTGATGCATAGTGTATTTCAATGTTGTTGTAATTTGCATTTCCTTGGTGACATATGATGCAGAGCATCTTTTCATATGCTTATTAGATATTCATATGTATATCTTCGATGCAGTATCTGTTAAAAGTCTTTGGCCCATTTGTTAATTGGGCTGTTTGTGTTTTTACTGTTGAGTTCTAAGAGTTTTTTTATATTTTAGATAACAATCTTTTATCTGCTATGTCTTTTGCAAGTATTTTCTGCCAGTCAGTGGCTTAACTTTTTAACGGTAGTATGGCACTACTAGATATCCACATGCAAAAGATTGAGGTTAGACCTCTTAATCACACCATTTATAAAAATTAACTTAAAATGCATCCAAGACCTAAACTTAAAAGCCAGAAGTATAAAGCTGCTAGAAGAAAACAAGGCATAAATTTTTATGATCTTGTATCATGCAGTAATTTCTTAGATATGATACCAAAATCATAAGTAATCAAACAAAAAACAGGTAAGTTAGACATAAAATTAAAAACCTTAATTCAGCCCGGCACGGTGGCTCATGCCTGTAATCCCAACACTTTGGGAGGCCGAGGCAGGTGGATCACCTGAGGTCAAGAGTTCGAGACCAGCCTGGCCAACATGGTGAAACCCTGTATCAACTAAAAAATATGAAAAATTAGCCTGGTATGATGGCGGGTGCCTGTAATCCAAGCTACTTGGGAGGCTGAGTCAGGAGAATCGCTTGGACCCTGGAGGCGAAGGTTGCAGTGAGCTGAGATGGCATCATTGCACTCCAGCCTGGGCAATGAGCGAAATTCTGTCTCAAAAAATAAAATAAATAAATAAAACCTTAATCCAAGGAACATTATCAAGAAAGTAAAAAGACAACCCACAGAATAAGAGAAAATATTTGCAAATCATATATCTGATGAGTCTAGTGTCCAAAGAATTCCTAAGTTTCAACAATAGAAAGGGAAGTAACCCAGCTGAAAAATGAGCAAGAGATTTGAATGGATATTTCTGCAAAGATACGTGAATGGCCAACAATCACATGAAACGATTCTCAGTATCATCAGTTATTAGGAAAATTTAAATCAAAATCACAAGATACCAGTCAGGCGCTGTGGCTCATGCATGTAATCCCAGCACTTTGGGAGGCAGAGGCAGGTAAATCACTTGAGGTCAGGAGTTTGAGACCAGCCTGGCCAGTATAGTGAAACCCCATCCCTAGTAAAAAAATATATATATATAAAAATTAGCCGGGCGTAGTGGTGCATGCCTGTAATCCCAGCTACTCAGGAGGCTGAGGCAGGAGAATCACTTCCCAGGTGGTGGAGGTTGCAGTGAGCCGAGATCACGCCACTGCACTCCAGCCGGGGTGAAAAGAGAGAGACTCCGTCTCAAAAAAAAAAAAAAAAAAAAATCACAAGATACCACTTTATACCCACTAACATGTGCTGGTGATGATGCTGGAGAAAACAATAACACGTGTTGGTGATGATGGTGGAGAACATAGAATACTGCTGGTAGGAATGGACAATGATACAGCTGCTGTGGGAAGTGGTTTGGCAGTTCCAAAAAATGTTAAACATAATTGACCCAGCAATTCCTCTCTTAGGTATATACCCAAGATGAGCAAAGGTATGTGTCTACACAAAACTTGTTTGCAGATATTGATAGCAGCATTATTTATAATAGCCAAGAAATGGAAACAATCCATATGTCATTCAATTAATGAATAAACAAAATGTGATATATCCATATAATGGAATATTATTCAGACTTGCAAAGAACAGAAGTACTTATATGTGCTTTTAACATGGATGAATCTTGAAAAACATTAAGCTAAGTGAAAGAAGCCAAACCTAAAATGCTGTGTATGATTACATTTGTATGAAATGTCCAAAATAGGCAAAACCATAGAGACAGAAAATAGATTAGTAATTGCCAGGGGCTGGGTACAGAGGAGAAAATGGGGAGTGGCTGCTAATGAATATAGGGTTTCTTTTCTGGGATGATGAAAATATTCTGGAATTAAATAGTATTGATGGTCATGGTCACACAGCATTATGAATATACAAAAAGCCACTGAATTGTATACTTTAAAGGGGTGAATTTTATGGCATGTGAATTATACCCCAATTTAAAAATATTTGAAATCTAACCATAAGGGACATGTTATTCATATATGCTCTTCATGTTCATGATTCAGCCAATCTATTTTAATTTTGGAAGTCTTCAAACTTTAAATGGATTTCTCTAAATTATCTTTTCTGGAGTGAAGTTAGAATTATTGATGTGAGAGGATATTTCTTCTCTGACATGTTTTATTTACGTAGGTCATTTAAAAGCTTGCTCTGTAAATAGGAGTATTAAAAATACATTTTTAATTAAAATAGTAACTTTTTATAATGGTGAAGTAAAAATGTATTAGTATTTAAGATATGTGATTGACCGGCCGGGTTCGGTGGCTCATGCCTGTAGTTCCAGCACTCTGGGAGGCCGAGGTGGGTGGATCATGAGGTCAGGAGTTCAAGACCAGCCTGACCAAGATGGTGAAACCCCATCTCTACTAAAGATACAAAAATTTAGCCGGGCATGGTGGCGGGCGCTGGTAATTGCAGCTACTCGGGAGGCTGAGGCAGAGAATTGCTTGAACCCGGGAGGCGGAGGTTGCAGTGAGCTGAGATTGCGCCATTGCACTCCAGCCAGAACAACAGAGCGAAACTCCATCTCAAAAAAAAAAAAAAAAAAAAAAATATATATATATATATATATATATACACATATCATTGACCCTGTCATGCGGCATGTGATTTTCATATCTTGCTCTGGAGAAAGTCCATACTTTGGTATTGAAACATTATGCATTGTTATTCTAGGAGAACCCATCCCCCCACGGACCTTGACTGAAGCTGGCACAATGGCACTTTGCTACAGTGCTGCTTGGGATGCACGAGTTATCACTAGTGCTTGGTGGGTGTACCATCATCAGGTAATAAGGGCTCTTGTCCTTTTTCTTAATTTACTAAGAGCTACTGTGTGCCAAATTTTGAGAGTATAGAAGTAAATAAAGCAGACAAGGCTCAATAGAGCTAACTCTTTTTGGTAGAGGAAAATATGTACATAATGTCAGGTAATAAGTGCCATAAAATAGTGTTTTTAAAAGCATGGAAGGGGATAGAGAGTGATAGGGGATACCGTTTTGGATGAAGTATTGGGGGAACCTTTCTAGGAAGGTAGGATTTGAGCAGAGAGGTAAATGAAGAGAGAGTGATCCACACAATTATACAGGATAAAGAGTGTTCCAGTTATTATTGATTATTATTGGCATACTGACCTAAAAGGCCTTTCTTCTGTTCATCTTTGTTGGAATATTCTGAATTCTCTTGGGCACTTCCAGAAAAGTAGGCATATCCTGTTTGTTTTTTTTTTTAAATTCACTTGTTTTTATTAATTGCCCTTCTTTGTGGTTAATGATGTTGTTGGGGTTTTTTTGCATTTTTTTTTTTCTTTATAGAGATGAGGTTTCACCATGTTGGCCAAGCTGGTCTCGAATTCCTGACCTTAAGTGGTCCTCTTGCTTCAGCCTCCCAAAATGCTGAGATTACAGGCATGAGCCATGGTGCCTGGCCAGTGCTGTTGAGTTTGGTGATACTTCATTCTATATTTGACCTCACATTGCTATTGATTTCTTATCATACTTTTGAGAATTATAATTGATGATGATGTACTTTTATAAGTTCCTAAAGCTGTACAGTAGGATAAAAAGAATTCAGTTTCATTATACTCCCTTAGATTTAGTTTCATTTTTATATCTTTTTATATTATATGCTGTGCTGTGATATTGTCATATAGGGGGATTATAAATTGCTACCTCAGTGCTGTTATAAAAGTGGTTTTAATTCTTTCATTAAGAAATTTTTTAGAATGAAATTTAGTGTTTTTAATCCCTTGCTGGTTTTTTGTGTTTGTTTGTTCGTTTTGAGATGGAGTCTTGCTCTGTTGTCCAGGCTGGAGTGTAGTGGTGCAATCTTAGCTCACTGCAGCCTCCGCCTCCTGGGTTCAAGCGATTCTCCTGCCTCTGCCTCCTGAGTAGCTGGGACTACAGGAGTGTCCCACCATACCTGGCTACTTTTTCTATTTTTGTAGAGATGGGGTTTTGCCATGTTGGCCAGGCCAGTCTCAAACTCCTGGCCTCAAGTGATCCTCCTGCTTCCGCCTCCCAAAATGCTGGGATTACAGGCATGAGCTAGCACACTTGGCCCCTTGCTATTTTAATAACTATGACTAATAAAGATACTCTCAAGATTTGGGGGTTTCACAGATGTATAAATTTTTTTTTTTTATGAGATGGAATGTTGCTCTGTCACCCAGGCTAGAATGCAATGGCGTGATCTCGGCTCACTGCAACCTCTGCCTCCTGGGTTCAAGCAATTCTCTGCTTCAACCTCCCGAGTAGCTGGGATTATAGGCACCCACCACCACGCCTGGCTAATTTTAGTAGAGACAGGGTTTCACCATCTTAGCCAGGCTGGTCTTGAACTCCTGACCTCACAATCCACCTGCCTTGGCCTCCCAGAGTGCTGGGATTACAGGTGTGAGCCACTGTACCTGGCCCCAAAATTTTTTTAAATTATGGGATAAGTTTACTCACTTTCTGTTTTGCCAAAATAGGATATATTTTTAAAAATCTGCTATTTCATATAGACAAAGGTTACTTTTGCCTCATGCCTGTAATCCCAGCACTTTGGAAGGCCAAGGTGGGCAGATCATGAAGTCAGGAGTTCAAGGCCAGCCTGGCCAATATGGTGAAACCCCGTCTCTACTAAAAAATACAAAAATTAGCCGGGCGTGGTGGTGCGCACCTGTAATCCCAGGTACCTGGGAGGCTGAGGCAGGAGAATCTCTGGAACCTGGGAGGTGGAGATTGCAGTGAGCCAAGATCAAGCCACTGCACTCCAGCCTGGGTGACAGTGTGAGACTCTGTCTCAAAAAAAAAAAAAAGGCAAAACTTTATTATCAAAAACAGTATCTTAGACAAGGATTTTATTTAATAAATAGAGCTTTATTTTAGTAAACATAGCTTTATGATAAGCTCATTAACCTATCCTTAGTTTTCTCATTACATCTCATGCTGGAAGAGATGAGTGGACCAGTTCTGGCTGTCGTCCATGGCATTTGAAAATTATTGCCGGGCATAGTGGCTCACGCCTGTAATCCCAGCACTTTGGGAGGCCGAGGCAGGCGGATCATGAGGTTAGGAGTTCAAGACCAGCCTGGCCAACATAGTGAAACCCCGTCTCTACTAAAAATACAAAAATCAGCTGGGCATGGTGGTGCGTGCCTGTAGTCCCAGCTACTCAGGAGGCTGAGGCAGGAGAATCACTTCAACCAAGGAGGTGGAGGTTACAGTGAGCCGAGATTGTGCCACTGCACTTCAGCTTGGGCAACAGAGTGAGACTTCATCTCAAAAAAAAAAAAAAAGAAAGAAAATTATTGATGTAGTGGATTCTTTGTTTTTTTCTTTGTTACTTCCAAAGGCTTATCTGTCATTAAAGGGGTATCTTTCCCTTTAGTATTGAGAATTTGTACGAAATTATAAACTTTTCAGAAGACAGTGTGGCTTACTTGACTCTGACTTTACTTTCTCCTCAAGTGGAAAAAGAAAACTAGAGTATTTTTTTAAATAAGAATATAATGTATTATTGTGTTCTTCAGGTATCTAAAACAGCACCAACTGGAGAATATTTGACAACAGGAAGCTTCATGATAAGAGGTAATGTCTTGACAGGAAAAATATCACTAGACTTGTCAATGGATTATGGAGACAGGTTTGAGACAGTTTACAAATACTCTTAGAACAAAAACAAATTACTCGGATTTCCTATGTGAAGTCTGCTATGAAGTAAAGAAATTTTTGCCTTGGTGTGACAAGTTTAGTGTTTGTCATATCTTCTTCATGTATATTTTTATTGAGGGCAGTGCACTTTCACATAGTTTAGTTATAAGGGTAAGAAAGGATAGCCTGAACTTATTTCTGAAAATAGAATATTCAGGGTCTGACTGACCCAGAATATCAGAGCAAGTGTGTATATTTTTTACTTCTTAATAACTGTTCCTATACATACTGCCCAGTTCTATAAATGGGAAATGTTATTCTTGACATAGTAAAAGACAAAATGGATATGACCATTAGTGTCATCTGACACTAATTTTTTTTTGTTTTACAAGCAAAAAATGGAGAAGACTGATTTTCAAAGCATTAATGTACGTTATCTTTTGTAGGAAAAAAGAATTTTCTTCCTCCCTCATATCTAATGATGGGGTTTAGCTTCCTTTTTAAGGTACTCTTCAACTTCTTGGTTATTTATTTGTTTTTTTCCTGATTTTCATTAGTCTTGTCTGAAGCTCCGTCACTGAAAAATAACTGTTTCTTTAGGTAGATGAGTCTTGTGTTTGGAGACATCAGGGTGAACGAAAAGTCAGAGTACAGGATGAAGACATGGAGACACTGGCAAGTTGTACAAGTGAACTCATATCAGAAGAAATGGAACAATTAGGTAGTTTATAGATTTTAAGAAATTAGCTTGTGATGTTTTTTGTTACCTAGTTTTGCTTCTAAATCCTTAGAAGATCATGTCTCTTTGGGATAATCTAAATTTCAAAAAAACCCCGAAAACCCAAAGTACGTGCTGTTTTACTGAATTTTTTTTTTTTTGGAAATGCTAAATATACTTATTCTAGTGAATTTAAAAGTATTTATCAGTCCGGGCATTGTGGCTCATGTCTGTAATCCCAGCACTTTTGGGAGTCCGAGGCAGGTGGATTGCTAGAGCTCAGGAGTTTGAGACCAGCCTGGGCAACATGGCAAAACCATCTCTACCAAAAAAATCACCCAGGCGTTGTGAGCGCCTATAGTCCCAGCTACTGAAGAGGCTGAGGTAGGAGGATTGCTTGAACCTGGGAGGCAGAGGTTACAGTGAGCCTAGATCACGCCACTGCCACTGCACTCCAGCCTGGGCCACAGAATGAGACCCTGTCTCAAAAAAAAAAAAAAAGTATTTAATTGGATCCATACTAACATACTTTAATGTATGTTTATATAGTGAGACTTCAGTATTTAATGGGTAATGCATAAATGTGTTTAACAAAGGTAGACTCGGGTAAATGTGCATTAGCATTTAGTTTTGGGTTTAGGAATTACAAGTGATAGATGAATTTATAAAGTGCAGTTTCTCATATGAAAATTTGGCTTGATTTAATAAAATATTTGTTTCAAGTAGAGAGCAATTATAGTTGCTGGAATAAATTCATCTGCCTACCTGAGGAAACTAGGGAAAATATTCCCACTAAACTACTTTTGTAGTTATTCTCTCTGCTAAGGTCATTCCTCTTTACAGGTAATATTGCATTGTTTCATTTACTATTACTGTTGTGCTGCAAGATTTTGTTGATTGAGGCTCACCATTTCCCTGGGACTGTATAAAGTGCCTTATTTACATTCTTTTCTTTTTTTTTTTCCCCCCGAGAGGGAGTCTCAGTCTGTCGCCAGGCTGGAGTGCAGTGGCACAATCTCGGCTCACTGCAACCTCTGCCGCCCAGGTTCTAGCAATTCTTCTGCCTCAGCCTCCCGAGTAGCTAGGATTACAGGCGCCTGCCACCACGCCTGGCTAATTTTTGTATTTTTAGTAGAGACGGGGTTTCACCATCTTGGCCAGGCTGGTCTTGTACTCCTGACCTTGTGATCCACCCACCTCGGCCTCCCAGAGTGCTAGGATTACAGGCATGAGCCACTGCACCTGGCCTATTTACATTATTTTCTATTCTCACAACCATCCTTGTCAGATGAGTGGTGGCATCTCATTTTACAGGTGAGGCAGTAGACCCTGTTACTACTATTAGACAGTGTTCCTTTTGCAGAAGAATGAGCACCTGCTATGTGGGCGTTATATAATACGTATTTAAGTTTTTATGTGCAAATTATAATAAAAGCAGCAAAAGTTATGCAACTAATTTTGCTGTCTTGGTTTTTGGAAATACCCAACTAAGGCAGAGTTGTGGTTTTCATTGTTGAAAGGGTAGCAATGTCCAAGAAATTTATTGTGGTAAAGGATCTTGGAGATCATTTAGTTCAACCTATTCATGATACAGGTTATTCTTTTGTCTAAGAGTACCCTTTGGGAATGATCAGACACTTTTCTGTTGATTTTTTGGAGAAATATGGGAGAAACAGTGGAATATTTTTATGACATTTTTAGGAAATCACCTGGCTTGGTTGGTAGTCCCACACTGACTTTCCTTATGATAATTCTACAGATGGAGGTGACACGAGCAGTGATGAGGATAAAGAAGAACATGAAACTCCTGTGGAAGTAGAACTCATGACTCAGGTTGACCAAGAGGATATCACTCTTCAGAGTGGCAGAGATGAACTAAATGAGGAGCTCATTCAGGAAGAAAGCTCTGAAGACGAAGGAGAATATGAAGAGGTTAGAAAAGATCAGGATTCTGTTGGTGAAATGAAGGATGAAGGGGAAGAGACATTAAATTATCCTGATACTACCATTGACTTGTCTCACCTTCAACCCCAAAGGTAATTAAAAAATAAAATTTTACATATTATTGTGTAAGCTGAGAATGATGATGAGGTAATCCTTACAAAGATAATACCAAGATTGACATCAGTACTTTTACACTCCATTGTCTTAATACTTTTTCAACATTTGATTGGGTCTCTCTGCAAAGAAATTCCCAGGACCAGGGTAGAAAAATACAGTGCATATAGAGTGGCCAAACTAGATCCAAATAGAAACAAGTAAATGGTTATAAATGCTAAAAACATAACAAAGGCAATTCCATCAAAGAAATGTGTTTTAGTCTATATAATGTTTTGCAGATCATCAGGTGAATAGTCCATAGTTATAAATGCATAATTAACTTAGGGGTAATTCAGAACAGTCTAGGAGTCAGACAGACCAGTATTGGGTCTTAGGGTGCGTCCTTGGGAAAATTACTTTGTGCTTAAGCTTCAGTTTCCTTCTTGGTGAAAACAGAATGGTATCCCTTTCATAGGGATTTGGTGAAGGTTTCATGCGTGTATACCATCTGGCAGTGCCTGACACACAGTAAGTTTTCAATACACGTCACCTATTTAAAAATGTATATGGAAGTGTGGAGAGAGGAGCAATTTGGTTGTATGTTTTTCTCACTTCACCAAATTTGAAAATTTGTTGGATTGCCAGTACTTAAGAGTATGATATGGGAATGTTTTGGGACTTTGTAAATGCATGTCTTTTACAGGCTAGTAGAGACTCCCTTGTGTTTATTTTCATAGGTCCATCCAGAAATTGGCTTCAAAAGAGGAATCTTCTAATTCTGTAAGCTATTTTCAGTTTTATGAAGAACATCCGATTCTCAGTGAATAATTTTCTACTTTTCAAAAAAGTTAATAGTGATATTTGCATTTGCCTGTTTTTTTGTTTTAATAGAGTGACAGTAAATCACAGAGCCGGAGACATTTGTCAGCCAAGGAAAGAAGGTAAACACATCTGTGTTAATTAACTAAAAAGCATGTTTTTCTTTTTTTTTTAATTGATAGCTCAGCTACCACAGATTACTTAGCTGTTTAAAGACTTCCTTCATTAAATTTACCAAGATTTAGCACAAATGTTTAGTTTTTAATATTAAGCTCTAATACATTTTTCTGTTTAAGGGCCCTAATCTATAACTATAATCAATGAAATAGACCTAGTAGAGTAAGTCCTCACTTAACATTTTCCTTTTTTTTTTTTTTTTTTTTTTTTTTGAAACAGGGTCTCGCTTTGTTGCCCAGGCTAGAGTGCTATGGCGCAGTCATGGCTCACTGCAGCCTCAAACTCCCAGGCTCAGGCAGTCTCCTGCTTCAGCCTCCTGAGTAGCTGGGACTACAGGCGTGTGCCACTACAAAAATTTTTATAGTTTTTGTAGAGACAGGGTTTCATCATGTTGCCCAGGCTGGTCTTAAACCCCTGGGCTCAAGTGATCCTCCCACCTTGGCTGCCCAAAGTGCTGGGATTACAGACATGAGCCATTGTGCCCGGCCTTCACTTAACATTTTCTTTTTTTTTGAGATGGAGTCTCGCTCTGTCGCCCAGGCTGGAGTGCAGTGGCATGATCTCGGCTCACTGCAAGCCCCACCTCCCGGGTTCACGCCGTTCTCCTGCCTCAGCCTCCCGAGTAGCTGGGACTAGAGGCGCCCACCACCATGCCCGGCTAATTTTTTGTATTTTTAGTAGAGACGGGGTTTCACCGTGTTAGCCAGGATAGTCTCGATCTTCTGACCTCGTGATCACCCGCTTTGGCCTCCGAAAGTGCTGGGATTATAGGCATAAGCCACCGCGCCTGGCCCACTTAACATTTTCAATAGGTTCTTGGAAACTTGGACTTAAGGGAAACAGTGTGTAATGAAACCAGTTTTGCCATGGGCTAATTGATATAAACAAGAGTTAAGTTCCTCTGGCATATTTTTGGTCACAAAACCATCACCAAGCTTCTAAATAAAGACTGAAAACTCTTCTAATATTAAACGTTAAAATAAATGTAAACTGTATGTATATTTAAGAAAGATGAATGAAAGCGAGCAAGATAATTATTTACCCAATTTTTGGTAAATCAATGAGTGATGGCAGTTGTAGTGGTAGTGGGTTAAATCAAGGATTATTTGCAAAGTGAAAACTATAGAGTACCTCCTACTACCATGAGGTTCAAAAACAAAAATGTGGCACATTCATTAAACACTTTCATACTACATTGTTGATTGTTATACATTTGTATGACTATAGTTTATGAATTTTTGACAATCATTTTTATTAAGTCATTCATTCATTCATTCATTCGTTTTTCAACCGCTTATTCCAGTTAAGGGTCATTGGTGGCTAGAGCCTATCCTGGCAGGTCAGGGCAAAAGGCCAGAACCAACCTAGAACAGGATGTCATTCTGTTGCAGGGCACACATACCTGCACTCATTCATGCTGGGATAATTTACACACACCAGTTAACCTGACATGCGCATTTTGGGATGTGAGAGAAAACCTGAGTACCTGGTGAAAACCCACAAAGACATGGGGAGAACATGTAAACTCTGCACAGATGGTAGCCGTGGCCAGGAATCAATTTTGTTCTCATCAAAGTTATAACACAATGATGTTGAATGAAATGATGTTATTTGAGGACTAGCTCTAATAAGACCTTTTATTACATAAACATGTACAATAATGATTTCAGTGTATTACATAGACTAGTTCTAGGGTGATATTGTCAGGAATAAATATGAATACCTGAAATTAGGAAAGTTTTATGTAAGGCAGAATAGTTGATTTTTTGTTTTTTGTTTTTTTTGAGACGGAGTCTCGCTCTGTGGCCCAGGCTGGAGCGCAGTGGCTGCGATCTCGGCTCACTGCAAGCTCTGCCTCCCAGATTCATGCTATTCTCCTGCCTTAGCCTCCCGAGTAGCTGGGACTACAGGCACCCACCACCACGCCCGGCTAATTTTGTTTTTGTATTTTTAGTAGAGATGGGGTTTCACCGTGTTAGGCAGGATTGTCTCGATCTTCTGACCTCGCGATCCACCCGCCTTGGCCTCCCAAAGTGCTGGATTACAGGTGTGAGCCACCGCGCCTGGCCGATTTTTTTTTTTTTTTTAATAGCAGGTCTCAGGAAGCAAGTAGAAGCAAGGGAAGGGCGGAAGGGAAGGGAACAACTACTGTAGGGTGGGAAAGACTAAGCAAACTAAAGCACTCCAGGAAGAGGCCCTAGAACAGAATGGACAATAAAGCCTTTTCATTTGAGAAACATAATCATTGAACAATTACAGAGAATTCTGAGCACATAGCCCTGTGCTAGATACTTACTGAGTATACAAAGAGGTGAAGTATAAAGCTCATGCCTTCAAGAAGCTTTTGAGTCCTGGATTCAGGAAGTAGTCATAAATATGTAAATAGTGTCTGAAAGTGATAAAGTAGTTCAAGAGTAAGAGATTGCTGTGAGTTCAGATGTTTGGGGAAATAACATCAGAAGTATACCTTGAAAGATATGTTAGCAGTTAAGTAAATGAAGGAGGGAGACTCCAAGGAGAATTAGCATTAACAAAGGGGAGTGCTTCTTTGGGGTAATATGCATAGTGCTTTGGGGAAATGATAAATAGACTGAGTTGGAAGGAAGAGAAAGTTTGTGTATTAAATGGTAGATAATATGATTGGAGAAGTAAATTTGGACTAAAAGTGGAGTACTTAAAAGCTAAGGATTTTGGACTATACCCTTTAAAGTGATACGAAGAGAATGTGACATAGGCAAATGATTAAGGAAGATTAATATAGAAGTTAATGGCCGGATGTGGTGGCTCACGCCTATAATCCCAGCACTTTGGGAGGCCAAGGCGAATAGATCACCTGAGGTCAGAAGTTTGAGACCAGCCTGACCAACATGGTGAAACCCCATATCTACTAAAAATACAAAGTTAACTGGGTGTGGTGGCACAAACTCCGTTTTAAAAAAAAAAAATTCAGAGTATGTAGACTCTGGAGGAAGTCTGGGTGGGATGTAATGAGGACCTGAACTAAGACGTTGGCATTGGGAACAGAAAGAAGAATACCACAGTAATAAAATTTACCCTTCCTTCTTAACCTGTGTATTTTTAATCCATTTAGTCAACCAACCGGTCAACAGATGTTTTATTGAATGCCTAAGACCTGCCAATGCTATGTTGGTACAAAGACTACAAATCCCAGTGCCTGGCCATCAAGGTGATCAGGGGCAAAATGTGCCTAGTGAGTAAGGATGAGTCAGGGGTGACAATATGTTGAGCTTGGATGATGGAAAGAAAGATAAATCCATGAGAGATGAAAAACTTGCATCTTTTTCCCACATGATGATTTTAAGCATCTTTGTATTTTCTAACTTGGTGATTATCAAGTGAAGCAGAAGCCATGACCATTTATATACTGTATATGTGCCTTCCCCATGGAACTTTTTTAGGGCACTAAGAATTTCAAATTCTAAGAATGAAATGTTTTCATGTCTTTTTTATTCAGGGAAATGAAAAAGAAAAAACTTCCAAGTGACTCAGGAGATTTAGAAGCGTTAGAGGGAAAGGATAAAGAAAAAGAAAGTACTGTACACATTGAAACTCATCAGAACACAAGCAAAAATGTTGCGGCTGTGCAGCCAATGAAACGAGGACAAAAGGTAAACTTCAGGATGATCTATATGGTTCACAGTTAATTTGTGAGGTTCCTTTTTAATTTTTTAAAGTTGAAGTGAAATAGAAAATGTAGGCCAAAAAATAATCCTGTGTGATTTCCTTTGACTAAAAATTAGTTGAGTAGATACAGCATTTAGGGAACACAGAGATCACTATTAGAAGTTCTTTAGACTTTCAAGATCATCTGCACAGAAGCTCTCATTTTATCTGGAAGAGTAATAGGAGATTATGGCTTGCCAAAGTCACCCAGCTAGTTAAGTAGCAGAGCTGATATTTATTGAGAATTTAGCTCAGTAATTTTTAGATTTTGGTTAGAGTTCTTAGATATTTTGCTAAAGGTGGATGGTGAAGAAAGAAGTACTTATGATAGAACATACTCTTTCCACACTGCCCCTGCCCCCACCTCCCCACCCCCCAACCCCGCTGTCAGCTCCCCCAAGATAGTCTTGCTCTGTCACCCACGCTGGAATGCAGTGGTGCAGTCAGGGCTCACTGCACTAGCCTTAACTCCTAGGCTCAAGTGATCCTCCCATCTCAGTCTTCCAAGTAGCTGGGACCGCACAGGTGCATGCCACCATGCTCAGCTAAATTTTTTTATTTTTTGTAACGATGGGGTCTAACTATATTGTCTGGGCTGGTCTCAAACTCCCAGGCTCAAGTGATCTTCCTGCCTCACCCTCCCAAAGTGCTTGTAACTAGAGGTGTGTTAGCCACCATGTCTGGTTATGATATAATACACTCTTCAAAATGCTGTAGCAGCCAGGCACAGTGGCTCATGCGTGTAATCTCAGCACTTTGGGAGGCTGAGGCAGGTGGATCACTTGAGGCCAGGAGTTCAAGACCAGCCTATCCAACATGGTGAACCCTATCTCTACTAAATATAGAAAAATTAGCCAGGCATGGTGGTACATGCCTATAGTCCCAGCTACTCGAGAGGCTGAGGCAGAAGAATTGCTTGAACCCAGGAGGCGGAGGTTGCAGTGAGCCAAGATCACGCCACTGCACCGCAGCCTGGGTGACATGGCGAGACTCGCCTGTCTCAAAAAAAAAAAAAAAGCTGTAGCAGTATAAAAATGAGGGGATTATGGGCTAATTTATCAGTGTACCCCTTTTAAAATTTAAATTTCTTTTCAATTTTTTTTTTTTTTTTTTTTTAGAGACAGGGTCTTGCTCTGTTGCCCAGGCTGGAGTGTAGTGGCTATTTACAGGCATGTTTGTAGCATACTACAGCTTTGAACTCCTGGGCTCACGCATTCCTCCTACCTCAGCCTCCTAAGTAGCTGGGACCACAAGTGCATGCCACCACACTAGGCTATAATCTTTATAAAGATGTTTTATGATCTTTCCTTCTTCCATACAGGTCAGATTTTCCTATGCTTTTTTCCAGTGAGCTGCAAATGACATGTGCATAAGGAAGGGAAGACTCAACCTAATAAAAATATAAATTCCCCTCATATGTAAATTCAACATGACTTTAATCAGAATTGAGATTTTAATGCTTGATAAAATAATTGTAAATTTATTTTGGAAGGAGTAATGCTTGAGAATAGCTAAGGAAATAAGGAGGGATTTCCCTATGAGGTAGTAAAATATTTAATGCTAGAATTTTTACAACAGCATGTTATTAACATAGGAATAGCTAGACAGAAAAAAATGAGACAGAATAAAATCTAGACAGAGGACCACTACCTGATATTTAGCATTTTAGTACGTGATAAAATAATATTGTAGATCATTTGAGAAGATATGAAATATTCAAAATGATGGCTAACCATGTGAAAACGGTACCACAGTGAATTGCAGGTGGAGAAAGTAAAGAACCACCAGTAAAATTAAAAAACAAATGACAAATCTGGAAAAAAAAAAAAGTGATGACAGAAATGCTGTGTAAACCTGGGGAATTTTTTTTACCCATCAAATTAATAGATACTACATTGTCAGTTTGAGTGTACAACATGGGAATTCCAGTCAAAAGTCTTAACAGTGCTTCTGCCCTTTGACTCAGCAATTCCTCTTATAGGAATTTATCCTAAAAAAAATTATGGGTACGCAACGAGGACGTTGAAGTTTATATTTGTAGTAGCAAAAAAATACTGCAATTAATCTTAAGTGTACAACAATGTGAAATAACAATAAATGATGCATTTTTACAATGAAATATTCTGCAGATAGGTTAAGTTTCAAGGCAAATCCTGATAGAATGTTTATTAAAATACATTAAACTTTTAGATTATTTTCTGGGGAATTGTCATTTTTACCACTTTGAGTCTTCCTGTGGAAAACTATAATTGTGCAATTATAAAACTATAACTGAGCAATCTGCCCGCCTCAGCCTCCCAAAGTGTTGGGATTACAGACTTGAGCCACTGCGCCCTACCTATTTTTGAAACTTTCATTTCCTAGCTGTTACTTGCTGGTACATGGGAAGACAACTTTCATGTTGATCAAGTAATGGGCAATCTTATAGAGCACTTACTAATTTTAATACTTCATCTGTAGGCAGTCATATCGTCTGCAAATTATGGCTTTTCTTCTAGTCTTAATATCTTTTTATTTTCCCCATGTTTTTTTTTGCAGTGACTGAAAAGCAAAAATATAATGTTTCATAGAAGTAGTAATCGTGTATATCTTTGTTAATTCCATTACAGGAACTGTTTCTAAGATTTTATCATTGCGGGATGTTTCCTTTGGGTTGTTGAAGGACACCTTTTTGAAAGTTATTTTTAATAACGATGAGTTAAATGTTACTGAATGGTTTTTCTGTGTCTATTGCATTCTTTTTGTTTGTTTTTTTGAGACAGGGTGTCACTCTGTTGCCCAGGCTGGACTGCAGTGGTGTGGTTATGGCTCACTGCAGCCTCGATCTCCTGGGCCCAAACCATCCTAATACCTCAGCTTCCCAAACAGCTGGGATCACAGGCATGTGCCACCATGTCTGGCTAATTTTTATTTTTATTATTTTTAGAGACAGGCTCTTCCTATTTGCCCAGGCTGGTCTAACTCCTAGGCTCAAGTTATCCTCCTGCTTGTTATCCAAAAGTGCTAAAATTAACAGGCATAAGCCACCATGCCCAGACTATTGTATTATTTTATCTGTTAGTCAGTATGGTATATTAGTTGAGAAAAATATATTAATTGGCTTCTAATTTCTCATACCGTCTCTGCCTGTTTTTTGTGTTTACATTATACCAGTTTCATAAAATAAGTTTAGGACCTTTCCCTCTTTTTCTGCTCTCTAGAACTTTGTATAAAATGGAGATTGTGGCTGGGCACGGTGGCTCATGCCTGTAATCCCAGCACTTTGGGAGGCTGAGGCAGTTGGGTCACCTGAGGTCAGGAGTTCAAGACCTGCCTGGCTAACATGGTGAAACCCCATCTGTATTAAAAATACAAAAATTAGCCGGGTGTGGTGGGACCTGTAGGTCCCAGCTTCTTGGAGGCTGAGGCAGGATAATTGCTTGAGCCTGGGAGGCAGAGGTTGCAATGAGCCAAGGTCATGCACTGCACTCCAGCCTGGGTGACAGAGCAAGAACTCTGTCAAAAAACGGAGATTGTTCCTTGAAATTGGATAGCATTTGCTTATAAAACTAGACCTAATGTTTTGGGTTTTGTGAGGAGACTTTTTTTTTTTTTAGACTGGGTCTTACTTTGTTGCCCAGGCTGGGATGTAGTGTTGCAATCTTGGCTCACTGCAGCCTCGACCTCCTGGGCTCAAGCAATCCTCCCATCTCAGCTTCCCTAGTAGCTGAGACCACAGGTGTGTGCCACCATGCCTGGCTATTTTGAGGAGGTTTGTAAGAACTAATTTCAATTTCTTTAATGATTTTAGGTTTATTCAGGTTTTCCGGGATTTTTTTTGAAGTTGGTTTTCCGAAGTTGTATTTTCTAAGAAACTCTGTTGTCATCAGGTTTTCCATTCCTCAGTCCTGTTTATTGGTTACAATATTCTTTCTCAATTTTTTTTTGAGGTACAGTGTACATAGTAGTAAAATGCACAAATCTTTGGCTCAGTGAATTTTTTTTTTTTTTTTTTTTTTTTAAATGGAGTCTCGCTCTGTTGCCCAGGCTGGAGTGCGGTGGCGCGATCTCGGCTCACTGCAACCTCCGCCTCCTGGGTTCAAGCAATTCTCCTGCCTCAGCCTTCTGAGTAGCTGGGACTACAGGCGTGCACCACTATGCCCAGCTACTTTTTGTATTTTTAGTAGCGACAGAGTTTCACCATGTTGGTCAGGATGGTCTCGATCTCTTGACCTTGTGATCCGCCTGCCTCGGCCTCCCAAAGTGCTGGGATTACAGGCGTGAGCCACCATGCCTGGCCTCAGTGAATTTTTATAAGCACACACATCTGTGAAACCACCACTCAGATACAGATACTTTACTTGGAATGTTTCCAGCATCCCAGAAGGCTCATGCTTGCTTGCCAGTTTCTTTTTTTCTGAGATGGGTTCTCACTGTGTTGCCAGCCTGGATGGAGTACAGTGGTGTGATCTCAGCTCACTGCAACCTCTGCCTCCTGGGTTCAAGCGATTCTCCTGCTTCAGCCTCCTGAGTAGCTGGCACTACAGGCACACGCCACCACACCCAGCTAATTTTTGTATTTTTAGTACAGACGGGGTTTCACTTATGTTGGCCAGGATGGTCTCGATCTCCTGACCTTGTGATCCACCCGCCTCGGCCACCCAAAGTGCTGGGATTACAGGCGTGAGCCACTGCGCCCAGCCAGAAGGCTCATGCTTGCCACTTGCTAAGAATATCCCCACTTGACATTTTTTTTGTTTTTTGAGACAGAGTTTTACTCTTGTTGCCCAGGTTGGAGTGCAATAGCATGATCTCGGCTCACCGCAACCTCTGTCTCCCAGGTTCAAGCGATTCTCCTACCTCAGACTCCCAAGTAGCTGGGATTACAGGCATGCACCACCACGCCTGGCTAATTTTGTTTGTATTTTTGGTAGAGATGGTGTTTCACCATGTTGGTCAGGCTGGTCTTGAACTCCTGACCTCAGGTGATCCACCTACCCAGACCTCCCAAAGTGTTGGGATTACAGGTGTGAGCCACCGTGCCAGACCCTCACATGACTTTTGGATCCCTAAGTATGCATTTCTGTTCATATACATATGAGTGGAATTTTCTGGGTTGTGGCATACATGTTGTTTGCCTTTATTAGATCCTGTCAATCAGTTTTCCAGAGCACCTGTATCAATTTCCCACCAGGCAGTGTATGAGAGTTCCAGTTGTCCCCCATCCGTAGTAACACTTGGTATTGTTTTCTTTTTTCAGTCATTTAAGTGTGTATATGCTGATAGCTCATTTGGCTTTTATTTCATGTTCCTGATGACTAATGATATTGAGCGCTTTCTCATGTTTTTTGGACCTTTGTGTATCCTCTTTCGAAGTGCCTATTTTAAAAATTGGTTTGTCCTGTCTTTCTAGTTGATGTATAAGGGTTCTCTGCAATCCTGAATACAAGTCCTTTCTCGGATATATGTATTGCAAGCGTTTTTCACACTTTGGGGATTGCTGTTTTTCACTTTTTAATAGTCTTTTTTGATGAGTAGCATTTTTAAATTCTAATTGAGTCTGATGTATCAGTCTTTTACGGTGTTTGTGTCCTGTTTAGGGACACAAATTTACAATTTTCAAAATGTGTTATTTCAGTCCCAGTTAACACAGTTAATCAAGACAAAAATCTCTAGGGTGGGGCCTAGATGTTTATAGTTTAAAACCCCTAGAGTGATTTGGGGATGTAATCAGGGTAAAGAATCATTGGTTTATTTAATAAAATACAGAGTCTTGAAAGCCTCTAGAATAAGTGCCTAGCCTAGCTTTGCTGCTTTATTTCCTGTTCTTCCTCCATGTGTACCCTGACCCAAACCAAATGTGATGACTTGCTATTACTGTTCTCTTCCTTTTTAGACTTGCTTTTCCAATACTGTTTTACTTTATTTCTTCCTCACAGTTCTTTATGTTTTGTTAATGTATTCTTACTTCTCTGTGTATCTTCTCTCCACCCTATGGTAAATTCCTTGAAGATGAGGACTTCAGTTATCCAACTTTGTAGCCTTCATATTGTTTATTATAATGGTGCCTTATTCAGTAAGCATTTTTGACAGAGAATATAAAGTAACACCATTTCTTTGCAAGTATTTGTTGACATTTTTTTGCTGCTGAATATTTCCAACCAAAATCTTCTGATTTTGTAGAGTAAAATGAAAAAAATGAAAGAAAAATACAAAGACCAGGATGAAGAAGACCGTGAACTTATCATGAAGTTGCTGGGGGTAAATAACATCTAAAAACATTTTTTCTTTTGCTTTTCAAATGGGCATCTAGCCCACTGCCTAGCGTATGACAGGCATTCAATACATTCTTGTTAAAATATTCACAGTATTGAAAATACAACACTGACTGATGTTTCCTCTATGAATTAAAGTCTGCAGGTTCAAACAAAGAAGAAAAAGGGAAGAAGGGGAAGAAAGGAAAAACAAAGGACGAACCTGTGAAGAAACAGCCCCAGAAACCTAGAGGTGGACAGAGGGTCTCTGACAACATTAAGAAAGAAACTCCGTTCCTTGAGGTTATAACTCATGAGTTACAAGACTTTGCTGTAGATGATCCACATGATGACAAGGTATGGCTACTTTGTGGGCTTCTGCTTCTTAATTAGGGTGATTACCCATCCTGGAGTTCCCAGGACATGGGACTTTCAGTGCTAAAACCAAGACAAGTGAGTAACCCTATTCTTAATGGAATGTCATCCAGAAATACAACCTGAAAGACTAAAATTGCAGTATCTTATCTAAGCATGATAATGGTAGTACTGATAGCTGATAACAATTTTGTTACAAGCCTTTAGGAAGTAATCAGTTTTAAGGAGAGGCTTTGATTCTGATGGGAACTGAATTAAATTAAGACAGAGAGGCCTGGCACGGTGGCTCACGCCTGTAATCCCAGCACTTTGAGAGGCCAAGGCAGGCAGATCACAAGGTCAGGAGATTGAGACCATGCTGGCTAACGTGGTGAAACCCTGTCTCTACTAAAAAAATACAAAAAAATTAGCCGGGTGTGGTGGTGAGCGCCTGTAGTCTCAGCTACTTGGGAGGCTGAGGCAGAATAGCGTGAACCTGGGAGGCAGAGCTTGCAGTGAGCCGAGATTGTGCCACTGCACTCCAGCCTGGGCGACAGAGCGAGACTCCATCTCAAAAAAAAAAAAAAAAAGAGAGAGAGAAAATTGGGATTGTCTTGAAGATGTGTAGAAAATAAATTTTCACTTTCTCTAAGCTTTTCTATAGGAATCTATGCCATATGGTCGTACATAATGTTGAAAATGAGTACACCATTTAAGAGCCAAGTACTCTGGTTACAAAACCAGTGAGTTCGTATTTTTCCAGCTAAGATGATTGCCTAATTGTTTTATTAACAGTACAGCAAGCCCAGCCTTCTGTATATCTTCTTACATGAATATGTACCTCTTCTTGAATTTTTTTTTTTTTTTTTTTTGAGGCAGTCTTGCTCTGTTGCCCAGGCTGGAGTGCAGTGGCACAATCTCAGCTCACTGCAACCTCCACCTCCCGGATTCAAGCAATTATCCGGCCTCAGCCTTCTGAGTAGCTGGGATTACAAGCATGCACCATCACGCCTGGCTTATTTTTGTATTTTTAGTGGTGATGGGGTTTCACCATGTTGGCCAGGCTGGTCTTGAACTCCTGATCTCAGGTGATCCGCCTGCCTTGGCCTCCCAAAGTGTTGGGATTACAGGCGTAAGACACATGCCCAGCCTGTTTATTTTTTAATAACGGCTTAAAATAGAGGCCAGATAAAAAATTTTTACCTTTGTCACCAGCATTTTTTTTATGTAAAGCTTGAGTTATAATTGTGTGCTCAGTTTAGTGCAGGTAATGCTTACAGGGATTCTGTATTACTATTTTCTTTTTTTTCCTGCTGAACAGTTGTTGTTTAGTAATACTAAAACTCGTTTTGGCTTTTAAAATTTGTACAATATCCTTATGTTCTGTAAATCCTAGACTCACAAATACTCACTAGAGGTGTTAATTATTAATGTTCTTTCATGAGTAGGTGCTATGGTCTAAATGTTAATATCCCCCCACAATTCATATATGGGAACCTAAATACCCAGTGTGATGGTATTAAGAGGTTGGGCCTTTAGGAAGTGAAGTCACGAGGGCTCTTCTGTCATGAATGAGATGAGTGCCCTTTTGCCACGTGAGGACACTGCAATAAGGTGCCATCTTTTTTTAAGATGAGGTCTCCCTGTGTTGCCCAGGCTGGTGTCGAACTCCTGGGCTCAAGGGATCCCCCGACCTTGGCCTCCCAAAGTGCTGGGATTACAGGTATGAGCCACCACACCCAGCCTAAGGTACCATCTTTGAGGCAAGCCCTTATCAGACATTGAATCTGCTGGTGCCTTGATGCTGGACTTCCCAGCCTTCAGAACTGTAAGAAGTAAAATTTCTGTTGTTTCTAAATTATACAGGCTAAGGTATTTTGTTACAGCAGCCTGAACAGACTGAGACAGTCAGTTATCTCCAGATAGATTTTTCTTAAGCAAACAAAATTAAGCATATTTTATGGGATATGGGAAAAATTTATCCAAAACTGTTGAACAGATATTTAAAAATAAAAGTTCTGTTGACCAAAATTCTCCATTTGCTTTTCTCCTGGCAAACTTATCAACCTTAGTTGTCATTTTAAATTGTACTTGTAACTTTTGCTGCTTTAACATATACTTTATATGAAAGTTTCAGTTCCCACCTCCTCTACTTCAGAGAACTACCCTTCTTCTCTTGAATGACATTACTTTCTTAAGTAATAAAACAGACACACACAAACACATATACGAATCCACTTCAGAGTCTTAGGAAGAATATAACCTTGAGGCCCCCTATCCTGTGGGTCAGAAATGACAGTCTGGTTGTATCACTGTTTCTTTCTCCTTATGGTTTAATGATGTGGAATTTTCATTTTACATTATAGCTGACATTTTTATTTTTATATGTTCGGAACAGGAAGAGCAAGATCTGGATCAACAGGGAAATGAGGTATGATTTTATGTTGGGGTTCCTACTACAACACTGTGATTACAATTCAGTTCCCAGAATGTTTGAAACACAACTTATTAAAACTTAGAAACCTAAGACAAGACTGCAGGCTACGAAGTCAAACTTTCGGGGTCTTAATCCCAACTCTGCTATATGTAACTGTACAAACTTGGAAACATTCTTTGTGCCTCAGTTTCCTCATCTGAAGAATGGGGATAATGTCCCTACCCAGGAGAGGGTTGTTTTGATAACTAATGTATGTAAAGGGCATTTAGAAAAGTTTATGGCACATAGCAAACACTCAAATATTAATTATACTTCAGCACCAAGCATTCTGTCCTAAATCTAAGTTTATTCATATTGTAAAATAAATGGGGGCAATCTCACAGGCAGCACAGCAAATAAGAACTCTGGGATTTCTCCTTAATAATGGGTAAGAGAGAAGGCTGTTCTAGCCCAGGGTTTCTCAACTTTGGCACTATTAACATTAGGGGTTGGTTAATTCTTTGTTGTGGGGTCTGTCCCATTCATTATAAAATGTTTAGCGACATCCTCGGCCTTTACCCACTAGATCCCAGTAGCAGCCCCTACCTATTCCTTCTCACCCCTCATCGTGTCAACGAAAACTATCTCTAGACATTGCCCATTGTCTTCTGAGGGCAGAATCTCCCCAGGACGAGAAATAGTGGTATAGCCAAGGTATTAGTCCCATTTCCATGTGATAGGACTTAAATCTATTTGTGGTTATTATTGCATCATTTTAATCCACAGCAGGTTTCTGCAACTCAGGTAATATCCAATAGTTTTTTTCCTTTTTTTTTTTTTTTTGAGACAGGGTCTCTGTCACCCAGGCTGGTGTCACCCAGTGCAGTGACAGGATCATGGCTCTCCACAACGTCTACCTCCTGGGCTCAGGTGATCCTCCCCCCCTCAGTCTTCCGAGTAGCTGGGACTACAGGCACCCACTATACCCAGCTAACTTTTATATTTTTTGTAGAGATGGTGTTTCTCCATGTTGCTTAGGCTGGTCTTGAACTCCTGGGCTCAAGCGATCCACCCGCCTCAGCCTGAGCCTTCCAGAGTCCTAGGATTATAGGCGTGAACCACTGCTCCTGGGCCTTCTTTCTCTTAAATGTAACTGTAGGTAGGATTTTGAAAATTATTGTTCTCATTACTTATTATGCTAGGCAAAAATTAAGTAGTAAAGAATATATTTAAACATTGGTCTTCAACTCTTTGGAACTATGAAGCAGAGTTTAAGTACCACTGTTCCAGCTTAGATGGTATGTATATCAGGAAAAGATAAAAAATATGTTGAGATACTAATTCAAGTGTTTTAGCATTTTTTGTAAAGGGCGGTATAAATTGCCTTTGTAACTGTTATTTTCCCTTTTTAGGAAAACCTATTTGATTCTTTGACAGGCCAGCCACATCCTGAAGATGTACTACTGTTTGCCATTCCAATATGTGCCCCTTACACCACCATGACAAACTACAAGTAAGTTACCATTAGTTGACAGAATGGCTTTTGTGAATTGTTTTGTAACGTCTATTTAGTAACACATGTAATTCCTTTTTAAAGATATAAAGTGAAACTTACTCCTGGAGTGCAGAAAAAGGGAAAAGGTATTTAAATTTGTTTTTTTGAATTATGATTTTAAACAGTTCAGTGACTTAACAGTAGATTATTCTTACTCTTTTTTGTATTTACAGCTGCAAAAACAGCCTTGAATAGTTTCATGCATTCCAAAGAAGCAACAGCAAGAGAAAAAGACTTATTCCGCAGCGTAAAGGTAAAGTTCTCCTTCAGAAAAGGAATGTGGAGACTGACAGTACAATTTAAAATGTTAGCAGTTTTTTGTTATTTTAGTAGAAAATGCTGTCTTATTAGAAGCAGTAAAACCATCTCAGCTAAAAGTTTGGAAATGTTTTTCGTTTTTGTCATAAAAGAAACATGATTGACCATACAGGATGTGAAGATATTCAGCAATTTTCTTTTTTTAGGACACAGATTTATCAAGAAACATTCCTGGCAAAGTGAAAGTGTCTGCACCCAATCTTCTGAACGTAAAAAGGAAATAGCTGAAATGAAATTCTAAAATATTTGAGAAGAGCCAATTTTATAGCCTTTTGGAAGTTCAAAGATGAAAGCACCATGTATCAGGATTTCCGCATTATAAAAATGAACTAAACATTGCCTTGCTATATTCACCAAAAGGACTTACTTCTTGTTTTTTCCCAGTTTTATATAGAGGAAACACTGTCTATGATAGGATTTCCAAAAGTATTTGTGGACAGTTAAATGCTAATTAATATACATCTGTAGTTATTCTACATTTTCTTGAAATTTGGGAGGTTAATACCAAGTATTCATTTCATGATGTAAAGAAACTGAACAGTGAAGTGGCTTGATTGCTTAAACTATTGACTTGGTAAGTCTACTGTATATAACATCTAATATATATATTACAGGCCAAATGAACTAAACATTGCCTTGCTATATTCACCAAAAGGACTTAATTCTTGTTTTTTTCCCAGTTTTATATAGAGGAAACACTATGATAGGATTTCCTAAAGTATTTGTGGACAGTTAAATGCTAATTATATACATCTGTAGTTATTCTACATTTTCTTGAAATTTGGGAGGTTAATACCAAGTATTCATTTCATGATGTAAAGAAACTGAACAGTGAAGTGGCTTGATTGCTTAAACTATTGACTTGGTAAGTCTACTGTATATAACATCTAATATATATATATTATAGGCCAGCTACAAGGGGTTTAAATATTTAGGATTGTGTCTTGAAAACTAAGTATTGGAGTGGATTTTCTTCTGCTTTCATTGATACTTGTCAGAAAAAAATATTAGACCAAAATGTAAAATATAAGTAATAATTCTCATGACTCAGCTTAATCATTTCTATTCATTTGTAGACCTTCAGGTTTGATCTTAATTTTTTCCTTGTAATCTGATTCAGTTCTGTACCATTTTAATTTCCACCTTTAGTAATTAATTACCAATATAGCACGTTAGAGTATCTTAACCTATAATACCAGAAGCGCATTTTAGGCTTACCACTAAAGACTCTAACCCACTTTTCCTCTGTCTCTTAACAGAATGGAAAATGATGTCATCATTATTTCCATTCCTTCATGAGCTATAAAACCTATTAATTAAAAAAAAACTTTTTAATTGACTGGACAGCACCTGCCTGTATTCAGCATGACCACTTGCTCCAGCCCCTACACTGAAGCATTAAGGTCAAAGTACTGAACAGTTGTTGGTCCCTCCACACTTTGTTTTTCCAGCTTCGTCATAATGTGAATATTAATGTTTAAAAAAAAAAACCTTTATTATATTGTATTTACAACACTAGGTTACATAACTATAGACTACTCTTGCCATTAAAAAAAAAAAAATCTATAATGTTTTCAAAAAATGACTTCAGCATTTTGATGATGGTAAGACTATAATGTTTCTACAGATACATATCCTGAAGTTACTGAAAAGAAAATGTAGCAACCATTCTTCAGGGTAAAAAGCCCAACCATTACTTTACTTTAATAGAGGACAGCTACTGGTGTTAAATACATTTATTGTAAACTTTAGACACAAAAATAGGTTCTCTAGGCCATTCACATGCACATTAAAACCAACAGGTGCAAACTACAACAATGCATATAATTATACAAATGATGCCACTCTGTGATGTTTACAGGATTGCTGTCCATGCAAGGTGATCATAGGCATTATTTATGAAGCCTTAAGATCCAGAAGTGTTGTTACTACCAAACCTCTGATTAACACTGTGAAGTAAGTGTTTTGGAAGGCAGTTCCATGAGTTGGCTAACATTTCTTTAAAGCAAATGACTGCTTCTAAGCTTAGCCTGAAAGTGGACAAGGAAAGAGAAAAGTAATTTCACTTTACTGTTTGGAAGTACATTCACTTGAAAAACTACATAAAACATCCCTCTTTCTTTCTTCAAAGATTTTCATAGGAACTGGTTATAGCAATGAAGTTTTATTGCCCTTAAATAATCCATAAACCTAGTTTTTCGAGAGTGCTAAGTCTTAGGAAACACAATTTTAAATAATCTAAGTGCCAAGTACAAAGTTACTTACCGTACAAGAGATTTTGGTTGAACTGAAAATATTAGTATTTCATTACTGTGTGCCTGAAAAATAAATAGGAAGAACACATTTAAAAGCAAATGCTTTGCAAGTAAGTTTCAGTAATAATGTGAAGGTAGTATACTTACAGCTCTGTGATGGACAAGCAAGTTGTTGGCACATCCACCAAAAACAATTACTTCTCCTTCATCGCTGGCACAAGCTGTGTGCCATAACCTGCATTTAAAACAAAAACGAGTTTGAAGCCACCCAGAACACCAGTTGGCCATTTTATACTACAGAATAGAGCTATGAAATAAAGACTAGCGATCTTAAGGTAGTTCAGACCAAAACATCATGGCGAGAAGTAAAATCTTAAGGGAAAGTAGCAAAAGCAGATCAATCAATATCTATTTTATCTGGATATTATTTTCTCTCTCTGGTCGTTCTCATTTATGCAATGAGGAGTTTGAACTGAACGATCTGTTCTCTAGGTCTTTGTTAGCAATAAAAATCGTATGGGAGCTGAGTAGTATATGCCTTCTTCTTCCATAGGTAGGGCCAACTGGCCTTACACAGAACGTCTGAGGGATGGTGAAAGCCCTGCTTGAGTAAACTATAAAGTCTCAGAAAGCCTGGTAGTTTTATGGAGAGATCATTTGTGCAAATGAAGTCTTACTTGCATGACTATACTTGGTTTAGATACTTGGGGAAAAAATGCAGGCTTTGAACATGAATTTTGACTGTATCATTTCCTTTAGCATTTTGTTCTGAGATTAACAAGAGAAAATTATCAGTGTTTAATAAGCTTTTTTTGGATGATTTGATTTCTTCATCTTTGTTATACAGTGCTACTGCAAGTCTAATTGACAGTTCTTGTTTTTTCCCCATGTATTTTTTTTTTTTTTAAGAGACAGAGTCTTGCTCTATCACCCAGGCTGGAGTGCAGTGGTGCAATCTCAGCTCACTACATCCTCTGCCTCCTGAATAGCTGGGACTACAGGCATATGCTACCACACCTAGCTAATTTTTCTATTATTTGTAGAGATGGGGTTTTGCCAAGTTGCCCAAGCTGGTCTTGAATGCCTGGGTTAAAGCACTCTGCCTGCCTCAGCCTCCAGAAGTGCTGGGATTACAGCTGTAATCCTGTAATCCCACTGTACCTCGCCTCCCATGTGATTAAGGTTTAAACATTTTACCCATTCCAGCACCTCTACCCCCTTTTTTTTTTTTTTTTGAGACAGAGTTTCACTCTTGTTGCCCAAGCTGGAGTGCAAAGGCACGATCTCAGCTCACTGCAACCTCTGCCTTCCTGGTTCAGGCAATTGTCCTGCCTCAGCCTCTCAAGTAGCTGGGATTATACAGGCATACGCCACCACGCCCAGCTAATTTTGCATTTTTACTAGAGACGGGGTTTCACCATGTTGGCCAGGCTGGAACTCCTGACCTCAGGTGATCCACCTGCCTCAGCCTCCTAAAGTGCTGGGATTACCGGCATGAGCCACCACGCCTGGCCGACCCTCATTTTTAATAAACTTAGATGCAGTTCAACTCATTGAAGTGAAAAGCTTGATTGTATATTTTAACTATGTGTCAATTTTATAACAGAAGGAAGAAGCAAAAATAAAAATCCAGCCCTACTCTTCATGCACAGATGACGGAAAGGAGATCATTCGATACTAGGATAACATTGGTTTTCTTTTCTTTGAGAAGTATTTCAAACCTTAGTGAATGCTGAGATTTTTATAAATAAGAATGCTGGATATAATGCAGCCAAAACCTCAATTCTTATGTCTTATGCATATTCAGTATATGAATTGCTTTTAAATACCTTGGTTTTTCGGTATATGGATGATTAAATTGTATCCATTCATTTTTACTGATGCAGTAAGTCCAGGCATCACCTGATTCAAGCAAAGAAATGAAGTATGTTAGTCTGTCAATATGACATTGACATTTAAAGGGCACAGCTTTGGCAAGAAAGGTAATAGATCATGAGCAGATACAGAGAGTATATTTTCTTTTTTTTCCCCCCCCTGCAATTAGCCAAGTAAGCCCTTTGCATGTTGTAGCCCTTCAGCAGGGCTCTTAAGTGCTCCAGGTTCTTTATTGAACAGAAGTATGCCATATAGTACAATTACAGCTATGTTACAGGATCAAAATTAATTTCAAACCTTCCAACCAACCCTATAAGCCGTCTCATCAGTCTCTAATAGACTCATTTTCAGCTATTAGATATGGATGATATATGATGATTTCATTATCATATTTTTCAAGGACTTACTTAGTGGCTGTTTATCAGTGGTAAATCCTCCAAAGAGAAAAAGATGATCTGAAGAAACTGGTGTTAGTGAGTGCCAAGATCGACCAACTGGGCATATGCCTTGTGGAATTCTGAAAATAATAGCTAAGTTACAATATCTGCATTTAGAAGCAGCTACTGTATTTTTAAGTTTTCTTTTAAAATTTATATGTACATGTTATGAAAAAAGAGACCTTAAGTTTAAAAAGGCTTCTTGGTATAAACTACATGCTTTATACTGAAATATTTTCTTTGACGTTAGAATCAACTTCAGACCTTTTCCTTTCAACAAACACTGAGCACATGCTATGTACTAGGCACATAGTTACAGGAACTGGAAACACAAAAATAAAATTCATTCCTTAAGGACCTAGTAATTATGTTTATTTAATTTCATAGTTAAAGAAAAGTTAAGCAAGGACATTATATACCAATAGTAGGGAATATAGGGTAAAAACAATCTGAATTTTGGAAAAATGTATCTAAAGTGATACCTACAATTCATTCCACTCCCATGTATCCAGATTAAGATAGTGAAGATCATTCATTCTAGCATCCTAAAAAAGGATAATTAAGTTATCATTTTGAAGAATTCAAAAGCAAGTCATTGAAGTCGTTTGAATACTTACTCGATATCTGCCTCCAAACACGAAGCCTCTATTTCCGACAGTTGCACAGGCATGGGCAGCACGAGGTGAAGGTGCTTTACCCTATTAGAGGCACATAAGCAAGTTAGTGAACTTTTTATAAACAGGGAAAATACCTATGTCTACTCTGGATATGGGATAAGAATATGTAAGGCACTTGAGCTTTTAAAAGTTGGGAGTGTAGACTTCTAGACAACAGTTGTACTACAAGCTGACTACCAAAACTGGGCATTTTAATTTTCTATTTTTGAAATGTGTTACTGAATGGGCTGGCTAACACAATAGGCTGCTTTATTTTTTCTCTTTTAAAATAAAGGCTGGCATATTATATAATATCTGCGTCAAAGGGAAAAGAAATATAATTATCTGTGTCAGAGGGAAAAGAAATCTAATATTTAAGTAATACAAATTGCAGTATAGTGCAGAGTTATTTAATTACAGTTTGAGTATCTGTAATCGGAAAATCCAAAATATGAGATGCTCCAAATCTGAAAATTTGAGTGCCAACATGATGCTGAAAGGAAATGCTCATTGGAGCATTTCGGATCTTTGGATTAGAGATAGTTGACTGTTAAGTATATAATGCAAATATTCCAAAATCTGAAACACTTCTACCACGTAAAGTGTATTAGATAGGTTGGGCACGGTGGCTCATGCCTGTAATCCCAACACTTTGGGAGGCCGAGGTGGGCAAATCACAAGATCAGGAGTTCAAGACCAGCCTGGCCAATGTGATGAAACCCGTCTCTACTAAAAATACAAAAAAATTAGCTGGGCGTGGTTGCGGGCATCTGTAATCCCAGATACTCAGGAGGCTGAGGCAGGAGAATCGCTTGAACCTGGGAGGTGGAGATTGCAGTAAGCAGAGATCCCGCCACTGCACTCCAGCCCAGGCAACAGTGCGAGACTCTGTCTCAAAAAAAAAAAAAAAGTATTAGATTATTAGGTAATAGATGCTGGGTTAGTCATTTCATACATTCATTAAACTTCTGAGTTCTAGAGTCCTTGGAAATCATTAAAGTTATGGATCTTCTCCCCAGAAAACAAGAATGAACTGTCACTTTCACAGTATCTTCCAACTCTGGTGCACCCCTCTCCCCTACCCCACCCCTCCCCACTGCCTCTAAGTATCCTTAACAATTCATTATTCTTTAGTAACTCACAGTAGTTATAGGCTGGCTCCAGGTAAATGTTTCAGTATCTAAAATATGTACATGATCATTCCATCCTCTTGGATGACTTGAATTCTACAGAAAATAAGAATCCGCGTTATTTTAGAAATGATATTTATAAAATTAGACAGCCTGCCTGATTACCAAAGAAAAATGCACAAAACTTATAAAATGTATTATTTCAACATACTAAGGAGGCCATATGCAAATATGAAACTTCACTTACCCAAAAAGATGTTTCATCGAATTCAAAAGTTCCCAATACTTTATCTTCAGGCAAATATCCATACCCTCCAAAAAATATTAACCTGTTGGATGAAAAACCAAGACACTAAAAATTCAAATACCCATAGGATAGGATACAAGCAGTTTATCTTAGGTGCTGTGTTAAATGCTTTCATGTATTAATTCAGTTAATCTTCATATGGGCCCTATGAGGTATGTTCTGTGCAAATGTTTACTGGCTAAGGATACCTGAATGGTAAACCACTTTACACATAAAAACCCAAACCTGTAGTGCTGCCAACTTACTTGTTTTTATATACCCAGACACCAAGTTTGTCCTTTGATGATGGAGGAATTCCTTGGCAATCAATTCTTTCCCACTGTAACACTCTGTCTGTAGACCTTGAATCCAGCATGTAGAACTGTCAGAAGCAATGATTTCAGTTAGAGTTGGTTTTATGAAAGAAATTCAAGTTTAGCATTTAATTTTACTATGATTTATGATAAGAGTGCCATCTAATTCAGTGCTACTGAAATTGTGACTGCAGACTGGCTGCCAGACTGCTCAGAGTCCAGATGAGGATTCTGTGACTGAATACCAACTTCCTAAGTCACTAAGCACGCTGTTAGCTCAACTAATTTTTTTTTTCATAGTCACACTTTTTTTTTTTAAGAGACAGGGTCTCTCTTGCCAGGCTGGAGTGCAGTGGCACAATCATAGATTACTGTAACCTAAACTCCTGGGCTTAAGTCATCTTCCCACCTTAGCTTCCCACATAGATGGACTACAGCCATGTACCACCATACCTGGCTAAGACAGCCGTACATTTTCTTTTCCCATTTTTATTTTTTTATTTTTTATCTCAATAGGTTTTGGGGGAACAGGTGGTGTTTGGTTACATGGATAAGTTCTTTTGTGGTGATTTCTGAGATTTTGGTGCACTCATCACCCAAGCAGTGTACACTGTACCCAATGTGTAGTCTTTTATCCCTCACCCATCTATCACCCTTTACCCCTGAGTCCCCAAAGTCCACTGTATCATACTTATGCCTTTGCATCCTCATAGCTTAGCTCCCACTTATGAGTGAGAACATATGGTGTTTGGTTTTCCATTCCTGAGTTACTTCACTTAGAATAATGGTCTCCAGTTCCATCCAGGTTGCTGCAAATGCCATTATTTTGTTCCTTCTTATGGCGGAGTAGTATTCCCTGGTATATATATGCACCACATTTCCTTTATCCACTTGTTGATTGGTGGGCATTTGGTCTGGTTCCATATTTTTGCAATTGCAAAATTGTGCTGATAGCCATATATATATATATATATTTCTTTTTTTTTGGTGGGGACAGAATCTCGCTCTGTCACCCAGGCTGGAGTGCAGTGGCATGATCTCGGCTCACTGCAATTTCTGCCCTGGGTTCAAGCAATTCTTGTACCTCAGCCACCCGACTAGCTAGGATTACAGGCACGCACCAACATGCCCAGCTAATTTTTGTATTTTTAGTAGAGACGAGTTTTTGTCATGTTGGCCAGGCTGGTCTCAAACTCCTGGCCTCAAGTGATGTGCCCACTTGGGCCTCCCAAAGTGCTGGGATTATAAGCATAAGCTACCACACCCAGCCCTGATATTTATTTTATGGGTATCAGAATGGTATTACCCAAAAAAAATAGGTTTAGTAATTTTACCTTTAAATTCAATTTAACAAATACATGTTCGGTGTCTATTTAACTCTAAGATTAAAGAGTTAATTGACTTAATCTTTAAGATTAAAGAGATTAATTAAGGATCAATACTTAAAAGATTAAATATTCATCTTTCCTTTAAAGGGTTCACATCCAGGCAACTGAATATATCTGACCACTATATATTTTTTACTTCTCTGAGACACTCAAGCTTCCATTCAGTCAAACTTAAAACACACAACCCTAGCCACTCGACAAACTACTACTGTTTCTGTAACTACCTCCATAAAACCACAGCTTGTCTCCTCCCCCAAGCTTTTAAGTTGTGTCAGTTATTATTCTCCCCCTTGGCTCTGAAATACATATGGCTCAATGATAGCCTATAGATGTGCCTCACAGAATCTTTCAGGCATAGAACTCTTTCTTCAAGCAAAATACTAAGCAAAAGCCCAACGTATACAAACAAAAGTGGAGCTACACTTGTTAAAATGGAGGAGGAAGGGGCAGCTTGGAGCCTACCTAACACCATATGCTCCTCCCACAGGTGTCCCAAGGCATCTCAAATCCCTAAAGTTTCTAGGAACATAGTTTGAAACCATCTCAGCCACATATTCCATCCACTTGGAATTTCCATAATTAAGACATTTGCTGCCGGGCACGGTGGCTCATGCCTGTAATCCCAGCACTTTGGGAGGCCAAAGCAGGTGGATCACCTGAGGTCAGGAGTTTAAGACCAGCCTGGCCAACGTGGCGAAACCCTGTCTCTACTAAAAATAAAAAAATTAGCTGGGCGTAGTGATGCATGCCTGTAATCCCAGCTACTCAGGAGGCTGAGGTACGAGAATCACTTGAACCTGGGAGGCGGAGATTGCAGTAAGCCAAGATTGCACCACTGCACTCCAGCCTGGGCGACAGAGCGAGACTCTGTCCCCATCCGAAAAAAAAAAAAAAAAAAAAAAAGACATTTGCTTATATCTCTGTATCTTGGCTACTCCTTCCAATTTTATTATTCAGTTCAAGCATCACCTCTTCGGTCAAGATTTTCCTTGTTCTGTTCCCTCATCCCACCAAATACAATGTCAAAGTTTTCAGTTTCAACAATACTTACTGAGTTATTTTCTATATGCCAGGTGCTGTGTATCTCTCTAGCAGGTGCTACTGCAGTGGTTTACTTACTATATGTGTCCCTTCTAGAATGTGAGTTCCAGGAGGTGAGAACTATATCATTCTTTCTGTCTCCAGTGTCCAGCCAAGTGCTCAGCACATAAAGTGCTTACTAAGTTGCCAACTTAATAGACTCCTATGGATTCATTTATTTGGCAACTCAGTAAGCGCTAATATATGTCATATGTATCATTTCTGATTGACTTAATCTGTCTCTTATTGGTCTGAAAGAGAAGAAGTGATATATTTTTTCCTACTTGGAACAAAATACGGCAAAGTCTGAACAGCATTGTCTTTGGGCACCACTTTATAGGAATGTTAACATGTAAAGTTTTGTCAGTTTTAATTTATCCTTACAGCTTTCTGACTGGTTGCCTGCTCATTTTTACCCTTCCCTCCATTACATCTTGTCTTCATTTTGTCTGCAATTTTATTACTAATGTTCATCTAACATTTAAGGTTCTAAGAGAACAAGTAGCTGCAAAAAGCACAAAGAAAAACCACCCAGGAAGTTACTGCACACAGGTTACCAACAAAAGTTGATTTTACATAATGCCTAGGTAAATACAGATTGGCACACAAAATACTAAAATGCACATTCATATCATAATCAAGTACACATCATTTTTAACTGTGACACAAATAAGTCTGGGGCTAACCTTAGAAATTTGCAGTTGTTTGAAAGATAATAAGAATAAAAATGCCTCAAGCCATAATCCTTAGAAACACTAACCTTATTGGTATTGCCTCTTGAATGGTGTCCTCCAAACAAGTACAGCACCCTGTCTACACACACAGCACAGCTTCCTGACATAGAAGGAGGAACATCACCTTCAGTGTTGATTTTTTTCCTGAGGGGGAATAAATTAAATGTATGTAAGTTAAAGGGAAGAAATGCAAAAGTCTATTAATTTTTCTTCTTCTACTTATATCCTCACAATAAAGGAATAAAATGAGAAGGCAGAGTAGACAGTGCCGCTAGGATCTCTCCTAGGTCTAACCTTAATTCAAGGAATGTGCTTTTCCCTCTTTACCCATTCCACAAACAGTGCCAGCTGGCCCCATGTGTACAGGCATGAGAGATTCTGAAAGCCTAAGTCATATTTTATTATTCTAGGAGCATACCATTTTATGTTTCTCAGACTAAATTGTTTGCTATTTATTTACATGGCCATAAGTTGTTTTGCTTTTGAGTGGGCCAGGAGCCCAGAAGGAAAACCTCAACATTCCCAGTGCTGATAGATTAATTCAGTGTTTTTTCTTCAGTCCCCTTTTAGCTGTTCATATGCATCAGATTCAGTCCTTTATGTAACACTACAAACAGGTAGTGCCATGTGCCAGGCATTCCTGAGTGCTTTGTATGTATTAACTCATTCTGAATCTAAAAATTGATCTGAATCAACCTAAGGAATCTAAGATTTAAAATTCTAATAGTATACTCAAGGTCTTCTGCTAAAACTGTCAGATATAATAATATTTATCTTTGCTAAACTTAAAAGTTTTAGAAGGCTCATTTTTTTAAAAGTTACTATTTTTGGCTGGGCGCGGTGGCTCATGCCTGTAATCCCAGCACTTTGGGAGGCTGAGGCAGGTGGATCACAAGGTCAAGAAATCGAGACCATACTGTTTAACATGGTGAAACCCTATCTCTACTAAAAATACAAAAAATTAGCCAGGCGTGGTGGCGGGCGCCTGTAGTCCCAGCTACTCAGGGGGCTGAGGCAACAGAATGGTGTGAAGCCAGGAGGCGGAGCTTGCAGCGAGTCGAGATTGCGCCACTGCACTCCAGCCTGGGCGACAGAGTGAGACTCCCTCTCATTAAAAAAAAAAAAAAAAAAAAAGTTATTATTTTTAAATAGAAACAGGGTCTCACTGTATTGCTCAGGCTGGTCTTGAACTCCTGGGCTCAAGTGATCCTCCCACCTCGGCCTCCCAAAGTGCTAGGATTACAGGTGTGAGCCACCATACCTGGCCTTAAATTTTTTTTTTTTTTTTTTTGAGATGGAGTCTGACTCTTTCGCCCAGGCTGGAGTGCAGTGGCGCGATCTCTGCTCACTGCAAGCTCTGCCTTCCGGGTTCACGCCATTCTTCTGCCTCAGCCTCCCGAGTAGCTGGGACTACAGGCGCGTGCCTCCACGCCCGGCTAATTTTTTGTATTTTTTAGTAGAGACAGGGTTTCACCATGTTAGCCAGGATGGTCTGGATCTCCTGACCTCATGATCCACCTGCCTCGGCTTCCCAAAGTGCTGGGATTACAGGTGTGAGCCACCGTGCCCGGCCCCTTAAAAATTATCTTTAAAAATATGTAGCATTCTGCTTTTAAGAGAATACAATTATAAATTTCCAATTCTCTAGAAAAAGATTAAGAAACAGCTTCATATTAACACCAATTTGTTATATACAGAAATAATCATGACTTATTTTTAGTTTGTAACTGTTAAATGTTTTTGTTTTTTGAGAGGGAGTCTCACTGTATTACCCAGGCTGGAGTGCAATGGCATGATCTCAGTTCACTGCAACCTCTGCCTCCCGGGTTCAGGTGATTCTCCTGCCTCAGCCTCCCTAGTAGCTGGGATTATAGGCACCTGCCATCATGCCTGGCTAATTTTTGTATTTTTGTAGAGATGGGGTTTCACCATGTTGGCCAGGCTGGTCTTGAACTCCTCACCTAAGGTGAGCTGCCTGCCTCGGCCTCCCAAAGTGCTGGGATTACAGGCGTGAGCCACAGCATCCAGCCTAACTGTTAAGTGGGACTACTACGCTAATTCTGAGATCTACAGTAAGTAAAATATTTAAAGCATAAAGTTCTCACAAAGCACACCATGGGGAAAACTACTTTGTAAATCCGCAACCATGGCTAACCCAGCATTTTGAGAAACACCTTGATTCTACCAGGGACATGCTCTTGACTACTACTGTTATGAAACTGCAAAAGATCATTTCAGATTATCTCCAGTTTACAAAAAGGGCAAACTGGAGGTCATTTTGGTTTTTAAACAGAACAACACTATTTTTAAAAAGATTTGCATGCAAATTTTGAGAGCTTATTAAAATAGAATACCACCTTTATTTTTAGCAGATAAAATTCTATACAATCTAAAATCTAACAATTTAACCATTTATAAATTCCTTTCCTTATTCAAGAGATCATATAACAGAAGACTTAACATCTTGAAAAAAATGGAACACTTATTTTTCCATTCTGGATCTGAAGCCTCTACATCTATTTTAAATATTACTATGATACTTGAGATAGAAATTTATTCTAAGTTCATAAAAGTATCTAGTAACTACAGAACAGGTGCTAAATTAAGCTTAGCAGCTAAGCTAAAGTAGCAGAACAGTGTTTTTAGAATATATAAGTAGCTTAGAAAGTGTTTTACATTTTTTTCTTTGCAGCCATATCTGATTTGTTTGTTTTTGGAGACAGTTTTGCTCTGTCACCCAGACTGGAGTGCAGTGGCTCGATCTCAGCTCACTGCAACCTCCGCCTCCCAGATTCAAGCGATTCTCCCACCTCGGACTCCCAAGTAGCTGGAATTAGCACGCCACCATGCCTGGCTAATTTTTGTATTTTTAATAGAGATGGGGTTTCACCCCAGCCTGGTGTTGAACTCTTGACCTCGAGAGATCCGCCCGCGTTGGCCTCCCAAAGTGCTGGGATTATAGGCATGAGCCAGCCACCGTGCCCAGCCCTTATCTGAATTTTTTAGTCCCCCTTATAATATCCACATTTACCATCTTCCAGTCTCCATGTTGTAGATCCATAGTTCTTCTCTAGGCAGATAAAAGTCATATAATCCTCTGACTTGATTACTCTAAGAATAAAAAAAATTGTAAATATAAAAACTGGTATTTTAAAGAGGCACTACTGTATTTTTTAAATCGATCTTGAGATACTAATTTCATAATTAGTATGAAAAATAGGTATTACAGTGCACAATCCTCCCCCACCCATGCCACACACTCAAGGTAAAGCTCAACATAGATAGCTCTTAATTCAGAATTTTGATACAGCAGTTGCAATAGGACAAGAAGAGATCTCTGGGAACTTTTTTTTTTTTAGTCCAAGTCTCTATTGCTCAGGATGGAGTGCAGTGGCGCAATCTTGGCTGGCTCACTGCAATGTCCACCTCCTGGGTTCAAGTGATTCTCCTGCCTCAGCCTCCTAAGTAGCTGGGACTGCACGCACTCGCCATCACGCCTGGCTAATTTTTGTATTTTTAGTAGAGACAGGGTTTCACCATGTTGGCCAGGCTGGTCTCAAACTCCCAACCTCAAGCAATCCACCCACCTCAGCCTCCCAAAGTGCTGGGATTACAGGCTGTGAGCCATTGTGCCCAGCCAAGAGATCTCTGGGAACTCTCTAAGGCAGCTTTATCCTGAACAGAACCATGCACCAAATTTCAGCTGCATGACTTCAGGAGACTGCCTGTGCCATGGTCAGCAGGCTGTTACTGAAAGTGCCTGATCCACGCTAACACGATGCGTGGTTTTCTAGCCATGCCTTCCTTTCACCTATCCATTCTCTAAGCAGCAATAGAGAGGGCAGAACTGCAAATATGCAAAATATTAAATCCTTATGCAGAATTTTAAGTTCTTTGTTCTGCTCCATTTCCCTTCAGGTATTAATTCCTAACACAGACTGAGCCTACCATATGCCACAGCTGAAAGCTATCCATGGATTGCTTTATTTAATCCTCACAACAACCCTAAAAAGTAGCTGATGTTATGAGAAAACAAGTTTAGAGTTTAAGTAATTTGCCCAAGGTTATTTATGAAGTAATGATGGAGCCAGGATTCTATCCTTTCCCTGAACTTTAACAACTGCCTGACATTCCCAGCCTTTGACCCTCCCTAGCCACTTTCTGAACAATGTTGACACAGTAAACGACTGCGGTTAGCCAAAAATGGGTGTCAAAGTCCAGCAAGCTTGAATATTAAACATACAGAAACAGAACAGTTGACCACGTAAAACAACTTCTTTTTCCACCCCACCAGTGATGAAGGGAAAGGCTGGAAGCGGGCTGACCCACAGGGGACCAGCCTGTCCTGGGGAGGAAAACTGCCTACTATGTAGGAAGCCAAGGTTTATTGCCTTTGAAACAATCTCCAAGGACTTCTGTGCCTACCCTCAGGGTTCCAGCCACCAGCCATAAATGGGGAGGGCAGTCTGTTTCAGAACCATCCAATTCAGTGATTGTGCTGCTCCTCCCTGAATCGGCCCCAATCATCCAGGCCCTTTTAAATCCACAAGAAATATTCCACACTAAGAATCCTCCCCTGCCCCACTCCCAAAGTCTTATTCTCTCATGCTGTCATTTTAAAAATACAATTATGAATTAGGTAGCTTAGAAGTGTCATTGACAGGTTTCTCCAGGGGAATTAATTTACATTTTTATAAGGGTGACTACATGCTTGCCCCCCCGCCCCCCTTCTTGCAATTCTCTACCCCTTTCTAAAGTATTTTTGAGACAGTTTCCTTCTTGTTGCCCAGGCTGGAGTGCAATGGCGCCGTCTCAGCTCACTGCAAACTCCGCCTCCCTGGTTCAAGTGATTCTCCTGCCTTAGCCTCTCAAGTAGACGGGATTAGGGCGCCCGTCACCACGCCAGGCTAATTTTTTTTTTTGTATTTTTAGTAGAGACGGAGTTTCACTATGTTGGCCAGGCTGGTCTCGAGCTCCTGACTTCAGCTGATCCACCTACCTTGGCCTCCCAAAGTGCTAGGATTACAGGCGTGAGCCACCGCGCCCGGCCCCCTTTCTATTTTCTAACCACATTCATTGGAAACTGGGGAAAACACTGCAGATTCATTAGGATTGGCAAAAAATTACTTTTGCAGTTAAACCAAAATAAAGTATCAGGACAGCCATCTTTGAAAGCTATCTCAAAAATGGTCAACTATGATCAAGTCAGCTGTACCATAAGCTAAAAACAATCACAAAGCAAGTCATCCAAGGCACGGGCGTGGGGAGGGCGGAGAACATTTTCAAGACCAAAGAGGAATTTTGTGGTAGGACTGGCTCAGAGCCATCCTAGCAAATAAAATTCTAGATTTCCGAGGTTAGCAGGGTAAAGAATGGCAACTGGCTTTAAACTGCTAACTAATCACGTTGTTTATAACCAGGGGATCGGAGAGTCAAAGAGCTGCACTCTGTAGTTCATTTGATGCTGGGGATTTTTTGGTTACTGGTGGAGCTTTTCCATTATCTTAATAGGGGTGTCTGCTGAAAAACTTCAACCCAGCTGAAGCCAGAAGGAAAACAGTCCTGATGGCCATTTGCACAGGCGGGAAGGCTGAATAAGGTGGTTCCTGTAACCTTTTGGAATTCCAGTTTTCCTACACCTCGGCCTCCCTGTAAGTGGGCAGCGGTTCCCAGCTCCAGAGGGTGAAGTCCTCGTAGGCCGTCCTCATAACGCGTCTGAGTGATATCACACACCGTCACCTTTCACACCCCAACCCTTCCGAATGCACCGCCCAAGCAACATTAACAGGGCCTTCCCCGGAATAACGCTCCAATGGCAACAACGGGGGTGGGAGTGAGTTGGCTTTGTGAGCACCAGGGTGACATGACAGCAGCCCTGGAGGTTCGAGACGGGTTGGGGTACTCGAGAGAAGGAAGATTCCCGCGCGCAAAAAAAAAACAACCAACGGGCAGAGTCTGAGGTGGGGCGCGCGACGCAGGCGGGGAGCGCCCTCGGCGGCCCGCTCTGGCCTCCCCGCCTGGCCGCGAACGCAGACCCGAGTCACAGCCGAGCGACGTCCGTCGCGGCCCGGCCACTCACTGACCTTGTAGCCGCCCCAGACGAACATGTGGCGCCCGTCGCTGACGGCTACGTGGCCGCTGCGCTCAGCGGGGCAGGCAAGCTCCATGGACTCATAGCTCTCGAAGGCTGGCCCAGGCAAGTCGTCAGCCCGCAGATCCTCGTTGCCATCAGCCATCTTGAGGCTGCACTTTTGCTAACCAACAATGCCCACACCCGCGAGGGGCCAAAAAAACAAAGGAAAAGGAGAGAAATGCACAGCGGCGCGAGGCAAGGAAAAGGCGGTGGCGAAAGGGACGGCGTTGAGGCCTCTCTGCCGCCTGCGCTCGCGTTTCCCAGCCTCCTCGGCCGAGGACGGCTCTCCGCCGCCGCCGGGGCACGCCTGCAGACAGAGGGGCCGCGAGCGGAGCCGGGCGGCGGCGGCGCGGGCCCGGGACTCGGGGCACTGCAGGGAAGCGGTCCGCGTCGGGCCGGCTCCCTATTGCAGCCCGTCTGCCCCGCCTCCTGCAGTCCACGGCCTTGTTTACGCCGCGGCCGGAAGCCGCCCGTTCCGCTGACGCCGCCCGCCGAGCTCCGGAAGCGAGGCTGCCGCTCAGCGCCCCCAGCGCCGGGTCCTCCAGCCGCCGCCGCCGCCGCCGCCGCCTCTGCCCGCGCCTCCGCCTACGGCCTGGGCACCGCAGATCTATGGGGCCCGGCGACTTCTAGTCGCGCTTCGAGTCTCCTTTCACTGAGGGAACCACAGGGATAATGTCCTGAATCGGTCCCTGAAAGCTGCTGAATTTTAGCCGGATTGCCGCAATTTTTTTTTTCTTCCCGAGGATTTCTATTCGTTTGATTGAGGGATGATCTCAGAGGGTTCACAGCCCGGGCAGGGGCACCAGAATTGCTCCACTAGCAAGTTTCTGGTCTCGCCTTAGAGTCGATGCAGGCCCTGCTGTTCTGCGGGCGCGAGGGCAGTCGCTTAGCTCTCACGTGGGGCCCAGCCCGATCCCCGGGGGCCTCTCCTGAGCTCCTGCCGCCCCTGCCGGGCGCCGCCTCTGCGGGAATCTGACGTTGCCGCCGCCGCCGCTGCCGCCGCCAGCCGGGCTGCAGAGTTGGCTTGAAAAGCGTTTCCGAAGCCGTAACCACCCTTTTCTTCAGAAAGAAAGGCGGATCCTTTTCACGCACACACAGCTTTCTCTTATATGATACCTTTCAATTGGGCCAAAAGAAAATTACGAGTTACTGTGCTTGATACCTCACCTGTAAAATAGGGTGGGACAAAAATAATCTTAAATTCTTGATCTTACAGTGCCTGTAGAATTTATCGTGTTTGGTAGGAGGGACGTGCTTCATTATCTCCATTTCCCTCATCTTCTGGTTGGGAGCACTCCATAGAAAAGGAACACTTTGAACAATAAAAGGCTTTTTTTTTTTAATTATTAAAATGCTTATAGCCTGCCACTCCTCCCCTAGTGTGCCAGTGTGTTTACTTGAACTCAAGAACTTGAAAGTTACTTAAGAGGATTAATTAAAGCCTTCAACAAGGAAGCAAATCACCTTGAGGCTGTTAAGACCTTATCTGCCATCCACCCTGGTTGGTGCCCTCAAATCTGTCTGGTTCACAGAATTCCTTGCAGCAGTGTCTTCTCCCAGTCGAATTATGCTCACTAGACTTTGGGGTTATCGAAGTTCCTTGTGAACCAACCTCGTGAATCTGATCGAGTCACTTAAAAACCTTGAGCTGGCTCCCGTCGTCCTTAGTAGAATCCAAAATTAATATCTCGGCTGGGCGCGGTGGCTCACGCCTGTAATCCCAACACTTTGGAAGGCCGAGGCAGGCGGATCACCTGAGGCCAGGAGTTCGAGACCAGCCTGGCCAAAATGGCGAAACTCTGTCTCTACTGAAAATACAAAAAAATTACACAGGCTTGGTGGCCGGCGCCTGTAATCCCAGCTACTTGGGAGGCTCAGGCAGGAGAAACTCTTGAAGCCGGGAGGCGGAGGTTACAGTGAGCCAAAAGGGCACCATTGCACTCCAGCCTGGGCAACAAGAACGAAACTCCGTCTCAAAAAAAAAAAAAAAAAAAAAAAAAAATTCATATCACAGTGCTGTGCAAGAAGACCCAGCATGGTCCAGACCCAGCTTGCCTTTCCAGCTTCAATTCCTGGCTGTGTCCTCCTTCCAGCTACATTACCCTTCTATCATCGTTTTTGTTTTTTGTTTGTTCGAGAGAAGTCTCGCTCTTGTCCCCCAGGCTTGAGTGCACTGGCTCGATCTCGGCTCACTGCAACCTCCGCCTCCCGAGTCCAAACGATTCTCCTGCCTCTGCCTCCCAAGTAGCTGGGACTAAGGCACCTGCCACCACGCCCGGCTGATTTTTGTATTTTTTAGTAGAGATGGGATTTCACCATGTTGGCCAGGCTGGTCTCGAACTCCTGACCTCAGGTGATCCACCCGCCTCGGCCTCTCAAAGTGCTGGGATCACAGGCGTGAGGCACCGCACCCACCCAGCCTATATTTCGTATATATATGCCATTTAATAAAATACTATAATATCCACTTTGATTTACTTATTTATGTTTCAAACCATACTTTTATCCTACTTAGAGCAGTAACAACAAAAAGAGTCTCTGAAACACATTAATTAGTTGTACTATAAGCAGAGTTTCTCAGTGTATCAAAGTATAGTTCCAAGCCCCGTGGGTACCTGGAGACCTTTTCAGGGGCTCCTTAAGGAACTCTCTTTTCTAACTATGTATCTGTGTGAGGCCAGATTTTCTTCACTTAAGTCGGCCTGGCGCAGTGTCTCATGCCTATAATCCCAGTATTTTGGGAGGCTGAGGTGGGCGGATCACTTGAGGTCAGGAGTTCGAGACCAGCCTGATCGACATGGTGAAACCCCGTCTCTACTAAAAAAATAGAAAAATTAGCCAGGCATGGTGGTGGGCGCCTGTAATTCCAGCTACTTGGGAGGTGGAAGCAGAAGAATTGCTTGAATCTGGGAGGTGGAAGATGCAGTGAGCCGAGATCATGCCACTGCACTCCAGCCTGGGTGAGAAAGCAAGACTCTGTCTCAAAAATAAAAATAAAAATGCAAAACAATATCATTCTTTTTGAAATTCTTTTGATTAGGAAAATAAAGTTATTTTTCATTTAAAATGTTATTTATGTTAACAATTTTGTTGTTATTTTGTAATAAATTAAAAAATTTAAACATTAAACTAAATTAAAATTAGTGTTAATTTCTAATATGGCAGATATCTATAGATAAAATCCTCATAAACAAAAGCTCTTGGAGGAACTCAATAATTCTTAAGAGTGTAAAGGGGTCCTAAACTAAACAGTTCTCAAGCTAACAGCCATCTCTGATCATGGCTGGCATACAATCAGCAACTTAATTTTAAAAAGCAAAAGCACATTGTGGCCAGGCGCGGTGGCTCACGCCTGTAATCCCAGCACTTTAGGAGGTGAGGCGGGCAGATCAAGAGGTCAGGAGATTGATACCATCCTGGCCAACATGGTGAAACCCTATCTCTATTTAAAATACAAAAAATTAGCTGGGCGTGGTGGCCTGCACCTGTAGTCCCAGCTACTCCGGAGGCTGAGACAGGAGAATCGCTTGAACCTGGGAGGCTGAGGTTGCCGTGAGCTGAGCTCATACCACTGCACTCTAGCTAGCAATACAGTGAGACTCCATCTCAAAAAAAAAAAAGCAAAAGCATATTGTTTTCAGAATCACTTTCTTTTGAGGAAAATTTTCTAATTTTGACCTAAATGGGATAGAATCAAAAAAATTTCAAGGCCTTTGACAACTTTAGAGTACATTACTTATCCTACTTTGTATGTGTATCTATATTGATACTCAGACATTTTCACTTCCTTCATTTTAATATCCCTCAATTATCTTAACAAAAACAACAAAGGACCTCCAACCTTTTAATCACTGCCTATAAATTGTACATCTTATCAAATAAAAATAGAAGAGACAATTGAAGTTAGTTTAAGAATAAAAGTCTCTTTGTAAAGATAATAAAATTCTTAAAAATCCACTATAGGTCATTTGAAATTCAATGATTGATAATGCTATCATTATAATCATAATCCAGAATGTGTGCAAAAAAATCTTTTGCTGAAAAAAATACTCTTGTAAGACTTCCAATTTCTTTTTTTTCTTCCTTTTGATGTGGGGTCTCACTGTGTTACCCAGGTTGGAATACAGTGGCGTGATCTCGGCTCACTGCAACCTCCACCTCCCAGGCTCAAACGATCCTCTCGCCTCAGCCTCCCAAGTAGGTGGGACTACAGGCGTGTGCCACCACACCGGCTAACTTTTCTGTATTTTTGGTAGAGATGGGGGATTTCACCATGTTGTCCAGGCTGGTCTCGAACTCTTGAACTCAAGTGATCCACCACCTCGGCCTCCCAAAGTGCTGGGATTACAGGCATGAACCACTGTGCCCTGCCCAAGACTTCCAGTTTTTAGTCTGGCATGTAAACAGCTTAGAAGCTGCCACTCCATCCTAACAACAAACAAAAAGCTGAGCAAACTGAAAAATCAACAACTGTTCTTAGATCAATCAGAGAAGTGAGGTCACAGTGCAAACCACTGCCTGTCAAACTGCAGAGACAGATGGGTGAATACAGAGAATCACAATTTACCAAAGCAGAAACCCATGAGCAAAAACCTTCTGAGCTACCAGTTTGGGAGCATAAAAACTTTACAGTAATTGATGACTTGTTGGAGGCTCAGTGTGAACACGTTTTAGACTTAAAAACTCCAGGGGGCTGGGTGTGGTGGCTCATGCCTGTAATCCCAGCAATTTAGGAGGCCTAGGTGGGCAGATCACTTGAGGTCAGGCGTTCGGGATCAGCCTGATCAACATAGTGAAATCCCATCTCTATTAAAAATATAAAAAATAGCCGGGTTTGGTGACACTTGCCTGTAGTCCCAGCTACTAGGGAGGGTGAGACACAGGAATTGCTTATATCCAGGAAGCTGCAGTGAGCTGAGATCATATGACTGCACTCCAGCCTGGGCAACAGAGTAAGACCCTGTATCAAAAAAACAAACAAATAAACAAAACCACAACTCCGGGGGACCCAGTCATAGGACGATCCTCACACTTTTTTGAGTTTACCTCCAGGAGGTCTCTTAGGTTCTTACAGTAAATATCAGAGAAAAATTATCTCATGCTTCCAGCAAGGGTAAGGAAAAAGGAACCATTTTGAAATATGCTAGTTCTTCTTAACAAGGGCTGCCTCAGGAGAAACTATTTTATCAAAGCCTACTCTACCTGGCAAAAGGAAAATACCTAATTCCAGCCGCCTCTAGCCATTCTGTTCCACCTAAGTGGGGGAAAAACTGAGAACTGGGGTGAAGTTGATAGTCCAGGGGCACAGGCTCCTAAAAAGACAGATGATTATAGGACTACAGAATGCTTTCCCTCCCCACACTTCTTACTACCACACCACAGAAGGCCTATTTACCAGAGTTTCTTTCACCCAGCTCATCATGTTTAGGTTTCAACAAAAAATTGCAAGGCATAATAAAAGTCAAAACATCGTGGGCTGGGTGTGGAGGCTCATGCCTGAAATCTCAGCACTTTGGGAGGCCGAGACGGGTGGATCACCTAAGGTCAGGAGTTTGAGACCAGCCTGGCCAACATGGCAAAACCCTGTCTCTACTAAAAATACAAAAATTAGCCGGGTGTGGTGGCACATGCCAGTAATCCCAGCTATTCCAGAGGCTGAGGCAGGAAAATCACTCGAATTTGGGAGGCAGAGGTTGCAGTGAGCCAAGATCGCACCACTGCACTCCAGCCTGGGCAACAGAGTGAGACTCTCTCAAAAAAAACAATGACAACAAAAAACACAGTGTGAAGAAATGAGCAAGCATCTGAAGCAGACTCGGATAAGACAGGAATGTTGAAGTTATCAGACTAGGAATTTAAAACAACTATGATTAATATGCTAAAGCCTCTAATGGAAAAAGTAGTCAAATGCAAGAACAGATGGGTAATGGCCAGGCACAGTGGCTCACCCCTATAATCCCAGCAATTTAGGAGGCCTAGGCAGGCAGATCGCTTGAGCCCAAGAGTTCAAGACTAGCCTGGGCAACAGGGCAAAACACTGTTATCTACAAAAAATACAAAAATTAGCCGGCCATAGTGGCATGCGCCTGTGGAACCAGCCAGCTACTCAGGAGGCTGAGGTGGGAGGATTGCTTAAGTCAGATGGGTAAGGTAAATAGAGAAGATATGGAAATTCTCAGAAAGAACCAAACAGAAATGCTAGAGATCAAATAAACTGTAACGAAGATGAAGAATGCCTTTGATGAACTAACTAGTAGGCTGGACATAGCTGAGGAAAGAATCTCTGAGTTTGAGGGTATGTCAATAAAACTTCCAAAACTGAAACGCAAAGAGAAAAAAGACCAAAAAGAAAAAAAAAGGCACCTCAGACTCCCCTAGAATATCCAATAACTGTGGCACAATCACAAAAGGTGTAACCTAAGTGTAATGGGTTAGAAAGAGAGAAAGGTCCACTGTGAAGAGAAGGACAAAAGCCTGGCTGACCATGCCACCTGGGTCCTAGGGCCTTCAGGAAACCTATACAGTAGCCACGTGGGGGTTACAGTAGGCCTTGGGTGACATCCAGTGCTGTGCTGGCTCCATGTCTGACCCAGCACAGTCCCTGTGGTGGTGGCCACAGGAGTACTTGCATCACCATACCCCCAGTTCCAGGTAGCTCAGAACGGAGAGACTCAATTTGTTTGGAGAAAGTAAGGGAAGAGAACAAGAGTCTCTATCTGTTAATCCAAAGAATTCTTGCAGATCTTATCCAAGACAACCAAGGTGGCACCTCTATTAGTCTGCTAGAACCACAGTTCACAGGGCACGGAATCCCCCCCAATGCAGATAACAGTTTAGATCACAACACCCACATCCTTTTGAATAGCTGCAAAGCCTTTCCAAGGAGGACAGATACGAACAAGCCCAGACTGTGAAGACTACAATAAATGCCTAACTCTTCAATGCCCAGACACTGATGAACATCCACAAGTATCAAGACCATCAAGGAAAACGTGACCACACCAAATGAACTTAATAAGGCACCAGGGACCAATCCTGAAGACACAGAGATATGTGAACTATCAGATAGACAATTCAAAATAGCTGTTTTGAGGAAACTCAACGAAATTCAAGAAATTCAGGATAATGCAGAAGAGGAATTTAGAATAATATTAGATAAATTTAACAAAGAAATGGAAATAATTAAAAAGAATCAGGCGGAAATTCCGGAGCTCGAAAATGCAACTGACATACTGAAGAATGCATCAGTCTCTTAATAGCAGAATTGATCAAGCAGAAGAAATAAATGGTGAGCTTGAAGACAGGCTATTTGAAAATACACAGAGGAAACAGAAGAATAAATTTTTTTTTTTTTTTTTTGAGAGACGAGAGTCTCGCTCCGTCACCCAGGCTAGAGTGCAGTGGCGTAATCTCGGCTCACTGCAACCTTCACCTCCGGGGTTCAACCATTGTGGAAGACAAGTATGGCGATTCCTCAAGGATCTAGAACCAGAAATACCATTTGACCCAGCAATCCCATTACTGGGTATCTACCCAAAGGATTATAAATCATTCTACTATAAAGACACATGCACACATTTATTGCGGCACTATTCACAATAGCAAAGACTTGGAACCAACCCAAATGCCCATCAATGATAGACTGGATAAAGAAAATGTGGCACATATACACCATGGAATACTATGCAGCCATAAAAAAGGATGAGTTCACGTCCTTTGCAGGGACATGGATGAAACTGGAAACCATCATTCTCAGCAAACTAACACAAGAACAGAAAACCAAACACCATCATGTTCTCACTCATAAGTGGTAGTTCAACAGTGAGAACACATGGACACAGGGAATCACACACCAGGGCCTGTTGGGGGGTGGGGGGCTAGGGGAGGGATAGCATTAGGAGAAATACCTAATGTAGATGACGGGTTGATGGGTGCAGCAAACCACCATGGCACGTGTATACCTATGTAACAAACCTGCACGTTCTGCACATGTACCCCAGAACTTAAAGTATAATAAAACAAAATTAAATTCTGAAGGAAAAAAAACTTTTGCCCTAGAATAGTATGTCCAGTGAAAATATCCATCAAACATGAAGGAGAAATAAAGACTTTTCTAGACAAACATGAGCTGAGGGATTTCATCAGTACCAGACCTGTCCTATAAGAAATGCTAAAGGGAGTATTTCAATCAGAAAGAAAAGGATGTCAGTGAGCAGTAAGAAATCATCTGAAAGTACTAAACTCACTGGTAATAGTAAATACACAGAAAAACACAGACTATTATAACACTGTAACTGTGGTGTGCAAACTACTCTTAAGTAGAAAGACTAAAAATGAACTAGTCAAAAATAACTACAACAAATTTTCAAGACATATATAGGACAATAATAAATAGAAATGACAAAAAATTAAAAAGCTGGGGAATTAAGTTAAAATGTAGAGGTTTTATTAGTTTACTTTTTGCTTGTTAGTTTGTTTATGCAAGCAGTGTTAAGTAGCTATCAGCTTAAAATAATAGGTTTTAAGATAGTATCTGCAAGCCTCATGGTAACCTCAAATCAAAAAAACATATAATGGAAACACAAAAAATAAAAAGCAAGAAATTCAATCATACCACCAGAGAAAATCATCTTTACTAAAAGGAAGACAAGAAGGAAAGGAGGAAGAGAAAACCACAAAAGAACCAGAAAACAAATAACAATATGGCAGGAGTAAGTCCTTACTTATCAATAATAATATTGAGTGTAAATAGACTAAAGTCTCCAATCAAAAGACATGTTGTGGCTGAATGAATTAAAAAAAAAAACCAAGACTCAATGATCTGTTGCCTGGAAGAAATGCACTTCACCTATAAAGACACACAGTCTGAAAATAAAGGGATGGAAAAAGATGTTCCATGCCAATGGAAACAAACAAACAAAAGAGCAGGAGAAGCTATACTTATTCAGACAAAATAAATTTCAAGACAAAAACTGTAAGAAGAGACAAAGTCATTACATAATAATAAAAGGGTCAATTCAGCAAGAGGATATAACAATTTTATTTTATTTTTTTGAGATGGAGTCTTGCTCTGTCGCCAGGCTGGAGTGCAGTGGCACCATCTCGGCTCACTGCAACCTCTGCCTCCCAGGTTCAAGTGATTCTCCTGCCTCAGCCTTCTAAGTAGCTGGGACTACAGGCGTGTGCCACCACACCCAGCTAATTTTTGTATTTTTAGTAGAGACAGGGTTTCACCATGTTGGCCAGGATGGTCTCAAACTCCTGACCTCAGGTGATCCACCTGCCTCAGCCTCCCAAAGTGCTGGGATTACAGGCATGAGCCACCGCACCTGGCCAACAATTTTAAATATCTATGCACTCAACACTGGAGCACCCAGATGTTTAAGGCAAATATTAGTAGAGCTAAAGAGAGAGATAGACCCCCAATACAAAAATAGCTGGAGACTTTAACACCCCAATTCTCTACAATCTCTTTCAGAAGATTAGAGGCAGAGAAAATACTTCTTCCTTTTTTTTTTTGAGATGTAGTTTCACTCTTGTCTCCCAGGCTGGAGCGCAATGATGTGATCCTGGCTCACTGCAACCTCCGCCTTCTGGGTTCAAGCAATTCTCGTGCTTCAGCCTCCTGAGTAGCTGGGATTACAGGCGCCTGCCACCACACCTGGCTAATTTTTTGTATTTTTTGTGGAGACGGGGCTTCACTATGTTGGCCAGGCTGGTCTCGAACTCCTGACCTCAAGTGATCCACCCACCTCAGCCTCCCTAAGTGCTGGGATTACAGGTGTGAGCCACTGTGCCCAGCCTGAGAAAATATATCTTAACTAATTATATGAGGCCAGCATTACCCTAATATCAAAGCCAGGCAAAGACAGGGTAAAAAAAACTACAGACTAATACCCCTCATAAATATAGATGCAAAAATTCTCAACAAAATACAAACAGTCCCTAACTTACTATGGTTCTACTTAAGGATTTTTTGACTTTATGATGATATGAATGTAATAACCATTAAGTAGAAACTGTACCTCAAATTTTGATTTTTGATCTTTTCCTGGGCTAGTTATATGCAATATCATACTCGCTTATGCTGGGCAGCTGTGACAAGCTGCAGCTCCCAATCAGCCATGCAATCATGAGGGTAAACAACCAATACTGTACTATACTGTATTCAACGATTTATTATAAAATAGGCTTTGTCTTAGATTATTTTGCCCAACAATAGGCTAATATATGTATTCTGAGCATTTTTTTTTTTTTTTTTGAGACGGAGTCTTGCTCTGTCACCAGGCTGGAGTGCAGTGGCCCAATCTTGGCTCAGTGCAACCTCCATCTCCCGGGTTCAAGCGATTGCCCTGCCTCAGCCTCCCGAGTAGCTGGGACTACAGGAGCAGGCCACCACACCTGGCTAATTTTTTTTTTTTTTTTTTTTTTTTTTTTGAGACGGAGTCTCGCTCTGTAGCCCAGGCTGGAGTACAATGGCACGATCTCAGCTCACTGCAAGCTCCGCCTCCCGGGTTCACGCCATTCTCCTGCCTCAGCCTCCCGAGTAGCTGGGACTACAGGCACCCACCACCACGCCCAGCTAATTTTTTTGTATTTTTAGTAGAGATGGGGTTTCACCGTGTTATCCAGGATGGTCTCGATCTCCTGACCTCGTGATCCACCCGCCTCGGCCTCCCAAAGTGCTGGGATTACAGGCGTGAGACACCGCGCCCGGTGCCACACCTGGCTAATTTTTTGCATTTTAATAGAGACAGGTTTTCACCATGTTGGCCAGGATGGTCTCGATGTCTTGACTTTATGATCTGCCCACCTTGGCCTCCCAAAGTGCTGGGATTACAGATATGATCCATCATGCCTGGCCAGTATTCTGAGCCTGTTTAAGGTAGGCTAGGCTATGATGTTTGGTAGGTTAGGTGTACTATGCATTTTTTGATTTATATTTTCAATTTACAATGGGCTTATTGGGACTTAACACCAACAAAAGTTGTGGAACATCTGTATTAGCAAATCCTGTGCAAAAAGAATTATATACCACAATTGAGTAGGATTTATCCCAGATATGCAAGGCTGGTTTAACATTTGAAAATCAATTAACGGCCAGGTGCGGTGGCTCATGCCTGTAATCCTAGCACTTTGGGAGGCCAAGGTGGGCAGACCACTTGAGGTCAGAAGTTCGAGACCAGCCTGGCCAACGTAGTGAACTCCTGTCTCTATTAAAAAGTACAAAAATTAGCCTGGCATGGTGGCAGGAGCCTGTAATCCCAGCTACTTGGGGGCTGAGGCAGGAGAATCACTTGAACCCGGGAGGTGGAGGTTGCAGTGAGCCGAGATCACACCACTGCACTCCAGCCTGGGCAACAGAGCCAGACTGCGTCTCAACAACAACAACAAAAAAAATCAATTTACATAATCAATCACATGAGCACATCAATGGATACAGGAAAAGCACTGGACAAAATCCAACACCCATTCATGATAAGAACTCTCAGCAAACTAGGAATAGACAGGAATCTCCTCAACTTAATAAAGAACATCTACAAAATACCTATGCTAACATAAGACATAATGGTGAGAAACTCAAAGCTTTCCCTTAAGATCAGGAACAAAGCAACGATGCCCTCTCTCACCACTGCTTTCTAATATCATACTGAAAGTTCTAATTAATGCAATAAAACAAGAAAAGGAAATTTTATACAGTTTGGGATGGAAGAAATAAAACTGTCTTTGTTAGCAGATGACATGATCATCTATGTAGAAAATCTGACCAGAAAATCCCTCCTGGAACTAATAAGCAATTATAGCAAGGTTTCAGGATACAGAATTAATATACAAGAGCCAATCATTTTCCTATATCAGTAATGAGTAAGTGGAATTTGAAATTAAAAACACATTAGCATTATGTTAGCAGCACCCAAAATTACATAGGTATAAGTCTAACAAAATATGCATAAAACTTGGATGAAAATCTTCAAAGAACATCTAAATAATTGGAGATATATTCCATATTCACGGACAGGAGATTTACTGTTAAGATATCAGTTCTGGCTGGGTGCAGTGGCTCACGCCTGTAATCCAAGCACTTTGGGAGGCCGAGGTGGGCAGATCAAGAGGTCAGGAGTTCGAGACCAGTCTGATCTCGAACTGGTAAACCCCGTCTCTACTAAAATACAAAAATTAGCCAGGCATAGTGGTGCGCACCTGTAATCCCAGCTACTCGGGAGGCTGAGGCAGGAGAATCGCTTGAAACTGGGAGTCAGAGGTTGCAGTGAGCCAAGATCGCACCACTGCACTCCAGCCTGGGCGACAGAGCGAGACTCCATCTCAAATAAATAAATAAATAAATAAATAAATACATAAATAAATAAATATCAGTTCTTCCTCACTTGATCTACAGATTCAATGCAATCCCAATAACAATTCCAGCAAGTTGTTTTGTACATATTGACAAACTGATTCTAAAATTAATATGGAAATGCAAAAGATCTAAAATATTGAAAGAGAACATCATCAGAGGACTGCCACTACACAACTTCAAGACTTGCCATAAAGTGACAGTATTAAAGACAGCATAGTACTGGCAAAAGAATAAACAAATGCAGCAGAATGGAGATCTCAGGAATAGATCCACGTGAATATAGTAAACTGATCTTTGATAAAGGAGAAAAAGCAGTATTAATGAAGCAAAGATAGTCTTTTCAACAAATGGTGCTGGAACAACTGGACATCGACATGCAAAAATACGAATCTAGACAAACACCTTACATCCTTAAAAAAACTTAACTCAAAATGGGCCACTGACCTAAATGTAAAACATAAAACTGTAACATTTGTAGAAGAGAAGAGAAAACCTGGATAATCTAGGGTTTGTTGATGACTTCAGATACAACACCAAAGCACAGTCCATGAAATAAAGAACTGATGAGATGGACTTGCTCTGTCAAAGACAATGTTAAGTGAAGCCACAGACTGGGAGAAAATTTTGCAAGTCACTGCTGATAAACGGCTGTTATCTACAAATTACAAAGAATTCCTAAAACTCAACAATAAGAAAATGAATAACCTGATTGAAAAAAATGGGCAAAAGACCTGGACACCTCGCCAAAGTATATAGACGGCAAGTCAGCATATGAAAAATGTCAACATCATATGTCATTAGGAAATTGCAAATTAAAACAATATGAACCACTACATATCTAGCAGAACAAAGAAACCCAAAACACTGACACCACCAAATGCTGGCAAGGATGTGAAGCAACAGGAACTCTCATTCATTGAGTATAGCCACTTTGGAAGGTAGTCTGGTGGTTTCTTAATAAACTAAATATATTCTTACCATATGATCCAACAATCTTGATCCTTGGTATTGATCCAAATGAACTGAAAACTTATGTCTATACAAAACCTTGCACACAGATGTTTATAGCAGCTTTATTCATAATTGCCAAAACTTGGAAGCAACCAAGATGTTTTTCAGTAGATGAATGGATAAACTGTGGTATGTCAGACAATGGAATATTATTCAACGCTAAAAAGAAATGAGCTATCAAGCTTCGAAGAGAAATGGAAGAAACGTAAATACATACTGCTAAGTGAAGAAGCCAGTATGACTATACGACATTCTGGAAAAGACAGAACTATGTAAACAGTAAAAATGTCAGTGGTTTCCAGGGGTTAGAGAAGAGGGAGGAATGAACAGGCAGAGCACAGAGGATTTTTTAGGGCAGTGAAACTATTTTGTATGATACTACACTGGTGAATACATGTCCTTATATACATGTCAAAACCCATAGAATATACAACACCAAGAATGAGCCATAATGTAAACAACAGACATTGAATCATTTGAAAAAATCATGCTGTGCCCACATGCTGGACTGTATGGCAACTTCATCAAACTGGAAATTCCAAAAGAATTAAATTAATACAATGGAAAGAGAGGCAAAAAAACGTGAGTAGGGGGATCATCTGCTCCTTAAAATTGCTTCTTTTCCTCCCAGAAATTCTGAAATCTAAATTTTAATTCATCAATAGTATGCACTACCCTGACAATTATTCTATCATGGTGACTTTATTTCTCTCAAATACATGTACAAATAACACACTGGTGGCCGGGCGTGGTGGCTCACACCTGTAATCCTAGCACTTTGGAAGGCCAAGGTGGGCGGATCACTTCAGGTTAGGAGTTCGAGACCAGCCTGGCCAACATGACAAAACCCCGTCTCTACTAAAAATACAAAAATTAATGCTGGGCGTGGTGGCATGCACCTGTAATCCCAGCTACTCAGGTGGGTGAGGCACAGGAATTACGTGAACCTGGGACGCAGAGGTTGCAGTGAGCTGAGATCGCACCACTGCATTCCAGCCTGGGCGACAGAGACTCTGTCTCAAAATAAAAAACCCAAAAAAACAAAAAAAACCCACATTGGTGAAAACATCACTGTGTCAGCTGACAGTACAAAGTTCCAAAGTATGTGTGTGTATATATATATATATATATATTTTTTTTTTTGGACGGAGTCTCACTCTGTTGCCCAGGCTGGAATGCAGTGGTTCAATCTTGGCTCACTGCAACCTCTGCCTCCCACATTCAAGTGATTCTCCTGCCTCAGCCTCCCGAGTAGCTGGGACTATAGGTGCATGCCACCACACCCAGCTAATTTTTTAATTTTTGGTAGAGAAAGGGTTTCACCATGTTGGCCAGGCTGGTCTCGAACTCCTGGCCTCAAGTGATCTGTCCACCACAGCCCCCCAAAGTGCTGGAATTACAGACATGAGCCACCATGCCTGGCCTCTAAAAAGTATTTTTACAGGTGCTTTTGCAAAAATACTATTTGGAAAAAAGGTACACTAATTTTGATGTGTTATTTATCACATTAAAAATAACAATAACCTTAAAAGAATCCTTTCTGGCAATGGTAAGAATATTCTGAGATTTTTTTTTTTTTAACAGATAGGGTCTCTTCATGTTGCCCAGGCTGGTCTTGAATTCCTGGCCTCAAGCAAGCCTCCTGCCTCAGCCTCCCAAAGTGCTGGGATTATAGACGTTAGCCACTGCACCTGACCAGATTTTCATTCTCTTAAAGCCCATGAGAGTGTGTATTTTAAGGGGGCTAATCCAACTTTTAATGTTCCAAATACATCATTTAAAAATAGAGGTGCTCTTCTAAGAGGCGGGACAAGGCATTCACATAATCCAGAAGCCATTTTAAAACGGTGTTCCTTCTGCTCAATGTCATCTATCAGTGTCTAATTAGGTTTTGATATATTTTTGCCTTAAATATAAAAGGCTGATGCTAAATTCATCAGCACCACAGCATAATAAGGTAATTATTTCCAAGATGTGAATTATTTGTGAGATTCATTTTCTAAATCTGTTATTCAGCCTAAAAATAGAAAAATGAAAACTGACAATGAAATATTTTTTGTATAATCAATTCTAATGACTGCTTTACACTGACAAAAAAGAAAACAGTAATTATATACACTTTGTACAATAAATAAAACGTAAAAAAATATTTCAATACATAGAAGCTTTACACATCCAAAATACAGTACATATATATGAAATATCTCTCTAAAATTCAATGAAATACTACAAACTACTATAATTTTCATTATAAATTATATATATTTCAATATAGAAATGTTTTTCTTTAACATTTTAAATTTCAGAGATAACTTGCATGGTAATATTGTGGAGAATAATTTTACATACCAAGCTTTTTAGTAATTAATTGTAATTAATAATTCAATGGAAGGGCATGATTGTGATAATATGAAGAAAAATTTCTTAATTATGCCAAAAGTACCATTTTTAGGAATATAAAGATACAGTGTTCCATTTCTGTATAGATGGTAATGCTGAAAATACAAGGGAAGGTATTAGATTTTTTCAGTATCTGTCTTGAGTACAACTCTGTAGAATGGTGGGGGCCAAACTGAGGGATTTCTATAAAGTCAAATTACTAGATTACCATCCCATCTCATTACTTACAAAAATTACTTTAGAAGCAGTCTTCTAAGGCAAAATGTATTTTAATATGTCTCAAAAAGTTAATAAAAATACTGCTTCTTAATGTTTCAAAGCCTGTATGATAAATAAACCTCCACTTTATGTACTTTAAAACATGGTCTTTATATATAAACTAGACAAACTAATAACTTAGGGGTAATGGAGAGACAACTGAAGACATTTATTCCTCTATTCGAATAAAGGTGAGGAAAAGTTATGATGATGCCTAAGAATACTTTACTAGGTAAGTGTCGAAAAGGTCAGGAGTTCAATATTTAATACCATTTTGGTGTTTGCCTATTTTATAATATTTGACCCACTGTATTAGTTATTCAAGAAGAACGTTAGGTAACTTTAAAATGACTTGAGAAAGTTTATTCTTTCTGAAAGTGTATATGTAGTGTTTTGACATACATACATGTATTTATATATTTATAAAATTATGTTGCAGATTTCTGAAGTTCTTGAGAGTAATTTCTTATTCTCAAATGTATGTAATCTTTCCAGTAAAGAATACACATTGATTTAAAATCTGTTATAACTGTACTTACTTTCAGAAAGAATATTTGTTCTGCAGTTTGTAAGGAAATTTGTTTACAAATATAAATTAATCTGCATTAATATCTTTTTTCCATATATCCCATGGCATATAGTCACTTAACAGAGTGACTGTTTTTTTATCCTTTAAATTTTATCCTTTAAATAAAGCCTGCAATTTGGGAGTGTAAATGTATAGTCTGATTAAAAAGTTAAAACATACTAAATATGTAAAGTATATAACAATTTAATTGCTACTGATCCACTGATATTTATTTTCTGTTTCTTCTTTTTGGACTCTTTGTTCTTCTCGGTGATTAGCTGCAGCCCAAAATGTTATTTTTTTGAGTACTTGTTGCAGAAGTTTAGGAGGTAATAAAGATATCTGACTTTCTAACATGATAGAATTTTTACCAATGCAGTCAAGGCATGACCTGTAAATAAAACATAACAGAATTATTAGTCTTGAACCTGAGGTTATAATATAAAATATTTATAGTTAAGAATTCTTTCTTTTTTAACATTGTAGTATTGGACTTTCACAGATCTTTTTTTAATTTTTAATTTTTGTCAGTACATAGTAGGTACATATATTTATGTGGTACATGAGATGTTTTGATACAGACAGGCAATGCATAATAATCATGTCATAGAAAATGGGGTATCCATCCCCTCAAACATTTATCCTTTGTTATAGTTAAGTATTCCTAAAATTTAAAATCATCATAAAAATTTTACATGGCAATGCATTCATTTGTTTTGTTTGGAACATGATAGGATTTTTTTTTCCCAGAGCACCATAATAATCATATATTTTTATAGCATAGAGACTAAATCTGACCAAAATCCAATGGAAACAGAATATATGGCTTACCATGCATAATGTTCTTTAAGTAAAAATGATTCAGACTTAATTTCAAACCAGATGAGTCTATGGCAGCTCCTGTTTATGTCATCCTTTCAGTCAGCCCAATAACCATATACCCTTCTCACAGAACTGTCCTTTGCTTCTGTCACCTCAAGATGAAACATCTATTTTTATATCTGCTCCATGTTTCTTCCATAAACAACTGCACGGGGGTTACACACTTGACTTATTTGACCCAGAGAGAGCAGGGTGAAAGACAGGAATGGAGCGATACAGGAAGTGCCAAGAGACCACTTGGGTTTCTACTCTTCTGGGGGCGTGGGTGTTCATTTCTTTTCCCCTTTGATTCCATTAGACTAGAGGGCAGTATCCTTCCAAGTACAATGCCCTTTTTAATCTTATGCTATTTTGAAGAGCATTTTGTACTTTAAAACCACAAGAAACTTAAGAACTATCAAAAAAGCATCTGTTTCAATTAATAAACTTTAATTCAAAAAAATAAGTGTTAAAAATTTTTTTAACAGACTCATTTGATTCTGCTGTGGGTAACTTTAGCTGTCATTTTTACAAGCACTTATACTCTAGAGATTTAGATGTTCTTCTCTACTCTTTGAAGCTTTTTCCCTCCACTCTGGAACAACTCTAAACAAGAAGTGAGTTAAAATGTCCTGAGAGGTTGAAGTAGAGGTACAGGGTTCTGTGGGAATCAGAGGAGAAGAATAACTAAGACAACCTTAGCAAGCCAGGGGAAACTCTCCAGATGGAGGTCCAAGCTGAGACCTTGAGGTCCTCAACAAATTAAAGAAACAAAGGTATTCCAGCTAGAAGAACCACATTTGCAAAGCCCTAGAGACGAGAAATAAGATTACAGAAACTGCACTTCTATTGTCTAAATACAGCTGGAGGGCAGAGCGCGAGTGGGGCATGGCCAGAGGTGAGACAGATAAATGGAGGCCCTGAGGACCATGCGAAGGAATCTGCTGTTTGTCTCTGGCAGTGCGAGCCAAGCAGGAATCATCACAATACAACATGTGATACATCAGTTTTCCATAGTAATATATAAGAATATTTCATGACTAATTTTTTTTTCCTGAGATGGAGTCTTTCTCTGTTAACCAGGCTGGAGTGTGGTGGCCTGATCTCAGCTTACTGCAACCTCCCACTCCTGGGTTCAAGCGATTCTCCTGCCTCAGCCTCCTGAGTAGCTGTTATTACAGGTGTGTGCCACACCACGCCTGGCTAATTTCTGTATTTTTAATAGAGATGGGGTTTTGCCATGTTGGCCAGGCTGGTCTTGAACTCTTACCTCAGGTGATCCGCCCACCTTGGCCTCACAAAGTGTTGGGATTACAGGCCTCACTGCGCCCAGCCTGATGCCTAATTTTTATAGTAGCCCCAAATTCCCAAATTGCAGATATCCTAAATATAATAGACTAGTTAATAAATTGTATTTCTTTTTTTTTTTTTTTTTTTTGAGACGGAGTCTCACTCTGTTGCGCAGGCTGGAGTGTAGTAATGTGATCTCGGCTTACTGCAGCCTCTGCCTCCCAGGTTCAAGCAATTCTCCCTCCTCATCCTCCCGAGTAGCTGGGACTACAGGCGCATGCCACCATGCCCAGCTAATTTTTTTGTATTTTTAGTCGAGACATGGTTTCACCACCTTGGCCAGGCTAGTCTTGAACTCCGAACTCCTGCCCCTTGGGTGATCCACCTGCCTTGACCTCCCAAAGTGCTGGGATTACAGGTTTGAGCCATTGCACCTAGCCAATAAACTGTATTTCCACGAGATAGAACCTATATAGCCATTACTAACTTAAGTATAGATTTATTATACTGAATGATTATTTACATGAAAGATATTACAAAACAGACTGCATAATTTGATCCTTTATACATTCACATATACATATATGTGTACTGCTCTTGCTGAGGTTTCCAATGACCTCTTAGCATGATTAAGTTCACTCTAATCATTTAATAAAATCATTAAAATCATGTATATAGGGTTATATATTGATCATTATATAAATGATTTATATATAAAATCTCTCTCTGCTGGGCGGGGTGGCTCACGCCTGTAATCCCAGCACTTTGGGAGGCCGAGGCGGGAGGATCATGAGGTCAGGAGTTCGAGACCAGGCTGGCCAATATGGTGAAATCTCATCTCTACTAAAAATACAAAAATTAGCCGGGTGTGATGGTGCGTGCCTGTAATCTCAGCTACTCGGGAGGCTGAGGCAGAAGAATTGCTTGAACCCAGGAGGCGGAGGTTGCAGTGAGCCAAGATTGCGCCACTGCACTCCAGCCTTGGTGACAGAGTGAGACTCTGTCTCAAAAGAAAAAAAAAAGAAAAAAAATTTCTCTCAGTATATATATACATATATATACATGTACAATTTTTATAATTTTACTAATACATGTATATATATACCCCCTACGATGGCTCATAGGTGATTTTTTTACTATATACTTTTCATATCGTATGAATTTTCTTGGTAAATACATCTTTTTACAATCAGAACAATATAGCTATTTCTTTTAATTTCTTATAATATTCTTTTATATCCAAAGGTAAGATGAACATGATCCCACAAATCTACTAGACGATATAAGCCACTTCCTATCATTTCTACACTTTTTCATCTTCTGCATCATTGCTTATCTCCCCTCCCAAACCTGGGTTTTTTGCTTTTTGGAACACCAGCTGTATGTTCTATAAACACCCCTGCTTCCTCTGACTTTCTGAAATCTAAGAAAATTGTTGTGTGTGCAGCTTTCTTGAGAAAATAGTACACATTTTCCCTCATCTCCATTTTCACAGTCAAGGATCCAGTGTCTGTAGTCTCACTTCTCACCACTGCTTCCAGGTTATATCATTTCACATGCAGGTGTTGCCATCTACTAACCTCCAGCTCATTTTCCCCCAGTCACTGAGGTCTTTGGCCCTGGCTCACCACAGTCCCTTTCCTTGACTGATTTTAGCATCTGTGTGGAGAAACCTTTTCATTCTTTATGACCTTGCTCAGGACAGTTCCACCTGTGAAATCTTAAACTCCCATCCTCCTCTTGGACCAGAAACCTCTTATCCTTTTAATTCTTACATTCCCTTACTCTTTGGACTCTTCTCGGTTCTCCAAATAATAAGACCCTTCCAGTTTTAACTTTCTTTTGTATCCAGCCTAGCTCACCTGCACTTCATTCTCTTGCCAGCAATTTTAATCCCCTTCACCGTTTGTTACCCATCCCAGCCAAACTGCAATGATGGATAAATTCAGCCAGTCATCTCCTTTCTGCACCTGCGACCCAGCTGTTTAGTGCTACTGGGGAAAGCCATGTTTCTCAGCTATGGTGCCACTACATATTGATGATATTCTACCTCAGCTGCGTGCTACTTTGTTATATATCCCGCAGACAGACGTCAGCATCTTCCTGCAGTCACCTAGGCAGCTACTTCAAATCTTCACCATTCATCTTAAGTTCTTATCCTCACCTCTCTTTTCTCTTATCAGATGACCTCACTATCAACTAGAACTTCTCAATGTCCCACCCCAACCAAAAAAGTTTTCTATCTATATATCCATACTTCCTTCTTTCTCCACTATTTTAAAGAAAAGAATCCTTTCTCCAGTCAAGGACTAATTTAAAAATCTGTTTGCTAAAATCACCTTCTCAAGACACTGCTCTACCCGCTTTTCCTGCATTTTCTTGTGTTTCTAACAACCTACTCTCCATTGGCTTCTCCTGCCCAACCGGCATATAAACAAACATACTCATCCTCCCTCGGTCTTGGTGCTCTTCCCCAGAAGTCACCCTTCACTAACAGAGAAATGGTGGAGAAGGGGATTAAAATTGCTGGCAAGAGAAAGAAGTACAGGTGAACTAGGCTGGATATGAAAGAAAGTTAAGGCTGGGTGTGGTGGCTCACGCCTGTAATCCCAGCACTTTGGGAGGCCGAGGCGGGTGAATCACGAGGTCAGGAGATCGAGACCATCCTGGCTAACATGGTGAAACCCCTGTCTCTACTAAAAATACAAAAAATTAGCCGGGTGTGGTGGCGGGCACCTGTGGTCCCAGCTACTCGGGAGGCTGAGGCAGGAGAATGGCGTGAACCCGGGAGGTGGAGCTTGCAGTGAGCTGAGATCGCGTACTGCACTCCAGCCTGGGTGAGAATGAGACTCCGTCTCAAAAAAAAAAAAAAAAAGAGAGAAAGCTAAAACTGGAAGGGTGGAAGGGTCTTATTATTTGGAGAACCGAGAAGAGTCCAAGGAGTAAGGGAGTGTAAGAATTAACAGGATAAGAGGTTTCTGGTCCAAGAGGAGGATGGGAGTTTAAGATTTCACAGGTGGAACTGTGCTGAGCAAGGTCATAAAGAATGAAAAGAGTTCTCCACACAGATGCTAAAATCAGTCAAGAAAAGGGACTGTGGTGAGCCAGGGCCAAAGTCCTCAGTGACTGGGGGAAAATGAGCTGGAGGTTAGTAGATGGCAACACCTGCATGTGAAATGATGTAACCTGGAAGCAGTGGTGAGAAGTGAGACTACAGACACTGGATCCTTGACTGTGAAAATGGAGATGAGGGAAAATATGTACTATCCACAGTGCTTTTCAATCCAAATGTTCTAGGATCTCTTTAGTCTTTCCTTGTTCAGATCTCCCTTCTCTTGGTTTTTGTGCTACCATTATCTCCTGGCTAGCCTTCAACTTCTCTGGTCACTCTCTTGCTGCCTCCTTTTCTTCTCCCTCCCCCTCAAATGTAGTAAGGTCCTAATGCTGAGTTGCTGGCTTTCTCCTTACTTCTAAAACTCCTCCTGGCCAGAGCTAATCCACACTTACTAATTCTCCAATGATTATGAAATTTTATGTCTGGCCCAGACCTCTTTCCATATATTTAAGCATTTAATGGATAGCTCCACTACAGTTCCCATAAACACTTAGCACGTCCAAAACCAAACTCATCATTTCTACCCTTATGCCATCTTCAGACTGCTGCCTTTCTCCATATTCCTCCTATCATTAATTCTCCCCACTCCTTTTCCTTGGCATCTATTTAACTACCAAGTCCATTCTCCCTCCTAAATATCTCCATCTCCCTTCCTTCTCCAGCCCCATTGATACTTTCCAGATCAGACATTCACTCTGTACCTGACCACTGTAATAGTCTCTTTACCAATTTTCTTTACCCAGTCACATATCCCTTCAATTTTTCGTCCACTCTGTTGCCAGAGGAATTGTCTAACTTGTAATATGATCATCTTATTCTCTTGCTCCAAATTTTTCAATGGCTCTTGATCTCTTTACACCAGATACTGTAAAAGAGAGATAAAGTTCTAGATGACATATGATTTCTGATTTCTTGTCCAACATCATTTCTTGCAACTCTCTGCCTCATACTACATTCCAGGAATGCTCAAGAATTCAGTATCCAGAACATACTATGCTTTTGTATATATCTTTACACTAACACCCTTGCACTGTTTGTTCATGGCAAATTCTTAGCTCAAATCCTTCTTCTGCAAAGACTTCCCTAACCTTTGCCATCTTAATCATAGACAGACAAAAGGCCTTCTTCTCCAGTATTCTCATAAACTTTGTATATGTTTCTCTTAAGGCAATTTCCTTTTTCTATTGTAGAAAAAGTCTGGAAGCTTGAAAGTCTACCTTCTATATTATTAGCAATGTTAGGGAAAGGCCATGCCTTCTTATTTCATGGCACAGTGCCTTCCCAAGTAGGCACTCAAGTGTTTCTTGATCCCTGCATATGAGGAACTTGCAATCCAAAGTGCAGGCCACACCCTGGACTAATTAAATCATCATCTGTAGGGGCAGAACACAGGCATTAATTTTTTTGAAGCCCCTCATGAGAGTTTAGTTTGAGAACTACTGTGCTAAGAGAAGGGGTAGTTAAGAAAGACGTCAGAAAGGTCCAGTTTGAGCTAGTCTAATGGTTTTCAGGTGGTTCATGTTATAGAACATCTAAATGTCACAGTATACTCCTTGAAATATAACTTGTCCCCTCTCTTTATCTCTCTCTTTCTCATATGTCTTCACTTATGTTATTCCCTCTGCATAAAATTCCCACACTTGTTCACTGGGCAACTTCTACATCTCTCAAATCCTGCCTCCTTCCTCCCAACTCTCACAGGTAGAAATAGGGGCTTCTTCCATAATCCTCCCACTAAACTTTGTACAGACTCCTTTTAGAGTAAGAATGTATGAACTAAGACACTACAAGTCATAACACCAACTTAATACTAGCTTTGGGGTTAAAAAAGAAATTCTTCTATATTAAATATCTGTGTATGTGTGTATATACAGTCAGCCCCCTGTATCTGTAAGTTCCTCCTCTGTGGATTCAATCAACTGCAGATTGAAAATATAGTTAGGCTTATGACAGTTGCATCTGTACTGAACATGTACAGACTTTTTTTTTCTTGTAATTATTCCCTAAACAATACAGTGTAACAATTATTTTCATAGTATTTAAATTGTATTAGGAATTATGAGTAATATAGAGATTATTTAAAGTATATAGTAGGATAGGCATAGGTTTATATGCAAATACTACATCACCCTATATAAGAGACTTGAGCATCCATGAATTTTGGTATCCAAGTGGGGGTTTTCCTGGAACCGATCCCCACAAATACCAAGGAATGACTATATAACATATATATGATATATATTATTAGGCACACTCTAATTTCCAAAAAGTTAAAATGTGAAAAATGTCAGGCTTAGAATTAAGGAAATATAGTATGTTTAATATTACCATATAAACTAAAGGCAATTTTACAAACAAAACAGTGACTGTATTGTATGTGTACATACACACACACACACACACACACACACACACACATATATACAGGCTTTCAGTCTATTTCCAGGCTGGAGTACAGGAAACATGATCATAGCTCAACGCAGCCTCAAACTCCTGCACTCAAGCCATCCTCCCACTTCAGCCTCCCTAGTAGCCACAGTAGCCAAGACTACACACGTGAGCTACCATGCCAGCTACTTTTTTTTTTTTGTAGAGTCGTGGGTTTCACAATGTTACCCACACTGGTCTTGAACTCCTGACCTCAAGTGATCCTCCTGCTTTGTCCTCTCAGAGCACTCAATTACAGGTGTAAGTCATCACGCCACGCATGTATATTTTAATTTTTAAAACTCACATTGGTGTATAGTTCACCATTATAAATTTGATTATACTCTTAGGAAGATGTGAACATATTCTTGAATTCATGTCATAAGCAACCTGAAAAATATTTCAATGCTTCCCAAAAATGAGAAAGAAATTATCATATACTCATAGCAAATATATAGAAAATATTAAATTTGCTTACCTGAGTAGTGAATAAGGCTGTGTTTGAAAGATCAATAAATCATTACAGTGACCCTAATCAACACAAAAAAGGCATTATTAAGTTTTTGATAAAAATAACAATGAGTTAATAATTGAATGTTTCTTAATTTTATAAATGTAAAAGATATTGTATAAGGCAGCAAATAAATCTTTCTAGCTGTTGACACACACACATAAATTCATGCACACACATAAACATACATGTACATACATATACCTGCTACCTACAAACTTTGAGTTTGTGGTTTCCAATTTTCAGTGACCAAATTTTAACCTAACCAATAGCCTACATAATTGCAAATTTGAAAATAAGAAATACATTCTTCACCGAGAAGTGAGTTAAAAAATAACGGTAGTGGTTTTCTTTTCTTTTTTTTTTTTTTTTTGAGATGGAGTCCTGCTCTGTCGCCCAGACTGGAGTGCAGTGGTGCAATCTCCACTCACTGCAACCTCCAACTCCCAGGTTCAAGCGATTCTCTTGCCTCAGCCTCCTGAGTAGCTGGAATTACAGGCGCCCACTACCATGCTCTGCTAATTTTTTTTGTATTTTTAGTATAGACAAGGTTTCGCCATGTTGGCCAGGCTGGTTTCGAACTCCTGACCTCAGGTGATCCACCTGCCTCAGCCTCCCAAAGTGTTGTGATTACAGGCGTGAGCCACCGCACCCAGCCCAGTAGTGGTTTTCAAACCTTTTTTTTTTTTTTTTTTTTTTTGGAGACAGGGTCTGGCTCTCTTGCCCAGGCTGGAGTGCAGTGGTGCAATCAGAGCTCACTGCAACCTCTGCCTTCCTGGCTTAAGCCATCCTCCAACCTCAGCCCCGCAAGTAGCTGGGACCACAGGAACAGGCTACCACGTCCAGCTGGTGTAGAGACAGGGTTTCACCATGTTGCCCTGGCTGGTCTCAAACTCCTGAGCTCAAGCAGTCTGCCGGCCTCAGCCTTCCAAAGTGCTGGGATTACAGGTATGAGCCACCACGCCTGGCACTTTTTTTGTTTTTAAGCTGAACTTTTTCTTTCAAATAACTCATATGTAAAAATTTCCTCTTTACCTTGTCCTCCTTTTCCAGGTGGTCTCAAGATTCCCCGGGAATTCTCTTTTTTTTTTTTTTTTTTTAGGACGGAGTCTCGCTCTGTTGCCCAGGCTAGAGTGCGGTGGTGCGATCTCGGCTCACCGCAACCTCTGCCTCCCGGGTTCAAGTGATTCTCTTGCCTCAGCCTCCTGAGTAGCTGGGATTACAGGTGCACACCACCACATCCTGGCTAATTTTTGTAATTTTTAGTAGAGATGGGGTTTTGCCATGTTGGCCAGGCTAGTCTGGAACTCTTGATCTCAGGGTGATCTGCCCACCTCAGCTTCCCAAAGTGCTGGGATTACAGGCGTGAGCCACCACGCCCAGCCCTCCCCGGGAATTCTTAATTTGAAAGTCAAGATCTGGAAGATTATTTGAATAATGAGTCTCTCATCTAAAAGTTAATGTGGTAGAAAAGTCACAGAAAATGTATCTAATCCTTTCAAATAGGTCTTTAGAATTTCATAATTTATGATCATGCTTTTAATCAGAATTCCTACTTTCATGATAAACTTTGTATCCTAAATGAAGATTTCTAGTGCCAAGAAAGAGAAGACAAACCACAAAATTTGCTTTTTTAATAAATGCGAAGTTGTAGTTTTAATCTTTTAGTGAAGCACTGAATTCTCAGCCAAAGAAAGCTCTAAAACTTTCAATATACAAAACATTTAAGTTAGGGGCTTCATAACTACAAAATAAAGCAAATTCCATGGAGAGAAGCCATCCTGCTTTGGAGTTTGCCACTCCATAGGAGCAGCTCTGGAGATAACTGTGCCTCAAGAGATGAAAGGGAGCTAGTGCCCTCTGGGTTAGGCTCTGGCTCACCATACCCCATCCCTGATGGCTCAGAATCCTCTATTTCTGAGTGTCCTACACAAAACCACATCAATCATTCCTGAACTCCTGTCCCATTGTGTATAGTGTATAAATATGGCCGCCCTGCTCTGAATTTCCCAGGGTGCTAGGAGTGAAAGAACCATACTCTCCAAATGCTACTCATTTATGCCTCTGACCTTAGTTTTATCAAATTTTAAAATTGAAATGCTTTAAACTTAAATGTAAAACAGCTGAGTAAAGCAGTGGTAAAAGATATATAGTAAAAAAGAGAATAGGCCAGGCACGGTGCTGATGCCTGTAATCCCTGCACTTCGGGAGGCTGAGGTGAGTGGATCACTTGAGGTCAGGAGTTCAAGACCAGCCTGACCAACACGGTGAAACCTCATCTCTACTAAAAATACAAAAAATTAGCCGGGCGTTGTGGCACACGCCTGTAATCCCAGCTACTTGGGAGGCTGAGGCCGGAGAATCGCTTGAACCCAGGAGGTGGAGGCTGCAGCGAACCGAGATCATGCCACTGCACTCCAGCCTGGGTAACAGCGAAATCCTGTCTCAAAAAAAAAAAATAATAATATACTTGGAATATTTCAACAAAGTAGTTTCCTCTTGAAGGGGCAAGCTAGTAGGTAAGATTCAGAAGGAATAATCAGGTGGCTTCAACAGTACTGATGATGTTCTAACTCTAAAATTAGCTAACAAAATTCATGGGTATTTATTATACTTAGCATCTACATTATTAATATTCTTTTTATGTATCAAATATTAGATAAAAATATATATTTCTTTGAGACAGGGTCTCGCTCTGTCACCCAGACTGGAGTACAATGGCATGATCTTGGTTTGCTGCAACCTCCACCTCCTGGGTTCAAGTGATTCTCGTGCCTCAGCCTCCTAAGTAGCTGGGACTACAGGCATGCACCTCCACACCTGGGTCATTTTTGTATTTTTAGTAGAGATGGTTTTTGCTGTGTTGGCCAGGCTGGTCTCGAACTCCTGGCCTCAAGTGATTTGCCTGCCTTGGCCTCCCAAAGTGCTGGGATTTAGAGGCGTGGGCAACTACACCCAGCCTACATACAAATATTTTAATTCAATAATATTAGAGAAACCCATGTAAGAGAAAAGAGAAAGAGGAGTCATCCTTTAAAAGGTCTTCTTAATAATTTTGCTAATCAAACTAATAGACCTATTTTGATTTGTAAATCCAAAATATCCAGAAAGGCTTCATAAAAGCCAGTCATCCTTGCTGGGTGCGGTGGCTCACGCCTGTAATCCCAGCACTTTGGGAGGCTGAGGCGGGCGGATCACGAGGTCAGGAGATCAAGACCATCTTGGCTAACACGGTGAAACCCCGTCTCTCTACTAAAAATACAAAAAATTAGCCGGGTATGTTGGCAGGTGCCTGTAGTCCCAGCTACTCGGGAGGCTGAGGCAGGAGAATGGTGTGAACCTGGGAGGCAGAGCTTGCAGTGAGCCGAGATCGCACCACTGCACTCCAGCCTGGGGGACAGAGCAAGACTCCATCTCAAAAACAAACAAACAAAAAAGCCAGTCATCCTGAAGATTAATTAAACCACAGAGTAACATTTCAGGCCCTTCATATTTTGCAATGTTAGAATATCAACATTCTTGCTGAATAGCCATTTAGTGTGAATAACACAACTACTCAGAGGAAATATTTAGATATAAGATTTTCTTACTGTATCCAAGGCAAGTAAGTCATCTTTGCTCCCACCAAATACCATTATTTCATTTTCTTTTCCCAAACAGGCTGTGTGCCATAACCTATGATTGAAAATTATAAACAGAGTGAAACACTGTCATGGGAGAAACTGTACATTATATATAAATCAATTCTAAATTTCATACTCTAAAATGTAATCTATTTAAAAGAGACACGATTGAACTTGAACCTTTGGAATATCCTAAAAAGGGTTATAAAGATTCCTCTAGAGTTCATTAAATCACACCATTAAAGAGATGACTCTCTCTCTGTTTTTTGTTTTTGTTTTTTAAAGAGATGAGGCTAGTTTTGAACTCCTGGGATCAGATAATCCTCCTGCCTCGGTCTCCTAAAGTGCTGGGATTATAGGCATGAGCCACCACACGCAGCCAGAGACGACTCTTAATAACTCTACTATATCCTTCAATATTTTTATAACCTTTTTCTCTCATACATATTATCCCTGCAGTGAAATAAATTAAAAAGGAACTGATCACCTTATTGCTGAAACAAGCACTTTCCCCAGTTTTCTTATTACTATCTGCGATGTTACTGTTCTTATAATTTTTGCCTTTTTTCCTACTCTATGTTCCCCATCACCCAACAAATCCAATTTGGCACTCCTTCACATTTCCATTGTCACACTACTCATCACTCTGAGTACAGAACACCATAATATGTTCCTAGTTTTTCAGTCTCTCATCTCCCTCAGCTACATATGGCTAATAACAAATATTTTTCAAATATTGCCTCTAACCATGGAAATTTCCTGATGATGAAGCATCTGCACTACCAATGGCTGTTTTCCTAGCCTAATATTTGTGATCAACCAGTTTCTTTTTCCCACAAATCTTAATTCTTGGCTTTTCCCAAATGAGCCCTCTACTTAGCTAAATTCATTCCCTTGCTTCCCCTATGAGAAAAGCTTATCATCTATCTCTAGGCTTTTGTTCACTCTGTTTCTTATGCTTAGAGTAATAAGCCATTCTTACTGGGCCTTAAAAACAGGCTCCAAACACCCAGGAAGTATTCCAAATACCCACCCAAAACTGGTTCTGTTACCATCTCTATTCAGCACCCTTTAATGTTTATGTGCTCATTTTATACTTGCCTCACTTACATTTGAAGAAGAACTGCTCTGCATGCTACTTTAGCTGTTTGACTAGCTAACTAAGATTATGAGGTCCTTAAGTTAAGAAATTGTCACAGTGGTGTGCTCAAACTGGCTTACTGGCTAGCAGAAGCTGATTGTACATATCTGCATCCAACTCCACGTGCAGTGACATCACGTTGGAAGCTTGAAATTGGCCATGGTAGGAGTATTTACACCTTGGAAATCGGCAAATGCTACAAATTAGGGCATCCTCCCACTCTGGAGAGTGCTTGTTGGCCATTAACAGCACACCATGGGAACCTGGGGAATCTAATTTTATGGCTTCTTAAAAATGCCTCATGTGGTGTTCTGTACCCAGTAGCTGCTCAAAAACTTGTGATTAACAAAAGCAAACATGAGGCTGGGCACGGTGGCTCAAGCCTGTAATCCCATCACTTTGGGAGGCTGAGGTGGGCAGATCACAAGGTCAGGAGTTCAAGACTAGCTTGGCCAACATGGTGAAACCCCATCTCTACTAAAAATAAAAAAAAAATTAGCCGAGCTTGTTGGCGCATGCCTGTAATCCCAGCTACTTAGAAGGCTGAGGCAGGAGAACTGCTTAAACCCAGGAGGTGGAGGTTGCAGTGATGCAGTGAGCCGACATCACACCACTGCACCCCAGCCTGGGTGACAGAGCTACACTCTGACTCAAAAAAAAAAAAAACAAAAAAACCAACCAAACAAAAGAGAACATGAAAAAAACAACATAATATATTCAGTCATTAGATATACAAATTATTTCATAAAGGAGTAGAGCATCTAATATTCTTTTGGAAGTGGTCTGATAGTTCATGTCTATTTCCAATATCACATTATTAACAAATAATAATTTTCGCCTGTAGTCCCAGCTACTCAGGAGGCTGAGGCAGGAGGATCGCTTGAACCCAGGAGGCGGAGGTTGCAGTGAGCCGAGATCATGCCACTGCACTCCAGCCTGATGACAGAGCGAGACTCCATCTCAAAAAACAAACAAAAAAACCCAAATACTAATTTTATGGTTTAACAAAGTTGAATATTTCCAGAGTAAGAGAACTCTCAAAAAAATTTCCCAATTTTAGAGGGTAAATTAGGGATTTTTACATAGTCATTGCTTTGACTTTTAGAGTACTTTGATTCCTTGTTTTTTTTTTTTTTTTTTTTTTGAGACAGGATCTGGCTCTGTCACCCAGGCTGGAGTGCAGTGGCACAATCTCTGGTTCCTCCATCCTCTGTCTCCCAGGCTCAAGTGATCCTCCCACCTCAGCCTCCTGAGTAGCTAGAACTACAGGCACACGCCACCACACCCAGCTAATTTTTTTTTTTTTTTCAGAGATGGGGTTTCACTGTATTATCCAGGCTGGTCTTGAACTCCTGGGCTTAAGCAATCCTCTCACCTTGGCCTCCCAAAGTGCTGGGATTACAGGTGTGAGCCACCACACCTGGCCTTGATTACTTTTCTTAATATACCAACTGTTGAAGCAACAGATACCTAAAACAATTATAAATCATAACTTATTTTATTACCACACAACTTATTTTATTTTTTCTACTTCCCAGGAACTGGGACACATAACTAATTTTTAGTACATTAATCCCTTTTACTTAAATTTCACAAGTGCAAACAGTGGAATTATGCACAATTCGTTAAACCAAATACTTTCCTCAAACAATCGTGTACACATTCAATGACAAATGCACTTGTGGCCCAAAATGGAACTAAGTCATTAGAGATGTTGTTTGGGAAATACTCTGCCCAGTTCTCCAACTCTTATAGAAGATACATTGATATAAATCTTCAACAAGAACCCAGATTACGTGGTGGGGTCAAGGATGGGAACTGGAAGAGGGTTAGGTAAAGGAGAGAGAATACAAAAAATGCCCTCATACATGGGAAGGAACAGATTAATTTCCTGGAGAGAAGGCTATGTGTAACCTTGGCGATACTCACGAGATCCAACAGTACTTGGGGCTCTATACACTAATATTTTCTCTAACATCTTTTTCAGACACATAAAAAAGGGTCCTTGCTGATAGCCAACTATATAGGCTATCAGATCTGGCTACATATATGGCTTTTCAGCCATAGGTTTATCTAAGGTGAGACTCAGAGAATAGGAGTGCTACACTGTAGAACAGTCGTTCTCAACCAGGGGCAATTTGTCCCCTAAAGAGGCATTTCACAGTATATGGAGATATTTTTAGTTGTCATAAGTTGGGGAGAGAAAAGGTAGTACAACTGGCATCTACTGGGTAAAGGACAGGGATGCTGCTAAACATACTACAATGCACAGGACACCCTCATGACAAAGAATTATGTGGTCCAAAATGTCAGTAATGCCAAGGTTGAGAAACCTAGCTGTAGAGTTCTAAGAGGAGAATTGGGCAGCTTACATTTCAAATTACAACTTGAAAAATTTGTACAAAATGCTTATAGATCTTAGCTAAATTGTCACTTTTATAAAAATTAGTATATATATAGACACATATATATGTTCTCCTTACACTCAACTGTATCCCACCTGTTCTTCTCCTCACCTCATACCTGTAGATCTGCCTCTGTCTTATCTGCCTTAGGGAAACTCTGGCCATTTCATCATCGAAGAACACTGGAAAGCCTTTCCTGCCTTGATTTTGGTGACATCTAGCTTGCAACCTGATGTTTTTTCTACAGACTGATAGTTTATGTCCTTTCACAGCTGCTCTAAACTTATCACCTAAACATTCTAATAAAGCATATTATTTACATGACACATCAGCTGAATTAAAAGAAATCTCTTTACATAGCTCTAGTTCTAACTAACAGTATATTATAGATAATAGTTGTGTTGCTCTACTCATTAAGGGTTGAAATATAAAATAGGAGCAATTTTAAAATTAAACATTTTTACTAATACTTTGGTCTATAATGCATTCATACAATCAAACAACTGGAATAAACTAAGAGATTATCTAGTCCAACTCTCTTATTTCACCGATGAAAAAATCGATGCTCAGTTTCTTTCTTTCTTTTTTTGAGACAGGGTCTGGCTCTGCTGCCCAGGCTGGAGTGCAGTGGCACAATCTCAGCTCACTGCAGCCTCAACCTCCTGGGATCAAGTGATCCTCCCACCTCAGCCTCCTGAGTAGCTGGGACTACAGGTGTGCACCACCACACCCGGCCATTAAAAAAAAACCAAAACTGTAGCAATGGGGTCTCACTATGTTGCCCAGGCTGCTCTCAAACTCCTGGACTCAAGTGATCCTCCTGCCTTGGCCTCCCAAATTGCTGGGATTAATAGGCGTGAGCCACCACACCTGGCCAATGCTCAGTTTCCTTAAGTGACTTTTCAAAGCCAAAAAAGTAGGTAGTAGCTGAGCAAGGACTAGAACTCTTGGCTCCCATGTCTCAGTACAAAACTCTTTACATTAAAAAAAAAAAATTTCAAAAGAGCCAGAAATGTTAAAGTAATACATTCCAATGAATTTTTATACATGAAGACAAAAGAATCACAAATGCAATTATGAATTCTAAACGTACTGTGAATATTAATATAGATACATATACCAAAATAAATATAAATATTTTCAGGCCTTTTTCTCAAGTAAGCTGTCATTTATTAAATAACAAAATATATATCATTAAATTGATTACACACTAGCATAAATAATCTGTATTTTTAAAATTCTAAAATACATAGCGTAAAAAAGAATTACCAATTATAATGATCATAATGTGCTGAATCTGAATTTCCTATGAAGATATTATTACACTATTCAATAAAATTAGAAAAAAACAAGAATTATAGTACAAATGTGGTTTTCTTTGTAGTTTAATAATAGTATATAATTTCTAAAATTTTTAATTCTATAATATACCATAAATAACGTATTTTCTTTTTCAAAAAATTCCCATCAATGAATACATCATGCAGTTAACAGAGATTAATAATAACCTGCCATCCATTGGATCAACATGGAAGCAAATTTCCTGATTAACTTGCTTTAAACCTCTTCCAAAAACAAATAACTACTATTAAAGCCAACCCCATTTTTGTCTGCTTATTAAAATTATTAACATTAAAAACATTAATCTCATATGATGCTTTTAATTATCTTAATCTTCACAGTTATCAGGCAAGATTATGCATTTACCTAAAAGAATAACATTTTCAAATATGCAAGTATGGGTGAAAACTGGATAGATCATTTCTAACAATCAGATATAATTAAAATAATAATTAAATTATTTAGGTAACATCAAGCTCATTTGAAAGATATCCTTCTCAATGGCTTATGGTTTCAATGGCAAACACTATAAATTCAGTACTATATTTTAATACTTTAAAAATTCTTAACTATTTTACTATTTGTCAATTTCTTGACTTACCTAGGTCTTGTTTTAGGTAAATGTGTAAGTTGTTTCCAACAATTTGTTGTGACATTATGAATCCAACCATCACCTGCAATATCATGACAGTTCAGAAATTAAGATTAGGTCTCTGGGATACAATTTTAATTTTCCCCCCAATTTATCATGCTACATTTAAATGACTATCTTTTCTGAGTGCACCTATTTTATCATACAAATTTTCAAACATTTACAAAAATAGAGTGACCATGACAATGAACTTCCATATATCGCAGATTCAACAACTATCAAGACTTTGCTACATGTGCTCCACTTATCTTTTTGTTATTATTGCTTAATTTTTCTAAATGAAATCCTAGATCTCACATCATTTTCTCCATACATACTTCAGTATGCATTACTGAAAATAAAAGGACATTTTTTACATAACCACAATGCCATTATCACAGTCAACCAAACTAAAAAAAAAGTCTTGGGATCATCTAATATCCATATGACCAAATCTTAGACTGAAACAGAATCTTTAAGGGAGGAAATTGACTAGCTTATGAGTTAGGACATTTAATTTCCCATAGGTCAATGACCAAAAACAGAAAACAGGAACTAAAAACACTAGAGATCATGAAGATATGATATTAAACAGCCCCTAGTGAAATGTACAGATGTTAGTTTTTGGTTAGATTCCAAATCTCTTTTAAATAAAAATCTCACAAATTGGAGAAGTATAATAATGTGCAAGAATAACTAACATCTCCTACTAGGAACTGTTGTTTCTCCAACTAACCTCTGGAATTTGTCTGACTGCCAGACACACAGCTGATGCTCAATAAACTTTTGTTGAAAAACAGTTGTTTCCAGACCCTAATATATAATTATATAAATGTTGTAATAGTGTATAATGTTTCTTAATGAAAACATCTCTAGCCAGAGAAAACTTCTGGGTTAAGAAAACAGAAAATGGCCAGGTGCGGTGGCTGACGCCTGTAGTCCCAGCACTTTGGGAGGCTGAGGCGGGTGGATCACGAGGTCAGGAATTCGAGACCAGCCTGGCCAACATGGTGAAACCCCACCTCTACATACAAAAATTAGCTGAGCGTGGTGGTGGGCACCTGTAATCCCAGCTACTCAGGTGCCTGAGGAAGGAGAATCGCTTGAACCCGGGAGGTGGAGGTTGCAGTGAGCCGAGATTGCACCATCCCACTCCAGCCCAGGCCACAGAGCAAGACTCCATCTCAAAAAAAAAAAAAAAGAAAAGAAAATAGAAAACATAAAACATCTAACATGCCAAATTAAGAAGTCAATATTCGTGGTCATCTGTCTATCTTGATGCCACAGTTCTACTGCTGAAAGAAAAACTGCATTCCAAAACCCATAGCCACTGGGATCAGCAATGACTGGAGTTTAAAAAACCTAGCTAAACACTTTCCTCTACAGCTCTGGAACAAAAAGAGAAGCAACTGGGCTTCCCACTTTGTATTTCCAGGGCCTTCTAAGAAAGGCTGCTCTTCCAATCCCCTAGCCTGGAGTACAGCAAAAGCGAACAGTGCAAGCATCCTACCCTACAGTACAAGCATCTGGATCAAAAATCAGCGGACACAGAATCACAGAATATAGTAGTATAAAGGGGCTTTGTTTCATCTAGCTTCAATCACCCTTCCTCTTCTCTTTCCCTAGAAAACAGGGGAACGTGGAGAGCCAAGGGTACAAAAGCAAGGAGATCATAATTCATGCAAGAAAATAATTGAGGATAAAGGCAAACCAGAAAAACAGGAAAAAAGGAAGATTTACTTCACTGTAAGTATGAAATACAATTAAGAAAAAAGAATGAGATAATAATTATAGGCTAAACCTTAATCAACTTACTTAATGGGATATTATCTGCACTTAGTCCACCACATAGGAAAAGTTTATCATCAGCTATAGGTGTTAAAGTATGCCATGACCGATGTTTTGGGCTTTCTCCATTAATAGTAATCCTGTGGCAAGGAGAAAAAGAAAGTCTAGGTACTATATTAATCAAAATAAAAGGTTTTTAATCATCTTAGATCTTAAAAAAAAAATCTGCCCTCACTGCTCCAAAAAACTTTTACTAGTCCCACCTACATGAATATTTGAAAAACATTATTAAATTCTTAGATGAATTTAAAAAATCTTTCCATTTAATGACCATTCCACCTGGCTACACAGTGAAAATAAAAGTCAATTCTCAGCCGACGCGGTGGCTCATGCCTGTAATTCCAACACTTTGGGAGGTCAAGGCGGGTGGATTGCCTGAACTCAGGAGTTCGAGACCAGACTGGGCAGCATGGTGAAACCCCATCTCTACTAAAATACAAAAAATTAGCTGGGCCTGGTGGCATGCGCCTGTAGTCCCAGCTACTCGGGAGGCTGAGGCAGGAGAATTGCTTGAACCTGGGAGGTGGAGGTTGCAGTGAGCCAAGATTGCACCACTGCACTCCAGCCTGGGTGACAGAGAGAGACTGCTTCTCCAAGAAAAAAAAAAAAAGTCAATTCTCCGTTAATGCACAATGCATACTCAGCATCATTCTTATTGGCTAATCAGCTGCTTCCTTAGTTTTTCAACACAATTTTTTTCATGTCTGTAACTTTTTACTGTTGTTTCATGGTTAATTTTGTGTTTTTAGCTGATTTCCCCAAGGATATTATGGGTTTTTATATTGTTGTTTTTTACTTTGATCTACTTCTAGAATTTCCCAAAACATTATCTTCCTCTGAAAATGCTAGCTATTCTAACTTCAAAATAAAAGCATGAAAGCCATTCCAGATACAGGGTAAACCTCTAAGGATTTCTCAAAAAAATAAAAATAAAAACAATGCCAGGCACAGTGGCTCACTTCTGTAATCCCAGCACTTTGGGACGCCAAGGCAGGAGGATTGCTCAAGCCCAGGAGTTGGACGGACCATCCTGGGCAAAATAGAGACATTGTCTCTTAAAACAAAAGAAAACAGAACAACAAGAATAATCATAATAATAAAAGGGACACTTAAAAGAGACGGGGCATGAAAAATAAAAACATAAGTTATAGCTGGGCCTGGTAGCATGTGCCTGTAATCCCAGCTACTAGGGAGGTTGAGGCAGGAGAATCACTTGAACCTGGGAGGTGGAGGTTGTAGTGAGCCGAGGTCGCGCCATTGCATTCCAGCCTGGGCAACAAGAGCGAAACTCCGTCTCCAAAAAAAATAAATAAATAAAATAAAATAAAAAAGCATAAGTTAGAAGCAAAAGAATTTAATTTAGGAGGTGAGAAGATACCATTCTTCCACAGTCTGGAATGTTCCAGAATAACACAGGACATTTTTGGAAGATACAATTTGTTTTTTACAAAACGGAAATATTTTTACTGTTTGTGTTGTTTATAAGAAACTTTTTTTTATTTTTTGAGGCGGCGTTTTGCTCGTTTCCCAAGCTGGAGTGCAATGGCGTGATCTCAGCTCACTGCAACCTCCGCCTCCCAGGTACAAGCAATTCTCCTGTCTCAGCCTCCCAAGTAGCTCTGTTTACAAGCATGCGCCAATACACCCGGCTAATTGTTTTGTATTTAGTAGAGACGGGGTTTCACCATGTTAGTCAGGCTGGTTAAGAACTCCTGACCTCAGGTGATCCACCAGCCTCAGCCTCCCAAAGTACTGGGATTACAGGCGTGTACCACTGCACCTGCCTGGTTTTATTTTTATTATTAGTTTTTGAGACAGAGTTTCACTCTTATTGCCCAGGCTGGAGTGCAGTGGCACGATCTTGGCTCAATGCAACCTCCACCTCCCGGGTTCAAGCGATTCTCCTGCCTCAGGCTCCCGAGTAGCTGGGATTATAGGCGTCCACCACCACTCCTTGCTTTTTTTGTATTTTTAGTAGAGCTGGGGTTTCACCATGTTGGCCAGGCTGGTCTCAAACTCCTGACCTCAGGTGATCCACCTGCCTCGGTTTCCCAAAGTGCTGGGATTACAGGTGTGAGCCACTGCACCCAGCCTAGGTTGAACATCTTTTAAAAATAATTTTTACCTATTATTTCTTCTGTGAGTTGTTTATGCATGTTCTTTGTCCACTTTTCTATTGGATTATTTGCCTTTTTAAAACTGATTTACTGAGTTCTTGTGGATCTTTGCCCTGACATCTCTCTTTTAAAAATATTGCAAATGTCAGCTGGGCACGGTGGCTCATGCCTGTAATCCCAGCACTTTGGGAGGCCAAGGTGGGCGGATCACAAGGTCAAGAGATCGAGACCATCCTGGCCAACATGGTGAAATCTCGTCTCTACTAAAAATACAAAAATTAGCTGGGCGTGGTGGTGCGCGCCTGTAGTCCCAGCTACTCCGGAGGCTGAGGCAGGAGAATTGCTTGAACCTGGGAGGCGAGGTTGCAGTGAGCTGAGACCATGCTACTGCACTCCAGCCTGGTGACAGAGCAAGACTCTGTCTCAAAAAAAAAAAAAAAAAAACCTGCAAATATTGTTTCCAGTTTTTTGTTTGCATTTTACAATTTGCCATTTAATTTTTTGTGGTACATTTTTCTACAGAGAAATATTTAATTTTTAAGTAGTCTTATCGATCAGTCTTTTCATTTATGAATTTTGAGTTCATATCATCTTTACAAAGCTTTCTCCATGCCAACATTTTAAAGATAATCTGCTATATTTTCTTCTGAGACTTTCATGGTTTTATGGTATTTAATGGTACTTATACTTTGGAATAATATATAGCTCTGATTCCATCTCATTATACAAATTGCTAAGTTGATAGCTAAATATATTTGTTCTATTGTTAAATACATATTATGAGCTACAAATAAAATCCGACTTTACTCCATTACCTGTTCACCTGAGATGACCCCATTCAACCACTTCTTCATTTCTTCTACTGATCAATCCTCAAAAACTACTTAGTATAAAACCAGTACTTTTATATAATCTAATTTCAACTGTTAGTATTTTCATGTTTTATCTTGTCTGGTTAAGGAACAAACTCTATTTAAATCTATATAGTCCTTGCTTAGACATACGATCTGAAGGAAAAAAATACCAGTCCAGTTTTAAAGACTCACATTTGGATTATGGTGACATACAGACACATACACATGCCTATAGATTAAAACGTACTTAGACTTCAAACTTACCTTCCAGACCAAGTCCAGGTGTCTAGGTTTAGATAGTGCAAATCATTCATCCTAGTTTGCTAAAAGAAAAGTGTGTTACATTGGTCAGTATTTCACATCTTTTATCAGCTAAAATTTTTCTTTTAAAGTAAGTTCAGATTAAAAATAGACTATCTCTATTTTACTTCACATAAGATGTTTAACTATTGGAAAACAATGCTAAGCATTAATAAGACTGACACAGAGCTCCCAAATCAATGTGTCAAAGGGGAAAGGAAAAAATAGGAAGAAATAGGTTTAAATTCACAGGCTTTAGATGACAAGAAATTAATTTTTTCTGATACTGCACTGAAAGATTCTCCTCATTAAAATATGATTTATAATCATCTATGATTGTTCATGTATGGTCTGTTTATGAATTAGAAGATAAATAAAATTAGTATTGAATGCCATTTTAATCTCTAGATTACATGAATGTTCAATTATTCCACGAAATCAGAGGATAAATTTTTATAAGGAGCATTGCACATAAAAATACCATTTCCATTAAAAACACTAACCAGAACACGTCCGCCAAAGATATAACCCTTATTTCCAAGAACTGCACATGTATGCGCGGCTCGTGGCTGTGGTGGAACTCCACCCTGCAAGTAGAAATCAGAACAGACTGCAAAGACTTGAAATATCTGTAATAAAGTTACATTCCTATGCTCAGTATGTGAAAGTCTTAATCACTAAGTTATCATTACCTATGTAATTCAATTAAAAACGCTAATGCAAAAGTTTATTCTAAATAGTACTAATTGTAGACAAATACTATTTGTCAGAATACATTTTATTCTCCCTGATCTTTACTTTTGAAAATGTTTTTCTTATATGTCTGACACTATTTAGCAAAATAAGGTTTCATGTAAATTTTTGTTTGAAATACTGTATAAAGATTTTAAAATCAAATTTTAAAATGTTCTCTCTCTCCCTCTCTCCTCTGTTTCTCTTTCACACACACAGAGTTCCCATTAGAAGTGAGCAGTGCATATTGCGATTATCTCAGAAACTCTGTAAAATTAAAAATGGCCCCAAAACTCTTGGTGCCTCAAATTTACAATAAGAAGTTCACTCTTGGCTTAAGCCAGACAGTGCTCTCTCTCTTACTAAAACTCTTAACATTAATTGATAACACTTCTCTACACTTTATTTTGAATAAATATAGCAGACCTTTTCTTTAGAGAAGTTTTGTTTTTTGTTTCAAGGCAGAGTCTTGCTCTGTTGCCAAGGCTTGAGTGCAATGGCACAATCTCGGCTCACTGCCACCTCCACCTCCCGGGTTTATGCGATTCTCCTGCCTCAACCTCCCCAGTAGCTGGGATTACAGGTGTGCAACACCAGGCCCGGCTAATTTTTGTATTTTTAGTAGAGATGAGGTTTCGCTCTGCTGTCCAGGCTGGTCTCAAACCTCCTGGCCTCGAGCGATCTGCCTGCCTCAACCTCCCAAAGTGCTGAGATTACAGGCGTGAGCCATTACGCCACCCTAGGGAGGTTTTTAATTGGTGGAAAAAGTGAGTATCATGGGTAGATGAATGAATAAGGTTTGAGGGAAAAATCTTCTGCATAATTTCCATATTTTCATGGTGGGTGCCTTTATGTATGTATTTTAATTCCAAGTTCTGAAAGAACCTGACATTTTCAGCTCACTGGCTACTCAAAGTGGGTATAGGAAATTAAAGCTCTGCATCCAATATCATAACTTCCTAAACTTTTCAGGCTTATTTGAATAACTGTGCTGAGGTCAACTTGGTAAGACATAATTCAGATATTACCTATATAACACTTAAATGAGAACCACTTAAGAATTTTGGTTCCCAGCCCTTCCAGCAAAACAAAATTTTTATTATTACCCCAGGCTTGATCTGAAATTTTGGAAGAATTCTTCTACTATATAGAAGAGAATAGAAGAGTACTGGAAATCTGAAATTTATTGCCTGGAAAAAGAGAATCCAGAGAATGGCCAAACTCTAATACTTACGATTTTGTATAGACCTTCCCATCATTTCCATGAACAGAAGTTGGACTGTAAGGAATTCTGGTCATATATGTGTATTAGTAGACATGTATGTAACTGTGCATATACGACCTGCTTAGCATTCCACTCTGTTCAATTCTGGTAAGCTTATCAGTCACAATAGCCTCCTGTTCCTAGCAATGAACATGTGACTCAAGACTGGCCAATCATCCCTTTGGCATCAGGAATTGCTGTAAAGGGTAGGAACATGCCCAAGTAGAGGCAGAGTCCTTTTCTTTCTTTCTTTTTTTTTTTTGGTACAGACGGAGTCTCATTCTGTTGCCCAGGCTGGAGTGGTGCAGTGGAGCAATCTCCGCTCACTGCAACCTCCGCCTCCCAGGTTCAAGCAATTCTCCTGCCTCAGCCTCCCGAGTAGCTGGGACTACAGGCGCATGCCGCCACGCCCAGCTAATTTCCTTTGTATTTTTAGTAGAGACAGGGTTTCACCATGTTGCCCAGGTTGGTCTCGAACTTCTGAGCTCAGGCAATCTGCCTGCCTCGGCCTCCCAAAGTGCTAGGATTACAGGCATGAGCCAGCAAGCCCAGCCCTTTTCTAAGACTAATATATAGACGTTGAGAGAGTACAATACAAATAACTGTGTGTGTAACCAGGACCATATTCCCTCCTAAATGAGCCAGTGTGTCTGCCATAGACGGAATGAAACAAGCACACAAAGAGAAGCAGAGAAAAGCAGACAGAAAGACAGAAAGTATTGTGAGGATGCTGAGTAACCTGCTCCGGTTCCTGAGGCTATGGTCCCTGTGGCTCTTCCTTCTACTTTGTGTGCCATTCCAATATGATTTCCAGCTATGTGAGAATTCATTATTGCTTAAACTAATTTGAATTTGTGTTTGGTCACTAACAAATGAAAGAATACTGATAATGTATTTTTTGTCATGCCATAATTGCATGTACCTCTGAATTCAAGGGTATATAAAACATGGGCTTTGTTATAAAAGGATTTTTAAAAATAGACCTTTATTAAATCAGGGCATGACACTTGTGGGTAAAGAATGACGATGGCACCTCATTAAAAGACTTTTTTCTAGAAAACCTTAGCTGACATGGAGAAGAATATGCATTTTTTTGTTTTATTTGTTTATTTTGAGAGACAGGGTTTCACTATGTTGCCCAGGCTAGAATGCAGTGGAGTGCAGTGGCTATTCACAGATGTGATTGTAGCACACTACAGCCTCAAACTCCTGGACTCAAGTGATCCTCCTGCCTCAGCCTCCTGAGTAGTTGGGACTACAAGTGCCATCTACGGTTCTGATGTTTTTCTTAATGCTATTAATGAAAGTACTCAAGAGAACTACTTGGTATGTGATTACAAACCTAATTACAAAAATCCAAATAACAGGCCAGGTGTGGTGACCTATAATGCCTGTAATCCGGGCACTTTGCAAGGCTAAGGTGGGTAGATAACTTGAGGTCAGGAGTTCCAGACCAGCGTGGCCAACATGGCAAAATTCCGTCTCTACTAAAAATACAAAAATTAGCCAGGCATGGTGGTCCACGCCTGTAGTCCCAGCTAGTCAGGAGGCTGAGGCAGGAGAACCACCTGAACCCGGGAGGCGGAGGTTGCAGTGAGCTGAGATTGTGCCACTGTACTCCAGCCTGGGCAACAGAGCAAGACTTTGTCTCAAAAACACAAAACAAAACAAAAAAAAACCCAAAATCCACAGTAAAAAATTTATTTTTAAATACAAATATATAAAGATGACTTTTTACCACACTTACTTTAATTTCTGGTTGAAACCAAGTCTGTGTCTTTGTGTCAAATATGTGGACATCATTATGCCATCCCCAGAATATCTGCTCTTCCTAAAAGAGAAATGTTTTAAATATCTCAAAGCTTTAATAATTTTTACATTATTATTACAGTTTTATCACATATTTACTGGTAAAATAACAGACACCTTACAAAAATAGAGTTAAGTGTTACCATAGTCACAAAGCCAACGGATACACGGGTACCTCCCAAAGCGTGGTCCCCAGACCAGTAGCAGCACCACCTGGCAACTTTTCTTCTCATAGTATTGTTTGCAGTGAATCATAATTTTACTTGTTGACAATCTTTCAATTTTCTCTAAGGATTATCTTTTTTAAAATTGCAGAGGGTGGAATGATGTTTACATTTTAAAATCTGTTTCCCTAAAGTACATGCTCAGAACTCCTCATTTTTGCTGTAATAAACTTTAGGGGGTGGGTCATGGTTCCTGTTCCCAAAAACTTCCAATCACTTCTACTTCACCAAGCAATTTGTTCTTACAGATTAAACTTATGACCACTCTCTTCTTTATCTCCTAAGATATAAAATTCTTTGTCAGCAAAGAAAAGACTTAGCAGCTATACCATATTTAGCATCTCCCAGGGTGCTGAAATCCTCTATCACTACTCTAGATGATCTCTGTGCCAGTTTTATATTGTGTGTCAGAAAGACATCATTTATTTTTGTCAGGCCTTGTCAAGCAAGTAAAATAAGCTAAACAATTTACTTAGTTTAGAATCTATTTTTAAATTTTATTTAAATTGAAACAGGGTCTCGCCATGTTACCCAGGCTGGTCTCAAACTCCTTGGTACAAGTGATCCTTCTGCCTCAGCCTCCCTAGTAGCTGGGATTATAGAAATGTGCCACCACACCCAGCTCATTTAGAGTCTAAATGAAAAAAAAAAAAAAATACCATTTGTGTTCCAGAAACTTCAGGACATGATAATTAGCTTAGTAACTGTATTGTAGGAGAAAAAAATTGAGTTATTTCACTGATGAATAAAAATAACTAGATATAAATAGAAGTTATATTCCTGAAAATTCTCAGCAATACTTTAAGTAGCAAAGCTTTAATGATATGTCATTTTTAAAACTCAAAAACAACATAGAAACATGGGGAATTTTCAATAATACCCATATACAAAGCAATATACATGAAATGTGTGTGTGTGTATATATATATATACACATATATATGTATTTACACTAATGTAGAATAATATACGCTAGTAGAAGGTAAAACTAATAAGACTGCATCTTGGTGGTAGGATCAATGGTTTTTTAAATTATCTGTTTAAAAATTTCATTTTTGTAATTCATGACTTCTTTCATTAATAATGATTTATTGTCTAATCAGTAAGAATAAGTAGAAAAATTAGTATCACTACCAACTGACTCTTATCTAGAGGCCAGTCTGACCTATGAATAATTCTAGTGGACATATCTAAAAAGAGGTGTATGTCAACAATAGCTTTTGCGGTTAAATATGAACATAATTTTTCCAAGTTGTGCTAAAGCCTCTACCTGTCTAACAGAAGCAGGTATCTGTGATTAACGATATAAGAAAAGAAATTACTCTGCCAATAGCCATGAAGGCTAATACCACTAGAGAGATACCTTTTGCCAAATGGATCCAAATGTTAAAGAGAGAAAACACATTTTTTTCATAGCGTCAATTACGACAAATTGGTAGCTCCAAAAATGAGAAAGACTAGACTCATTATTTCTAAGATGTTAAGGCTATACTGACTTGGAGGAAAATGTAAACAGTGATTACTATCTTACCCAAGATGCATCATGAACATCAAAACAGTCTTGGAGTTCACTGTGTCTCCTACACCCATAACCACCAAAATATATTAGTCTGAAAAACAAATACGAAATGACACACTTTAGGAATTCTGTTTCCAGTTTGTTCATAGAAAGCTGAAAAAGATCCTCTCACCTTAACAACCCAAACACAAAATCACAGTTTAAAAAGAATAAAGAGCTGAGGGAACAAAGAGACCTAAATAAACCAATTCCAGAAAGTGATGAGCTCTCAATGGGAAAGAAGAGACCCATAGCTGCTTTCATCCCTTGTGTAACAGCAAGAGGAAGAATCCAGCACATACAGGGCTTGTAAGAAGAAACTACCCAAATTTTTAACAGCTACATTTATATTGGCATGGCAAATTAGATTTTTTTTAATTTATTTTTTGAGACATGGTTTCCCTCTGTCACCCAGGCTGGAGTGCAGTGGCATGAACATGATCTCAGCTCACTGCAACCTCCACCTCCCGGGCTCAAGCAGTCCTCCTGCCTCAGACCTCTGAGTAGCTGTGACTACAGGTGCGTGCCACCATGCCTGGCTAATTTTTGTATTTTTGTAGAGATGGGGTTTCACCATATTGCCCAAGCTGGTCTTGAACTCTTGGGGTCAAGTTATCCTCCTATCCTGGCCTCCCAAAGTGCTGGGATTACAGGCGCGATATGGTTTGGCTGTGTCCCTACCCAAATTTCATCTTGAATTCCCATGTGCTGTGGGAGGGACCCAATGGGAGGTAATTGAATCATGAGGACAGGTCTTTCCCTGACCTCATGATAGTGATTAAGTGTCATGAGATCTCATGGTTTTCTCTTCTTTTTTTTTTTTTTTTTTTTTTTTTTTGAGACAGAGTCTCACTCTTGTTGCCCAGGCTGGAGTGCAGTGGCGTGATCTCTGCTCAAGGCAACCTCCGCCTCCCGGGTTCGAGTGAATCTCCTGCCTCAGCCTCCTGCGTAGCTGGGATTACAGGCGCCTGCCACCACGCCTGGCTAATTTTTGTATTCTTAGTAGAGACAGGGTTTCACCATGTTGGCCAGGCTGGTCTTGAACTCCTGACCTCAAGTGATCTGCCCACCTCGGCCTCCCAAAGTGCTGGGATTACAGGCGTGAGCCACTGCACCCGCTGATATGATGGTTTTCAAAAGGGGAGCTTCCCTCCACAAGCTCTCTTCTCTTATCTGTTGCCATGTGAGACTTGCTTTTCACTTTCTGCCATAATTGTGAGGCCTCCCCAGCCACATGGAACTGTAAGTCCAATAAACCTCTTTCTCTTGTAAATTGCCCAGTCTTTGGTATGTCATTATCAGCAGTGTGAAAAAGGCGTAATACAAGGCTTGAGCCATGGCGCCTGGCCCCAAATTAGCATCTTTAGAAACCCAGCCTCAAAGACTTGGAATCAACCCAAATGTCCATCAATGATAGACTGAATTAAGAAAATGTGGCACATACACACCATGGAATACTATGCAGCCATAAAAAAGGATGAGTTCATGTCCTTTGTAGGGACATGGATGAAGCTGGAAACCATCCTTCTCAGCAAACTATCACAGGGACAAAAAACCAAACACCGCATGTTCTCACTCATAGGTGGGAACTGAACAATGAGAACACTTGGACACAGGAAGGGGAATATCACACACCGGGGCCTGTCATGGGGTCGGGGATAGCCTTAGGAGATATACCTAATGTAAATGATGTGTTAATGGGTGCAGCATACCAACATGGCACATGTATACATATGTAACAAACCTGCACGTTGTGCACACGTACCCTAGAACTTAAAGTATAATAATAACAACAAAAAAAAGGAAACCCAGCCATAGACGGAATTTAACCTACTCCTTAACTCTTTCGCATAATCTTCAGGGAGGGATCAGGGTCAGTCACCAACAGCTGGAGGCAGAGGAGAGCTGAGAAAATCCCCTTTAGGCAATCTGAGCTTTGGACTACTAAAGTTTGTGATGCAAACAGGAGATCTGAAAGAAACACCTCAGGGGCATGCCAAATATTTACACCCTATAGAGTACCTGCCCTCCAAAGGCCAGGGGAGGAGATGCAAGGCTGAAAGAGGTCTTCCAGGGTGCAGAAAGCATAAAGTGGGATCAGAGAGCAAAGAGAACTCCCTCGTGGCCAATGACCTACCAACTGGACTATAAAACATGGAGAGATCTCCCACAGTTCTGAGAGGTAGGAACGCAGCTGTGAAGCACAGCTGCAAATCTCTAGAAAATCTCAGTGTCCAAATAGGGGGCCCTAGTAAAGGAAAAGTACTGTCCCAAAACATTTGAAGCCAGAGGTAAAACTCAATCAAACTAAAGCTACAACAAAGCCCAAATACAAATCACCTACGAATTAGACTGACTCAACTCTTACTCTAGCAACCTAAAAAAGAAGAAAGGGCATGTCACTTTCTGAAGATAAATATAATTTATTCCAATCTTTACTGTTCTTTCAGACAGAAGATCTGGCATATAATTTAAAAACTACAGGGAGGCTGAGGCAGGCGGATTGCTTGAGGGCAGGAGTTTGAGATCAGCCTGGGCAACATAAGGAGACCTGTCTCCACAAGAAATAAAATTTAAAAAAAAAGGAAAGAAAGGTGTGGCGGTGCATACCTGTAGTCTCAGCTACTCAGGTGGCTGAGGTGGGAAGATTGCTTGAACTCAGAGTTCAAGGTTGTACTGAGTTATGATCACACCACTGCACTCCAGCCTGAGTGAGAGTGAGACCTTGTCTTAAAAAAATAAAAATTACAAAATACACAAAAGGCACAAAAAAGTGGCCCATGATGATGAGAGAAAAGACTTAATATAAACAGACTCAGAGGTGGTCTAGACAATGGAATTATCAGACAGGGCCTTTAAAAAAACTATGATGAGGATACTAATAGCAGAAAGATGTGGACAACATGCAGGAATAAATGGGTAATTTCAGCAAAGAGATAGAACCATAAAAAAGAACTAAATGGAAATGCTAAAAATAGAAAATAATATGTCAGAACTAAAGAATTCATTATATAGGTTAAACAGCAAACTTTAAAAAAAAATTTCCTTCCTGGAACTTGGTAATTAACAGCAAACTTGACACAGCAATGGAAAACATCAGTAAACTTGAAGACAAGTCAATAGATTCACAAAAAATATCCAAATTAAAACATAAAGAAAAGGAAAGAATGGGAAGAAAAGAAATAGGTAGCCAAAGCTTTGTGGAACAGTATCAAAATGGCCTAACATGCATGTAATGGGAGTCACAGAAGGGGAGACAAAGAAAGATGGAGAAGAAATATTTGATAATATAATTACTGAGAAACTGATGGAAGCTATCAACCTACAAACCCAAGAAGCTCAGCACACTCCAAGTAAGATAAATACAAAGGAACTACACACCAATGCATATTTAATCAAATTATTTAAGGGCAAAAATATAGAACAGATAAAGAAAAAAAAAAGACACATACAGAGAAACAAAAACACAAATGAGAGTAAATTTGTCACAAAAAAGATGGAGGCCAGACTGGGCACAGTGGGTCACACCTGCAATACCAGCAATGTGGTAGGTTGAGGCAGGAGGAGTGCTTGAACCCAGGAGTTTCAGGTCTGCCTGGGCAACATAGTGAGATCCCCATCCCTACAAAAAATTTTAAAAGGCTGAGCGCTGTGGCTCACGCCTGTAATCCCAGCACTTTGGGATGCCAAGGCAGGCGGATCACCTGAGGTCAGGAGTTTGAGATGAGCCCGACCAACATGGAGAAACCCCATCTGTACTAAAAATACAAAATTAGCCGGGTTTGGTGGCGCATGCCTGTAATCCCAGCTACACAGGAGGCTGAGGCAGGAGAATTGCTTGAACCTGGGAGGTGGAGGTTGTGGTGAGCCAAGATCGCGCCACTGCACTCCAGCCTGGGCAACAGAGCGAGACACTGTCTCAAAAAAAAAAAAAAAATGAGCTTGGTGTGGTGGCATGCACTTGTAGTCCTAGCTGCTTGAGAGGAGGAAGGAGGAACGCTTGAGCCCAGGAGTTTGAGGCTGCAGTGAGCCATGACTGCATTACTGCACTTCAGCCTGGGTGGGTGATGGAGTGAGACCATCTCTATAACAAAATAATAATAATAATAAATAAAGGAAAGAAATAAAAAGAAAGGAAGGGAAGAAAAAAGAGAAAGAAAAATGGAGGCCAAAAAGCAATGTAACAAAACCTGTAGGCTGGGCACGCTGGCTCACGCCTGTAATCCCAGCACTTTGGGAGGCCAAGTGGATCACGAGGTCAGGAGTTCGAGACCAGCCTGGCCAACATAGTGAAACCCTGTCTCTACAAAAAATAAAAAATAAAAATAAATTAGCCGAGCATGGTAGTGCATGTCTGTAGTCCCAGCTACTCAGGAGGCTGAGGCAGGAGTATCACTTGAACCCGGGAGGAAGAGGTTGTGGTGAGCTCAGATCGCATCACTGCACTTCAGCCTGGACAACAGAGCGAGACTCTGTCTCAAAAAATATATATAAATAAAAATAAATAAATAAATAAATAAATAAAACCTGTAAAGTGCTGAAAGAAAAAAAATCCTGTCAACCCAAATGGTCAAAGAAATCATAACGGAAATTAGAAATTACCTTGAGATAAATGAAAATAAAAACATAACAAAACTTACGAGATGCAGCGAAGGCAGGGCTCAGAGGGAAATTTATAGCTGTAAATGCCTACATTAAAAATAAAATCTCAAATCCATAACATAACTGTACAAGTTAAGGAATTAGACAAGAACAAACTAAACTTACAGAGGGCAGAAGGAAGAAAATGATAAAGGTTGGAGGCAAAATAAAATAGTGAATAGAAAAACAATCAAGAAAAACAACAGGCTGGGCGGGGTGGCTCATGGCTGTAATCCCAGCACTTTTGAGAGGTCAAGGCAGGCTGATCACTTGAGGTTAGGAGTTAGAGACCAGTTTGGCCAACATGGTGAAACCCCGTCTCTACTAAAAATACAAAAAAATTAGGTGGGTGTAGTGGCAGGCGGCTGTAATCCCAGATACTTGGGAGGCTGAGGCAGGAGAATCACTTGAACCCAGGAAACAGTGAGCTAGGATCGCGCCACTGCACTCCAACCTGGGCAACAAAGTGAACAGAGTGAGACTACGACTCAAAAAAAAAAAAAAAAAAAAAAAAAGAAAGAAAGAAAAGAAAAAGAAAAACAACAAAACAAAAGTTGATTCTTTGAAAAGATCAACAAAATTGACAAATGCTTAGACAGCTGCACTAAGAAAAAAGAGAGCAGATTCAAATTACTAAAAGCAGAAGTGAGGAAGAAATATTACTACTGATACTACAGAATAAAAAGGATGACAAAAGAATACTATGCTAGGCATGCTGGTTCACACCTGTAATCCCAGCACTTTGGGAGGCGGAGGTAGGCAGATTGCCTGAGTCCAGGAGTTCAAGACCAGCCTGGCCAACATGGTGAAACCTTGTCTCTAAAAGTACAAAAAAAATTAGCTGTGCCTGGTGGTGTGCACCTGTAGTCCCGGCTGCTTGGGAGGCTGAGGTGGGAGAATCACCTGAGCTTAGGAGGTAGAGGCTGCAGTGAACCAAGACAGTGCCACTACACTCCTGCCTGGGCAAAGGTGAGACCCTGTCTCAAAAACAAACAAACAACAACAACAAAACCACCAGAATACCATGAAGAAGGGTATATCAACAAGTTGGATAACTTAGATGAAATGGAAAACTTCCTGGAAAGACCCACACCCTCAATGCTGGGCACAGTGGTTCATGCCTGTAATCCTAGCAATTTGGGAGGCTGCGGTGGAAGGATCACTTGAAGCCAAGAGTCTGAGACCAGCCTGGCAACATAATGAGACCCTATCCCTACAAATAATAAAAATCTTAGTCAGGGATGGTGGCACGTGCCTGTAGTCCCAGCTACTCAGGAGGCTGAGGTGGAAGGACTGCTTGAGGGTCCAAGGAGTTCAAAGCTGCAGTAAGCCATGAAAGCACCACTGCACTCCAGCCTGGGTAACAAAGAAAGACCCTGACTCTTATAAAAACAAAAATAAATTATATCTCAAGAAAAAATAGAAAATCTGAATAAACCTATAACAAGTAAGATGATTGAATCAGTAATCAAAACGCTCCCAAGAAAGAAAAGCCCAAGAATGGCTTCACTGGCGAATTCTACCAAATATTTAAAAAAGAATTAACACCAATCCCACTCAAACTCTTCCAAAAAAAAAAGTGAGGAGGGAATACTTCCTAAATTAGTTTGAGGCTAGCATTACCCTGATACCAAAGCAAGACAAATAAAATACAATTAAATATATCTGATAAGGGATCAACACCCAGAATACATAAAGTACTACCGTAACGTAACATCAAAAAGACAGACGACTCATTTTTTTTAAATGGGTAAAGGATTTGAATAGACATTTCTCCAAAGAAGATGTACAAATGTCCAATAAGCCAACATCATTAGTCATTAGGAAAATACAAATCAAAACCACAATGAAATACCATTTCACATCTGCTAGTATAACTATTATTAAAAACACACACACACACACCCAAAATAAGCATAGGTGAGGATGTGGCAAAACTGGAACCCTTGTTCCTTGCTGGTGGGAATATAAAATGGTATAGTCACTATGGAAAATAGTTGGTGGTTCCTCAAAAACTTAAACATAGACTCACCAAATGACCCAACAGTTCTATTCTTAACGTATATACTCAAAAGAATTGAAAACTGAATCACACAAAGTTATATGCCACATTGATAGCAGCATTATTCACAAATAGCGAAAAGGTAGACACAACCCAAGCATCTACCAACATATAAATGGCTAACCAACATGCGGTATATACATACAGTGGAATATTACTCAGCCATAAAAAGGAATGCTATATGCTACAACATAATGCACCTTGAAAACGTTATGTTAAGTGAAATAAGGCAGACAAAAAGAACAAACATTTTATGATTCAATTTTTATGAAATACCTATTATCTGCTTATTCGTAAATTATTATAGACAGAAAGATTAGAGGTCACCAGGGGTTGGAAAGAAGGGAGAATGGGGAGATATGGCTTAATGGGCACAGAGTTTCTGTTTGGAGTAATTAAAAAGTTTGGAAGTAGGTACTGGTGATGGTTGCACAACATTATGAAGGTAATTAATGCCACTGAATTGTACACTTAATATAGTTAAAATGAAAAATTTTATGTTTTATGTATTTACCACAACCTTTCAAAAAGGTATAGCAAGCCGGGCGTGGTATCTCATGCCTGTAATCCCAGCACTTTGGGAGGCTGAGGTGCGCGGATCACCTGAGGTCAGGAGTTTGAGACAAGCCTGGCCAACATGGTGAAACCCCGCCTCTACTAAAAATACAAAAATTATCTGGGCATGGTTGCAGGCACCTGTAACCCCAGCTACTTGGGAGGCTGAAGCAGGAGAATCCCTTGAACCAGGGAGGTGGAGGTTGCAGTGAGTGGAGACCACGCCATTGCACTCCAGCCTGGGCAACAAGAGTGAGACTCTGTCTCAAAAAAAAAAAAAGCGTAGCAAGAGGTAAGTCTCCCTCCTACTCTCAGTCACTTAATTCCCTTGCCTAGGGCAATCATTGTTACTGGTTTCTTTTACATACTAACAACAACAAAAAACCTTTAAAGGTCCAAAAATACTTTACAGGGTAGATTAACCTGGAAAAACAAAGGCAGAAAACCATAGTGGTTTACAGAAACACATGTCATTGCCATAAGCATTCAAAGATACTCCCTTTATACGAGCCTATGCTAGGTTCAGAGACAGAGTTCAGTCCTATGTTTGCCTCTAGCCCTTAAAATGCTTTTTGCAAACCAAAATGACAAAAAATTAAGTGTAACCAGGAGGCAAATCAACAAAGCTATCAATTACTCCTCCTAAAAAATTCTGTATACACCTGTGAATGAAATTCAACAATATGTTGAAATACTCGTTACAACCATGTAAGATTTATATCAGAAACACGAGTATATCATATTAGAAAATATTTAATGACATCAGTATTTAAATGAGAAAACAAACCTCAAACGACTTCAAAAGAAAAAGTATTTAATAAAAATCAATATTCATTGCTCATAAACATCTAGGTTTAAAAGGTAAGGCTATGTTTTATCTTTTATTATATATATATATATATTTTTTTTTTTTTTTTTTTTTTTTTTTGAGACAGAGTCTTGTCACCCAGGCTGGAGTGCAATGGCACAACCTCAGATCACTGCAACCTCCGCCTCCCAGGTTCAAGCAATTCTCCCGCCTCAGCCTCCTAAGTAGGTGGAACTACAGGTACCTGCCACTGCACCCAGCTAATTTTTGTATTTTTAGTAGAGACGGGGTTTCACTGTCAGCCAGGCTGGTCTCGAACTCCTGACCTCAAGTAATCTGCCCGCCTTGGCCTCCCAAAGTGCTGGGCTTACAGGCGTGAGCCACCACATCCGGCCTATATTTTATATATACTTTTATATGTACTTAATATAATAAAGTAGGCCGGGCACGGTGGCTCACATCTGTAATCCCAGCACTTTGGGAGGCTGAGGCGGTCAGATCATGAGGTCAAGAGATCAAAACCATCCTTGCCAACATGGTGAAACCCCATCTGTACTAAAAATACAAAAATTAGCTGGGTGTGGTGGTGTGTGCCTGTAATCCCAGCTATTCGGGAGGCTGAGGCAGGAGAATAGCTTGAACCAGGGAGTCAGAGGTTGCAGTGAGCCGAGATCATGCCACTGCACTCCAGCCTGGGTGACAGAATGAGACTCTGTCTCAGAAAAAAAAAATAATAAAGTAAAATATATATGAATATATATACACTTAATATAATAAAGTATGTATAATACAAAAAACATATATAATATATATTAAGTATATATGTATACATAAAATATAAAATAGATAAAAATAAGTTTCTATATATATGGAAATAAAGTATATATATAATTTCCATATATATGAAAATAAAGTATATATGTAATTTCCATATATATGGAAATAAAGTATATATAAATATATATTAAGTATACATGTAAAAGTATATATAATATATAAAGACATATTTTATATTATATATACTATGTGTTAAGTATATGCTAAAGTATATGTTATATAACATATACCATACATTTATAGTATAGTATAGTATATGAGTCAGAGTATTTGAGTCAAATAATATATTATACATGAGTATATGATTCAAATACTATACTATACATATCCTCCTGCCTCAGCCTCCCAAGTAGCTGGGACCACAGGTGCATAGCATGCCACCACACCTGGGTATTTTTTTTTCTTACTTTTTGTAGAGATGAGGTCTCACTGTGTTGCCCAGGCTGATCTCAAACCCCTGTCCTCAAGGGATCCTCCAGCCTTGACCTCCCAAAGTACTGGGATTACAGGCATGAGCCACCACAACCAGCCTAGATTTTTTTTCGTTTTTGAGACAGAGTCTCGCTCTGTTACCCAGGCTCGAGTGCAATGGCGCGATCTCGGCTCACTGCAACCTCCACCTCCTGGGTTCAAGCCATTGTTCTGCCTCATCCTCCTAAGTAGCTGGGATTACAGGTGCCTGCCACCACGCCTGGCTAATTTTTTGTATTTTTAGTAGAGACAGGGTTTCACTATGCTGGCCAGGCTGGTCTCGAACTTCTGACCGTGTGATCTGCGCGCCTCGGCCTCCCAAAGTGCTGGGATTACAGGTGTGAGCCACCACGCCCAGCCCAGCCTAGATTTTTAAACTTTATTTAAAACATATTTATATATTCTAGCTGAGCACAGTGTCTTACATCTATAGTCCCAGCACTTTGGCAGGCCAAGGCGGGTGGATCACTTAAAGCCAGGAGTTCAAGACCAGCCTGGCCAACATGGTGAAACCCTGTTTCTACTAAAAATACAAAAATTAGCCAGGTTTGGTGGCGTGCACCTGTAATCCCAGCTACTTGGGAGGCATGAGAATTGTTTGAACCCAGGAAGCGGAGGTTACAGTGAGCCAAGATCGTGCCACTGTGCTCCAGCCTGGGTGACAGAGTGAGACTCTGTCTCAGGAAAAAAAAAAAAAAAAATATATATATATATATATATATATATATATATATATATATATATATATATATACCTCCTGCCTCAGCCACCTGAGTAGCTGTGACCACAGGCGTACGCCACCACACCTGGTTAACGATTTGTCTTTTTAGTAAAGATGGGGTTTTGTCATGTTGGCCAGGCTGGTCTCAAACTTCTGGCCCCAAGCGATCCTCTTACCTCAGCCTCCCAAAATGCTGGGATTATAGGCAAGAGCCACTAGGGCAGGCCGACATCAAATATTTCAAATCCATGATTTTAAAATGGTAATTTAAAACCTTACTGACCACTTTGAAGGATACTAGAGAAATGACTCAATTGATTCTAAAGGCGAAAGAATCAAGCATTTATCCTGATTTTCCTATACAAACAGTATCTTAGGGTTAATAAACAGTTAAAGAAAGTTTCTTTTTATAGAAGTATTCCACTAATAAATTAAGAACAAATAATAGAATTAGAATATCATCACTTTGCATCTTCTTGTACAAAAATGGATCTAGGCAGCAATCATCGGTGCTTGCTAACATACAGAGACAACCAAACATTATGTGCCTACTAATGTCTAAAAATAGTTAGCTATGGGCTGGGCGCGGTAGCTCATGCCTGTAATCCCAGCACTTTGGGAGGCTGAGGCGGGCGGATCACGAGGTCAGGAGATCGAGACCACCCTGGCTAACACGGTGAAACCCTGTCTCTACTAAAGATACAAAAAAAAAAATTACCCGGGTGTGGTGGCGGGAGCCCGTAGTTCCAGCTACTCGGGAGGCTGAGGCAGGAGAATGGCGTGAACCTGGGAGGCAGAGCTTGCAGTGAGCTGAGATCGCGCCACTGCATTCCAGGCTGGGTGACAGAGCAGGACTCCATTTCAAAAAAAAAAAAAAAAAAGTTAGCTATGGGCCGGGCATGGTGGCTCACGCCTGTAATCCCAGCACTTTCGGAGGCCAAGGTGGGTGGATCACCTGAGGTCAGGAGTTCAAGGCCAGGCTGACCAACATGGTGAAACCCTGTCTCTACTGAACAACACAAAAATTAAGCCGGGTGTGGCGGCTCATGCCTGTAATCCCAGCACTTTGGGAGGTGGAGGCAGGTGGATCACGAGATCAAAAGTTTGAGACTAGCCTGGCCAATATAGTGAAACCTCGTCTCTACTAAAGATACAAAAAGAACTAGCCAGGCATGGTGGCACATGCCTGTAGTCCCAGCTACTCGGGAGGCTGAGGCAGGAGAATCACTTGAACCCAGAAGGCTGAGGTTGCAGTGAGCCGAGATTCCACCACTGCACTTCATCCTGGGCAATAGAGGGAGACTCCGTCTCAAAAAAAAAAAAAAAAAGAAAATCTATGAAGTACTTTTTATTTGCTCCCAAACCAACAGCTAACACAAGAACATGAATTTGCTTAACTTTCTAGATCTAACTACCAATTTACAGAAAATAGAAGGTGTAGATGAATATGTTAAATGGTATCACAGAGATACAACCAACACAGTGCAGACTATTGGGATTCTATAGCCAAATGACATGGTTTCTTTATCAAATAAATTTCAAGAACAAAACAACAAAAAAGACCAAAAGGAAATCTCTAGAATAAAAGCAACTATATATATGGAAGACATATTGGTTGGGTGCAGTGGCTCATGCCTGTAATCCCAGCACGTTGGGAGGCTGAAGCGGGTGGATCACGAGGTCAGGAGATCGAGACCATCCTGGCTAACATGGTGAAACCCAGTCTCTACTAAAAATACAAAAAAATTAACCAGGCATGGTGGTATGCACCTGTCGTCCCAGCTACTCGGGAGGCTGAGGCAGGAGAATTGCTTGAACTTGGGAGGCAGAGGTTACAGTGAGCCGAGATGGCACCACTGCATTCCAGCCTGGGTGACAGTGAGATTCTGCCTCAAAAAAAAAAAAAAAAAAAAAAAAAAAGAAAAAGAAAAAAGAAAGACATATAAATCGATTATAACGTATAGACCTTATCTAGTCCCCTACTGAACAAATTGTTTAAAAACATTTAAGAGACAAACAAGCAAATCTGAAAACTGGAAATTAAATAGTGAATGATATTTTAAAACACAAATAAAATTTAATAATTAGCAATGAAGAAAACCCTTAAAACAAAAATATAAGAACTCAAATAACAGAGTTGATGGCCAGAAAATATGAGGAGCTGAAACAGAATTGTTAGAAATTAGGAAAGAAGGCCAGGCGCAGTGGCTCACACATGTAATCCCAGCACTTTGGGAGACTGAGGCAGGCAAATCACAAGGTCAGGAGTTCGAGGCCAGCCTGGCCAACATGGTGAAACCCCATCTCTACTAAAAATACAAAAATTAGGGCCAGGTGCAGTGGCTCACGCTTGTAATCCCAGCACTTTGGGAGGCCGAGGCGGGCGGATCACAAGCACAGGAGATCGAGATTATCCTGGCTAACACAGTGAAACCCTGTCTCTAATAAAAATACAAAAAAAAATTAGCCAGCGTGGTGGCATGCCCCTGTAGTCCCAGCTACTCGGGAGGCTGAGGCAAGAGAATTGCTTGAACCTGGGAGGTGGAGGTTGCAGTGAGCCGAGATTGCGCCACTGCGCTCCAGCCTAGGCGACAGAGCGAGACTCTGTCACAAAAATAAATAAATAAATAAACAAACAAATAAATAAATAAATAAAGTAAAAACACAAAAATTAGCCGGGCATGGTGGCAGGCACCTGTAATCCCAGCTACTCAGGAGGCTGAGGCCAGAGAATCGCTTGAACCCGGGAGGCAGAGGTTGCAGTGAGCAGAGATCGTGCCATTGCACTCCAGCCTGAGCAACAGTGAGACTCCATTTCCAAAAAAACAAAAAACAAACAAAAAAAATTAGGAAAGAAATAAAAGGGGAGAAAAACTCATTTCAGAAATGAAGACAATGTTACAAATAGCAAAGAGACAGTTATCACAGAAAATACAGTAAAGGACATAAAGAATAAAAATGTGAAAAACCACAAAAAATAGTTAAAAAGAATTAGCAAGAAATGATAAGCAGGGAGTGAGGAGCTAAAATGTTCATAACTAAAGTTCCCCTTCTTCCCAAAAATGGAACAGAAGGATTAAAAACATAACTCACAAAAACTAGCGTTGAAGGAATGGGAAGGAGAGAGGGATGAAGAGGCTACCATCTAGTTTTATTGATGCTCAGAGTAGGGGAATGATAGATATTGTTCAGAGAAAAAGAATGAGTAATATATGAAAGTATAAATATAAGCACTGGATTTACTCAAGGTCCTACCCAGTCCAGTAAGACAACAAAAAGTTTAAAGATTAGAAAGGAAGAAATAAAACGGGCATTGTCAGATATTGATTATTTAGAAAATCAATTGCAATCCTGAAAAAAACTCATACCTTTAAGCATTCTGTATTTTAGCCAAAGCTATTATCTTTGCTTAGGTAGACATAATGCATTAAGTGCAACTGCTGCATTACCTGTCTTTATATACCCAGCAGGAAAGTTTATCACGTGGTGTAGGTGGTTGCCCTTCAAAGTCGGTGATTTTCTCCCAAATGTAGGTTTCATCTCTTGTTCGTAAATTAACAAAATAAAGCTTTAAAAGATGAGAACACTATTAGCAGACAGGGCATTTAAAAATTAAATCTATATCAGAGGGAATGTGATCCAAGAATTAATACTATTATTTTCTTTTTAATAGGTAAGCTTGTTACCTATTAAAATTTAAAAATTGGAGAATAAAAATGAGACTGTTTTAGGAGTAAAAATGATATATAAAACATATTAAAATGAGTCACATCCTGCTCTTATCCTATGAATATCAATTAAATATGCAGTTAATTCTGAAGCAGAAAGACACAGAAGAAGAGAAGAGCAGGACTGCTGCATTTTCAACCCAGCTTTAAAATATTTAATTACAAGTTTAAGGTTTTCTATATATATCTTCTTTTTAAAATATTTGTAACTTGTGAGATGAAATGATGCATTAAATATTACATTTTGCTGCACTCTTGAATTAAAGAAATTATTACTCGATTGCTGTATCCTTTGTCATCATATCCTCCAAAAATGTACAGCTTTCCATTAATGCAAGCACCACAGCTTCCTGACATGGAGGCTGGGAGTTCTCCTTCCATGAGGTGCATTCTCCTGCAGCAAGAATAACATGGAATCCCATAACTTTCCAGAAAGGCAAATTAAAATTCTCTTTAAACTCCATGAGTACTTTTGTCAGTGAAAACTGTCACTGTCAATTACAGTTACAATGTAATGGTGGCCAATAATGTAAAAACTCTAAGAAGATCCAGGGTAAAACTTTTTCAATCTGCTAGGAAAAAAAAAAAAATCACAAAAATTTCACACGTCACTAGAACTGGAAATTTGCAGAATAAAACAAAATCTTCAGAGACAGCACTGGTCTTGAGAGAAATACTAAAAGACAAAAAGTGGAGCAGGGAAGACAGTAGGGGAATGAAAGAGTCAGAAAATAAAAGCATTGAAAGGAAAGGAAAGGGAGACTTCAAAAATGTTGCAGTATGTTCAAAGTATGGTCTCAAATTCCCTAGAGTCTACAGAAACATTTATAATAGATATTAAGATCAGACAGTATGCAATTTAAAATTACTTACCACAACCCACTATCAATATCATAGGTCCAAATTTCATCATTAGGCAAATATACTTCATTGTCTTCAATAGACTAAAAATACAGAATACATAAAATTATGTTTATCAGTTACACAGCAAACAGTTACACAGCTTCTCAGGATGAGAAAAATTGCTAATAAAATACTATAAAACACAAAAGAAGGCTCAAGGATCTTTTTCAATATAAAATAAAATATATCAAAAGAAAAGGAAAGAAGATTTTCTAAGAGAAAGTGGGAAAACAATAAAGGATCAAAATAAAACATAGCGAGTATATAAGTCTCAAGAAAATAATTAGGGCAATTAAACCTTTAAAAGGGGCTTTATGTAAAAGAAAATAGCAAAACAATAAGATTTAGAGCAGAATATTAAAGATTATAAAGCCAGGAAGAAAAAGATCATCAAAAAATAAAAAAAAGGACAATACATTTTGGGTGACAGGAAGTATTAATGGAGGAAATTTTTTAAAGATACAATTAAATATCTTATTAAGATATCTCAGGAACTTTAATTCACTGAACATATTTTTTGAGTGCCTACTATATGCAAGGCATAGTATTAGTTGTTCATTAAATCTAGAATATAAGGATCACAATATATTTAACTAGTCAAAATGAGAACTCAGAACTTGGATAATCTCTAAAGAAGCTGATCACAAATAGAATAGCACATTCTGACATTCTTGATGAAAAGATAAATAAGACTTGTATAACAATCTTACTTATTTTGAGCTTAAACAAGCTTAGGAGTTAAAATAAATTTTTACATAAATCTGCCATAGTTCTCAGAATCTATATAATAGTTCAAAAATAACCAGCTGGGCGCAGTGGCTCAGCCAGCATTTTGTAATCCCAGCACAGTACAATTCCAGCACTTTGGGAGGCTGAGGCAGGTGGATGACCTGAGGTTAGGAGTTTGACACCAGCCTGGCCAACATAGTGAAACTCCACCTCTACTAAAAATACAAAAAAAACTAGCCAGGCATGGTGGCGTATGCCTGTAATCCCAGCTACTCAGGAGGCTGAGGCAGGAGAATCGCTTGAACCTGGGAGACGGAGGTTGCAGTGAGCTGAAATCGTGCCACTGCACTCCAGCCTGGGCAAAAGAGTGAGAATTTGTCTCAAAAAAAAAAAAAAAAAAGCTAGAGTTTTAAAATAGCACTTTAAGAATTTCTAAAACTATATAATACATAAGTTATTAACATGCTAAGAAGATTTAGCTGTTTCTCATTGTATGTTCTTTAAATTTAAAAATAGGCCGGGTGTAGTGGCTCATTCCTGTAATCCCAGCACTTTGGGAGGCCAAGGCAGGAGGATTGCTTGAATCCAGGAATTCAAGACCAGCCTGGGCATCATAGCCAGATCTTGTCTCTAAAAAAAAAAACACCAAAAAATTAGTTAGGCCTGGTGGCACATGCCTGTAGTCCTAGCTACTCAGGAGGCTGAGGTGGGAGGATCACTGGAGCTCAGGAGTTCGAGGCTGTAGTGAGCTATGATAGTACCACTGCACTCCAGCCTGGGCGACAGAGGCAGACCCTGCTTCTTAAAAAAAAAAAAAAAAAAAAGGGCCAGGTGTAGTGGCTCACGCCTGTAATCCCAGCACTTTGGGAGGCAGAGGCAGGTGGATCACAAGATCAAGAGATCAAAACCATCCTGGCCCACATGGTGAAACCCCGTCTCTACTAAAAATACAAAAATTAGCTGGGCGTGGTGGTGCATGACTGTAATCCCAGCAACTCAGAAGGCTGAGGCAGGAGAATCGCTTGAACCCCGGAGGTGGAGGCTGCAGTGAGCTGAGATTGTGCCACTGCACTCCAGCCTAGGCAACAAATGGAGACTCTGTCTCCAAAAAAAAAAAAAAAAAAAAAAAAAAGAATATCTTGTCTACCATGTCTCTCTCTCTCTCTCTCTCTCACACACACACACACACACACACACATAAAAATAGAAAAGCGTTGTATTAGTTCCAAGGAAATTAAACTTACACTCATGTCTGAGTCTTTTCAATAGATGGTGCAAAAGAAAAAAACTAGATTCCTATCTTTCACCATATACAAAAATCACATCAAAATGGATTAAAGACTTAAATCTAAGACTTCAAACTATAAAACAACTACAAGAAAACATGGGGAAACTCACCAGGACATTGGTCTGGGCAAAAATTTCTTGAATGATACCCCACAGGCACAGGCCACCAAAGCAAAAATGGACAAATGGGATCATATCAAGTTTAAATGCTTCTGCACAGTGAAGGGAACAATCAACAAAATGAAATGACAACCTACAGAATGGGAGAAAATATTTGCAAACTCCCCATGTGACAAGGGATTAATAACCAGAATATATAAGGAGCTCAAACGACTCTACAGGAAAAAAATCTAACAATCTAATTTAAAAATGGGCAAAATACTTGTATACACATTTCTCCAAAGAAGACATAAGTATGGCAAACAGGCATAGGAAAAGGTGCTCAACATCACTGATCATCAAATAAGTGCAAATCAAAACTACAATGAGATATTATCTCACTTCAGTTAAAACGGCTTTTATCCAAAAGAAAGGCAGTAACTAATGCTGGCAAGGAAGTGAAGAAAAGGGAACTCTCATACACTGTTGGTGGGAATGTAAATTAGTACAACTACTATGGAGAACAGTTTGGAGGTTTCTTTAAAAACTAAAAATAGAGCTACCATATGATCCAGCACCCCCACTGCTAGGTATATATGCGAAAGAAAGGAAATCAGTGTATCGCAGAGATATCTGCACTCCCATGTTTGTTGCAGCACTGTTCACAATACCCAAAATTTCGAAGCAACTTGTGTCCATCAACACATGAATGGATAAAGAAAATGTGGTACTCATACACAATGGAGCACCATTCAGCCATAAAAAAGAATGAGATCCTGTTATTTACAATAACATGGATGGAACTAGAGGTCATTAGCTAAATGAAGTAAGCCAGACACAAAAAGACAAACATCACATGTTCTTACATGAGATCTAAAAATCAAAACAATTGACCTCATGGAGAGAGAAAGCAGAAGGATGGTTACCAGAAGCTGGTAAGGTTAGTGGGAGGTGGGAGTGGGTGGGTAGGGATGGCTAATGGGTACCAAAAAATAGTTAGAAAGAATAAGACCTAGTATTTGATCGCACAATAGGGTGACTATAGTCAATAATAATTGTACATTTCAAAATAAAAGAATATAATTGGATTGTCTGTAACACAAAGGATAAATACTTGAGGGAACAGATACCCCATTTTATATGATGTGACTATTATGCATTGCATGCCTGTATCAAAATATCTCATGCATCCCATAAATATATACACCTACTATGTACCCACAAAAATTAAAATTAAAAAAATTTTTCAATCAGTGAAAAAACATAAACTTACACTCATGTCTGACTGAGGAATCCATATTAAATGGCTAAGTAAACAAATAATTATAAGAAGGGGAGCTACTGTATGAGTCTAAGGTTTAATGGCATTAGGTTCCAGTAGCCTCATGTGTACTCCTTTACAAAAGAAATATTATAGGCTGGGCACAGTGGCTCACACCTGTAATCCTAGCACTTTGGGAGGCTGAGGCGAACAGATCACAAGGTCAGGAGTTCGAGAGCAGCCTGGCCAATATGGTGAAACCCTGTCTCTACTAAAAATACAAAAAAATTAGCCAGGTGTGGTGGCGGGCGCCTATAGTCTTAGCTATTCAGGAGGCTGAGACAGGAGAATTGCTTGAACCTGGGAGGCGGAGGTTGCAGTAACCTGAGATCATGCCACTGTACTCCAGCCTGGGTGACAGAGCAAGACTCCATCTCAAAAAAAAAAAAAAAAAAAAAGAAAGAAAGAAATATTATGAAAGTGAATTGTCATTACTCTGTTTAAGTCCTTTCAATGGCTCCCTATTGCTTTTAGCATAGTCTAAAATGTTTATGATTCTGTATTATATGGTAGCTGCTATCCCTCGAAACTTCAAGTTGCCTTTCACACACAGTACGCCTTCAGTACTTAAACATCTCCTAGTTCCTTGCTATGATAGGACCATTCATCTATTCTCTTTTCTCTCTTATAGTACTCTTTCAGAGTTTGCCTAACTCCTCCTTTTTTGGGAATCAGCTTAAATGTACTTCTCTAACCTATTCTCTAAAATAGCTTAAAGTATTAAGGTCCCCTATTAGAGGCCCTCATAGTCCTGTACTTTCCCTTTGAAGTTCTTTGTATCACACCCACCCTCACCACCACCAATACTGCTAAACTGTAAGCTTCATGAGTACAGGGATCTTGTCTATCTTGTTACGCTCCCAGAGCCTACTACAGTGCCTCACACATAAAAGACAAATAAAATATTTATTGATTGAGTGAGCCACTGCGCCCAGTCCAAGTTTTCCTTCTCTACTGGATTATTCCTATTAATATACAAACATGTCTCATCTCACCTTTCAAAAAAAAGAATTCTCCCTTGACTCCTTTTCTTCCTGTTTCTAGGAATGGTTAGAATATGTTTGACAAGGCCAGGCACAGTGGCTCATGCTTGTAATCCCAGCACTTTGGGAGGCCGAGGTGGGCAGATCACCTGAGGTCAGGAGTTCAAGGCCAGCCCAGCCAACATGGTGAAACTCTGGCCTCTACTAAAAATACAAAAAATTAGCTGGGCATGGTGGCGGGTGCCTGTAATCCCAGCTACTCAGGAGGCTGAGGCACGAGAATTGCTTGAGCCTGGGAGGCAGAGGTTGCAGTGACCCCAGATTGCGCCACTGCACTCCAGCCGGGGCGACAAAGCGAGACTCTGTCTCAAAAAAAAAAAAAAAAAAAAAAAACAGAAAAGGAAAAAAAATAAAAAGACAAGCTATAAATTGAAGACATATTCAACTCACACAATTTTGTATTTTAAAACTTGTATAAATTAGTTAAAAAAAGCAAATAATCCAACAGAAAAATGAGCAAAAGACATGAGCCAGCATTTTTACAAAAGACACAAATAGTCCATAAAGTTAGACGCTCAATTTTATCAGTAACCAAGGGAAATGAAAACAAAAACCACAATGAACTATCATGTCACACTCACTGGAACGGCAAAAACGTAAGGCCAGATGGTACCAAATGTGTTGCCAAGGATATGGGGCAAGGAAATGGCTGGTGGGAGTGTAAATTGATACAAATATTTTGGTAACAGTCTGACATTTCCAAATAATTTTGGAGATGTGCATATCAAGTGATCCAACATTTCATTCATTGGTAGATTCCCTAGGGAATGTACATGCCCTTGTGAATATACAATAGGAAGCATGTTATAAGAATGCTTACAATAGCAAAAAATTAGAAACATTCAAATATTCACCAATAATGGAATGGATAAATTGCAGTAAACTCATAGAGTAGAATGTTATACAGGATATACATCAAATGAATGGATCTAGAGATGATGATTTTCAAATTATTTAACAACTGGGCAGCACAGGCATTGACCAATCAGAATAGATGCCAAACAACAACAGGTACAGCCATACAAGCACACACCAGTTGACTATAAGCAATGTATGAATCTGAAAACTAAAAGAATTCATGGAAGAGGCTGAGCTCACACCTGTAATCCCAGCACTTTGGGAGGCTGAGGTGGGTGGATCACCTAAGGTGAGGAGTCCAAGATCAACCTGGCCATCATGGTGAAACCCCGTTTCTACTACAAATACAAAAATTAGCTGGGTGTGGTGGCGGGCACCTGTAATCCCAGCTACTTGGGAGGCTGAGGCAGGAGGATCACTTGAACCCAGGAGGCGGAGGTTGCAGTGAGCTAAGATCATGTCACTGCAATCCAGCCTAGGCAACAGGAGCGAAACTCTGTCTCAAAAAAAAAAAAAAATTCATGAAAGAAAACATATGCTATGATTCAAAACCAAATAATATATTGTTTAGAGATGTATGTGAAGTAAAATTATAGAGAAAAGAAATTTAAGATAGTGGTAACCTGTATGAGTGGGGGTAGTGGGAGCAATGTAATCAATGCAGGATAAAAGGAAGCTTTTATCCTGCATAATAAACAATAAAGGTATTGTTTATTTCTTAATCTGGAAAGTAAACAGTTGTTTATATTTAAATAATACTTATTTTATACATTCTATTGTATATATATTTCAAATTCAAAAATTAAGTAAATAAAATTTTAAGAAACGAATATTAAGTAGCTCACAGAATCATCAGGGAGGCTGGAGAACCAGCCTCTGGTCGATGCAAGGAAGAGTGAGGTGTGAAACCATGCCAAGAGAGCAGGTCTGTGGTCACTGGTGCACACCACACTGCTGCCTTTTATGCAAGGAAACTTGATCTTCCTAAACTGTATTGCAGGCTAAGAATCTTCTAGAGGTCGTGGTTTTTTATATCTTTATTCCGAAGTCCAAATCTAGCACAGATTCATCTAACCAATGGAGTCCTAGCCACTTGCCTGCAACCTAGCTGCAAGTAAGGCAGGAAAAGTTAGTACCTGACTTTCAGGTATTTTTATTGGGCACCTACTATGAGCTGTAACCAGTTCTAGACATTGAGGATACAACAGAGAACAAGTTACATATCTTATATTTTATGAGGATAAGTAGGAGACAACTAGAATAAATACCCTGACAATATTCACTCACTAGGGGAATACCACAAATAGAGAAAGGTGGTTTATATTCTGGTCATTTAAAAAGAATGATAAATGTCTTCCATATAACATAGATGACCAATGTGATCATTTATGAATATATAAAGTAGAACTATTAGGTTAAAGAGAAAACACATCTTACATTTTTGATACACATTGCTAAATTTCTCCTCAAAAAGGTTACACAAACTTGTACTCTTATTACCAGTGTACTAGTAATTCATTTCTCCACACTCTTTGCCAGAATTCTTTCTCATCTTTGCAAATTGGAGAAGAAAAACCTCATTGTAATTTTTACCTGGGTTTCCTTTGTTTGTATATTTGTATTTATTTTGTAAATTGCACTTATCCATTGCTCATTTTTCAATGGGGATGTTATCTTTTTTTTTTTTTTTTTTTGAGACAGAATTTCGCTCTTGTTGCCCAGGCTGGAATGCAATGGTGTGATCTCGGCTCACTGCAACCTCCGCCTCCCAGGTTCAAGCGATTATCCTGCCTCAGCCTCCCGAGTAGCTGGGATTACAGGCATGTGCCACCATGCCCAGTTACGTTTGTATTTTTAGTAGAGACGAGGTTTCTCCATGTTGGTGAGGCTGGTCTCCCACTCCTGACCTCAGGTGATCTGCCCGCCTCGGCCTCCCAAAGTGCTGGGATTACAGGCGTGAGCCACCACGCCCGGCTAATTTTTGTATTTTTAGTAGAGATGGGGTTTCATCATATTGGTCAGGCTGGTCTTGAACTCCAGACCTCAGGTGATCTGCCTGCCTAGGCCTCTCAAAGTGCTGGGATTATAGGCATGAGCCACCACACCCGACCCTGGTTACAAATATTTTCTCCTTTGCCATTTGCCTCCTCGTTTTCTGGTGTTTAAAAATCAGTTTTTGGTATTTTTTTGTTTTTGTTTTTTTGATACGGAGTTTCGCTCTTGTTGCCCAGGCTAGAGTGCAATGGCGCAATCTCGGCTCACCACAACCTCCACCCTCCGGGTTCAAGCAATTCTCCTGCCTCAGCCTCCTGAGTAGCTGGGATTACAGGCATGCACCACCACGACCAGCTATTTTTCTATTTTTAGTAGAGACGGGGTTTCACCATGTTGGTCAGGCTTGTCTCGAACTCCCAATGTCAGTTGATCCATCCACTTTGGCCTCCCAAAGTGCTAGGATTACAGGCGTAAGCCACTGTGCCTGGCCAAAAATCAGTTTTTTAGAAGTCTGATCTGCCAATTTTTTCCATTATAGTTTTTTCCTCAAGATTTTAGAAGTCATATATTCTCTTCCAGTATTATATAGCTTAATTTTTCTGTATTTAAGCCTTCAATCCTAAGGCACCAAGAATATTTTCCTCTAGCTATCCTAGGATCATTTATTGCATAAGTGATCATTTTCCCAGATTTGAAATGCTACCTTTTAAATACAAAATAGTCTTATTTTTTTTCCTTATATGCTTGGCTGTTTTTGTAGTTTTTTTCTTTTTTCTTTTTTTTTTTGAGATGGAGTCTCACTCTGTCGCCCAGGCTGGAATGCAATGGCGCCATCTTGGCTCATGCAACCTCTGCCTCCCAAGTTCTAGCAATTCTCCTGCCTCGGCCTCCTGAGTAGCTGGGATTACAGGCATGTGCCACCACGCCTGGCTAATGTTTTTGTATTTTCAGTAGAGACGAGGTTTCACCGTGTTGGCCAGGCTGGTCTTGAACTCCTGACCTCAGGTGATCCGCCTGCCTTGGCCTCCCAAAGTGCTGGGATTACAGGCGTGAGCCACTGTGCCCGGCTGTTTCCATAATTCCTTTCGCATTTCATTGTACTATCTCTACTTGCATCAAGTCAACTAATTATTATGGTATTGTGACATGTTTTAATATCTGACACGGTAAGCCTTCCACCTTCATTCTTTTCAAACATTTTCTAAATTGATCCTTCTTCCCTTTAAATCCATATCCATAGCAGAAATATGTAGTTAAGCATATGTATACAGATATTTGTTTCTTTTAAGTGACAGGGTCTCTGTCACCCAGGCTGGAGTGCGATGGCACAATCATAGCTCACTGCATCCTTGAACACATGGGCTCAAGTGATCCTCCCACCTCAGTCTCCCAAGTAGCTAGGACCATAGAAGCACACTACCATGCCCAACTAATTATTTTCTTTCCAGCAGAGACAAGGGTCTTGCTATGTTGCTCAGGCTGGTCTCAAACTCCTGGACTCAAGCAATCCTCCTGCCTTGGCCTCCAAAAGTGCTAGGGTTACAGGCCTGAGCCACCACACCCAGCCTGTGAAGATACTTTGGGAGGCCGAGGCAGGTGGATCAATTGAGGTCAGGAGTTCGAGACCAGCCTGACCAACATGGTGAAACCCTGTCTCTACTAAAAATACAGTAATTACCTGGGCATGGTGGGAAGCACCTGTAGTCCCAGCTACTCGGGAGGCTGAGGCAGGAGAATTGGTTGAACCTGGGAGGCGGAGGTTGCAGTGAGCCGAGATCGCGCCACTGCACTCCAGCCTGGGCAAGAGCGAGACTCCATCTAAAAAAAAAAAAAAAAAGGTTCACAGCAAAACATATTATCAATTGTATTACAGAAATAATACTGTTCAAATGATTAGGGCCATGATAGGAAAACCATACTACCTGCAAACATGCCAAGATACCGAGTTTTTCCCCTAAATTTGGAAAAGCTATTCACAACTTTTAATGTTCCTTGCAGTAGCACCAAAGTCTGTGTGAATTTCTGTAATGTGGAAAGGATGTAGAACTAAGAGGAAAATCATATTCTGATACCAATTAGAATCGACCATTTACTTTTTTGATATTATCACTCTTACCTCTGGGGGTGCCTATTTTCAGATACTAATATAATGGCCTTCAGAATATGTTTGACAATGGAGAAATCAGTAATTTAGACAGATATCGGTGAGCTTTAGAACATATGTTTGTCCATTTTAATACATTGTTTGTATCAATGAAGAGGAAAATTGTGACTGGAATATATAATCTAGAACTATCTGATCATTATACTTAACTACTGAGTACTGGAATACCACCAGATCCCAGGGCCTTTTAACTATCTTGTTTAGAACGATCGGAATAAGATAATTGTTAGAAGAATTCTACTTTTTCTCCGGATATGCCATGTCCTCTTTTTTTTTTTTTTTAAAGCCTATACTACCCATATGGCTTCTTTTTTGCCTCCTAGTCTCCCTTTCCTTCCACTTATGCCTTAGACACTTCTTGACTGCTGATAATCCCTGGAATTTAAAAAAGTAGTAGACTCAGGATCTACATCTGTGTTGTATTTTCCAGAGTGGTTCTTACAGCATCTCTACTGACTGAATTAATAAACAGGAGAAAAAGAAGTATTTCAATTCAATAACTGCCACCTGAAGAACTGTGATTTTTTTTTTTTTTTTTTTTTGAGACAGTCTTGCTCTATCACCCAGACTGGAGTGCGGTGGCACGATCTCGGTTCACTGCAACCTCCGCCTTCTGGGATCAAGCGATTCTCCTGCCTCAGCCTCCAGATTAGCTGGGATTACAGGCACGTGCCACCACGCCTGGCTATTTTTTTGTATTTTTAATAGAGACGGGGTTTCGCCGAGTTAGCCAGGATGGTCTCGATCTCCTGCCCTCGTGATCCACCCGCCTCGGCCTCCAAAGTGCTGGGATTACAGGCGTGAGCCACCACGCTCGTCAAGAAGTATGATCTTATCAATTACACAATTTTCAAGAATAAAACGAGATGCAAAAAATTCAGACATTTAGGCCAGGCACAGTGGCTCACACCTGAAATCCCAGCACTTTGGGAGGCCGAGGTGGGCTGACTGCCTAAGGTCAGGAGTTTGAGACCAGCCTGGCCAACATGGCAAAACTCCGTCTCTACTAAAAATACAAAAACTAGCTGGGCGTGGTGGCATGTGCCTGTAATCCCAGCTTCTTGGGAGGCTGAGGCAGGAGAATCGCTTGAACCCAGGAGGCAGAGGTTGCAGTGAGCCGAGATGGTGCCACTGCACTCCAGCCTGGGCAACAGAGAGATACTCTGTCTCAAAAAACAAAACAAAACAAAACAAAAAACAAAGGCCGAGCGCGGTGGCTCAGGCCTGTAATCCCAGCACTTTGGGAGGCTGAGGTGGGCGGATCACGAGGTCAAGAGTTTGAGATCAGCCTGGCCAACATGGTGAAACCCCGCCTGTACTAAGAATACAAAAAGTAGTTGGGCGTGGTGGTGTGTGCCTATACTCCCAGCTACTAGGGAGGTTGAGGCAGGAGAATCTTTTGAACCTAGGAGGCGGAGGTTGCAGTGAGCCGAGATCGTGCCACTGCACTCCAGCCTGGGCGACAGAGCAAGACTCCGTCTCAGGGGAAAAATATTTTCATTTATGGGCTCAAAAGAAATCTATACAGATATATTACAGATTGCTGTTTTAAGTGAATTTTTCACTTAACTTTTACAACATCAAGAATAGAGCAGACACCTCTACAGGTGGCAGAACTCAAAACAATCAAAATTTATTTCTTGTGCATATAGCCACCTTTATATCTAGACTCTTTGCATCAAGAATAAACGGTGGAAATATCAGACACTCATAAAGCACAATCACCTAATTTAGTTTATCACTAAAAAGTTGCCTTTGGAAATCCTATACACGTCTGTTGGTATCTGCTGCCCCTGAGGTGAAATGTCCATTAAAGTTACTTACTCTAATCGACTCCTTTTCCTTATTTATAAAATAGGGATATTACGTACTTTACAGGAATATAGTAAGAATATATAAGATTAGGGATGTGACAGTAACTAGCACATGCCAGATGTAGTAAGCACTCAAAAGTTAGTTCTAATTTTCCCCTACTGGTACTGAACCAAATTAAAAATAAACACACAAAACAACAACAAAAACCAACTTGAATCTGAGAATTATTTAACACACACAGTATAGGCATACCTCATTTTATTGTGCTTTGCTTTACTGTGCTTGACAGATATTGCATTTTTTAAATAAATTGAAGGTTTGTGGCAACCCTGCATTGAGCAAGTCCATTGGCACCATTTTTCCAACAGCAAGTGATGCTCACTTCGTGTCTGTGTCACATTTTGGTAATTCTCACAGTATTTCAAACTTTTGCATTATTATTATTATATCTGTTATGGTGATCTGTGATCAATGATCTTTGATATATTACTGTAATTGTTTTGGGGCACCATAAACTGTGCCCGTATAGGATGGTGAACTTAACTGATAAATGTGTGTGTTCAGACTATTCCACTGACCAACCATTCCCCCCTCTCTCTCCCTCTCCTTGGACCTCCTTATTCCCTCAGATACAACAATATTGAAAGTAGGCCTTGCCAGGCATGGTGGCTCACGCCTATAATCCCAGCACTCTGGGAGGCCGAGGCGGGCGGATCACGAGGTCAGGAGATCTAGACTTCCTGGCTAACACGGTGAAACCCCATCTCTATTAAAATTCAAAAAAATTAGCTGGGTGTGGTGGCACACGCCTGTAGTCCCAGCTTCTCGGGAGGCTGAAGCAGGAGAATGGTGTGAACCCAGGAGGCAGAGCTTGCAGTGAGCCAAGATTGTGCCACTGCACTCCAGCCTCGGCGATGGAGCGAGACTCCGTCTTAAAAAAAAAAAAAAAAGAAAGTAGGCCAGTTAGTAACCCTACAATGGACTCTAAGTGTTCAAGTGAAGGAAGAGTGGACTGTCCCTCACTTTAAATCAAAAGCTAGAAATTAAGCTTAGTGAAAAAGGCATGTCAAAAGCTAATACAGGCCAAAAGCTAGGCCTCTTGTGCCAGTTAGCCAAGTTGTAAATCCAAACGGAAAGTTCTTAAAGGAAATCAAGAGTGCTATTCTAATGAAAAATGAGTAATATGAAAGCAAAACAGCCTTATTCCTGACATGGAGGAAGTTTTAGTGGTCTGGATACAAGATCATACAGCCACAACATTCCCTTAGGCCTGAGCCTAACTCAGAAGAGGGTCTTAACTCTCTTCAATTCTATGAAGGCTGAGAGAATTGAGAAACTGCAGAAGTTTGAAGCTAACATGAGTTTAAAGGAAGGAAGCTGTTCTTCATTACATAAAAGTGCAAGGTAAGGCCAGGCACGGTGACTCACACCTGTAATCCCAGCACTTTGGGAGGCCAAAGTGGGCAGATCTTCTGAGGTCAGTTCGAGATCGGCCTGGCCAATATGGTGAAAATACAAAAGTTACTAAATTACTACTAAAAATACAAAAATTAGCCAGGTGTAGTGTCACGCACCTGTAATCCCAGCTACTCAGGAGGCTGAGGCATGAGAATTGCTTGAGCTCAGAAGGCGGAGGTTGCAGTGAGCTAAGACTTTTCCACTGCACCACAGCCTGGGCAACTCTGTCTCAAAAAAAAAAAAAAAGTGCAAGGTGAAGCAGCATGTGCTCATGTAGAACCTGCAGCAAGTTATCCAGAAGATCTGGCTAAGATACCTGATGAAGGTGGCTACACTAAACAATAGATTTTTTTTTTTTTTTTTCTGAGACAGAGTCTCACTCTGTCGCCCAGGCTGGAGGGCAGTGGTGCGATCTCTGCTCACTGCAAGCTCCGCCTCCTGGGTTCTCGCCATTCTCCTGCCTCAGCCTCCCCAGTAGCTGAGACTATAGGCGCCTGCCACCACGCCTGGCTAATTTTTTTTGTATTTTTAGTAGAGACGGGGTTTCACCATGTTAGCCAGGATGGTCTTGATCTCCTGACTTTGTGATCCGCCTGCCTCGGCCTCCCAAAGTCCTGGGATTACAGGCGTGAGCCAACGTGCCCGGCCAACAATAGATTTTTTAACGTGGATGAAACAGCTTTATATTGGAAGAGGATGCCATCTAGGACTTTCATAGCTAGAGAGAAGTCAATGTCCAATTTCAAAGGACCAGCTAATTCTCTTGTTAGTGGCTAATGTAGTAGCTGTCTTTAAGTTGAAGCCAATGTTCATTTATCATTCTGAAAATCCTAGGGCCCTTAAGAATTATGCTAAATCTACACTGCCTGTGCTCTAACAACGGAACAAGAAAGCCTGGATGACAGCATGTCTCTTTGACAGCATGGCTTACTGAGTAGTTTATTGTTGAGAACTGCTGCTCAGAAAATCTCACTCACTGCTCATTGACAACACACCTAGTCACCCAAGAGCTCTGATGGGAGATCTACAAGATTTATCTTTTCATGCCTGCTACACAATATCCATTCTGTTGCCCATGGATCAAGGAATCATTTTGACTTTCAAGTCTTATTATTTAAGAAAATACATTTCATGGCTGGGCACGGTGGCTCACGCCTGTAAAAAATACAAAAATTAGCCAGGCATGGTGGTGCACACCTGTAATTCCAGCTACTCAGGAGGCTGAGGCAGGAGAATCGCTTGAACCTGGGAGGCAGAGGTTGCAGGAGAGATTGTCTCAAAACACACACACACACACACACACACACACACACATCAAAACTGCATTGCATGTTACAGAGAAATATTTTGTGAAAGGAAGGCTCAATGTGGCAAACTTCATTGTCTTGTCTTAAGAAACTGCCACAGCCACTCCAACCTTCAGCAACAACCACCCTAATCAGTCAGTAGCCAACTACATAGAGGAAGACCCTCCATGAGCAAAAAGAATACAACTCGCTGAAGGCTCAGATAATCCTTAGCATTTTTTAGCAATAATTTTGAAATTAGGTATGTACAGTTTTTTGTTTTTTTGTTTTGAGACGGAGTCTCGCTCTGTCGCCCAGGCTGGAATGCAATGGCGCAATCTTGGCTTACTGCAACCTCCGCCTCCCGGGTCCAAGTGATTCTCCTGCCTCAGCCTCCCGAGTAGCTGGGATTACAAGCATCCGCCACCATGTCCGGCTAATTTTTGTGTTTTTAGTAGAGACGGGGTTTCACCATGTTGGCCAGGCTGGTCTCGGACTCCTGACTTCAGGTAATCCACCCGCCTCAGCCTCCCAAAGTGCTGGGATTACGGGTGTGAGCCACCGCGCCCAGCCAGGTATGTACATTTTTTTTTTACACATAATACTATTGCATGCTTAACACACTACAATGTAAACATGACTTTTATATGCACTGAGATACCAAAAAAATTCGTATGACCTCGCTTTATTGCAGTCATACGAAGTATTCTGCAATACTTCGAGGTATGCCTGTATGTTGGTCATTTCAATATGATTCAGTCACGTTACAGGTCTGTCACATAATGGTAGGGAGACAGAAGATGTAGGTTCTACTATCAGTAGAACTTCCAGATGGCTTAAGAAAAAAAATCTGTAAACTAAGAGGGTTGGCATATAGTATTCCTGTTTTCCAGCTTTACCATTCTTGCTTCTATAATTCTGTGATTATGGACACACAACACACACATACGCTCAAACCTCCATTGTAGTAAGAATTTTAAAGCATAATATTTCTTAGCATATTATTGCTAACATGCGTCTATTTTGAGACTAGAAAAAATAGTCATTAGTAAAGAAACGCCACTAAAAATAGCTTAGAAATATTTAAAATGCAAGCCAGGCACAGTGGCTAATGCCTGTAATCCCAGCATTTTGGGAAGCCAAGGCGGGCGGATCACCTGAGGTCGCGAGTTCAAGACCAGCCTGACCAACATGGGAAACCCTGTCTCTATTAAAAATACAAAATTAGCCAGGCATGATGGCACATGCCGGTAAGCCCAGCTACTAGGGAGGCTGAGGCAGGAGAATCGCTTGAACCCGGGGCGGGGGGCGGAGGTTGCGGTGAGCTGAGATCGTTCCATTGCACTCCAGCCCTGGGCAACAAGAGCGAAACTCCATCTCAAAAAAAAAAAAAAAAGAAAAAGAAAAGAAAATAAATATTTAAATGCTTCAGTGATTTCGATATTTTATTTCGAATCGCGCCGTGGGAATAAGGAAATATATACAAAATGATACAGCACGGCGTCCTCGGGTCCTTCTAGGTCTGCGCCAGTATTTAAGGATAATAATTAATCGCGCTGTAACTGCCTTTGCATTGGGCAAACCGTGGTTACTGAATTGCTGGCAAAGAGGGGCGGAGAGTGGTAAGAGGCCCGGAGCCGGGTCTGAGGCTTTAATAGAAGAAGCAACGGCGGGACGACGTCAAGCCCTGGCGCGGCTGTGGGGGCGGCGGCCAGCGGAGGGGCTGGGGGGCTGCAGGCGCCGGGCGCGCCAGGCCTGGGCCGCAGCCTCGGGAGCGGGTGTGGCGGGCGCTGCGTCCGCTCAGGCCGAGGGTCTCCCGGCGCGAGTCTACCCCGTCCCGCCTCTTCCCCTTACCACGTAGCCCCCCCACACGTAGAGGAAGTTTCCGTCCACCACGGCGCAGTGGCCGCTGCGTTCCTCCGCCACACAGAACAGCTGAGAGTCCGCCATTCGCGCCGTCGCTGGCCCGCCGCTTGCCGCGCCACAACCCCTGCCCGCCCGGCGGCCTCGCCTCCAGCCCCGACTGCTCCACGCACGAACGGAACGCGGCGAGGGTCGAGATTGGTGGGAAGGCGGAGCCAGTGCGTCTGCAACGTCCCGCGGCTCTCGCTCGGGAAGTCGAGCCAGGGGCGGCGCGGCTGTGGAGGGACGTTCTGGCTCCTCGCAGTGGGCAAGGGGCCTGGGCTTTCCACGCGCAGATTCCTTCTCTCTTGGAATTGTGTTTTGGCAGTACAGCCTCATTTAGTAGTCAGTCTGTAGTCAGATTCCTTGATTATCTCAAAATGTCTTTTCTATAGTTGGTTTGTTCAGCACCGTAATTCGTTGTTAACGCCTCTTAAGACTTTACGTCTGTTTTACTCTAGAATAGCTTCTCTCCCTTCTCTCTTGTGCCATTTGTTTGTTATATGGATTAGTTTTCTTATTTTCCTACAGCCGTACCACCTTCTGGGTTTGGTTCCTCAGTGTCTTTTCTCATTAACTTGTGCATCCTTTCCCCATACTTCTTTTAGGCTGGAAGCTGTATCTAAAAGCTTTATTAGATTCTAGTTCAGATTTTTTTTTGGAAAATACTTCATATTGCATCACATTAGAAGGCACTTAAGTCTGGTGCACTTTAATGATACTTTCTATTGTTTATTTTTGACTATACAAATAAACAGAGTATCTGCTCCTTTTCTTACACAAAAGGAAGTATATACAGTGTTCCTTAACTTTCTCTTTTCACTTGACGATCCATATCAGGATACAGCAAGCAGTCTCCTCAGTCCTTTTCATAGCTTCATAGCACTCCACCGATTGGATGTGTCATAGCTTATTCAAACAGATTCTTATTGATGGACATATCGGTTATTTCCAGGTTTTTTTGGCTATCATAAATAATGCTGCGATGAAACGTTATGCATATGTTATTTTGTATTTGTACAAGCCTATCTTTGGAGTAGAGTTCTAGATGTGGAATTGCTGGGTCAGAGGATAAATGCATATTTAACTTTACAAATGTAACTGGATTGCAGTGGCTCACGCCTCTCATCTAAGCACTTTGGGAGGATGAGGTAGGCGGATCACTTGAGCTCAGGAGTTTGAGACCAGCCTGGCCAACCTGGGCAATCCCGTCTCTACTAAAAATACAAAAATTAGCCGGGCGTGGTGGCGCATGCCTGTAATCCCAGCTACAAAGGCAAGAGAATCGCTTTAACCCGGGAGGTGGAGGTTGCAGTGAACCGAGATCGCGCCACTGCACTCCGGTCTGGGCGACAGAGCAAGGTTCCTTAGAAAGAAAGAGAGAAAGAGAGAGAGAGGGAAAGGGAGAGAGAAAGAAAGAAAAAGGAGGAAGGGAGGGAAGGAAGAAGGGAGGGAGGGAGGAAGGGAGGAAGGAAGGAAGAAATTCAAGATAGACAAAAGTGATCTATGATAATAGAAAGCAGAAAAGTGGTCATTTGGGAGTAGGGAGGGGGAGGGGACTGATGGAAAGGAGTACAGGAAGTGTTCTGGAGTGATTAAAATGTTCTGTATCTTGATTGAGGTGGTGGTTACATGGGTGTATACATTTATCAAAATGCATTGAACTGCATACAGATATGTGCATTTTACTTAGTGTAAACTATATGTCAATCATAATTCTCACTCCATCACTTTATTGTTACTAGTAATATTGGTATTGTATTTTTGAAATGGAGCATTTGTCCTCCTGGACTGTAGAGTCTGGTGGAGTCTATAGACCAGCAAACAGACAATTACCATACCGTGCAGTAAGTGTGAAAATAGCAAAAGTCCAGGGCACCTTGGGTGTACAGAGGCCCTTTAACTCAGATTGAGGGAAGACAGGGAAGGTTCCTGAGAGAAAGTAAAGTCTAAGTTAAGAACTGAATGATGAACGGAAGTTGTTCAAGGAACTTTCATTCGTGAGAGGGAAGAGTCAAGGATATGCCTAGTTTACCAGCTTGGTCACTGGGTGGGAGGTGGGTGGAGCCCTTCGCTAGGTTATTGAACATGGGAGGAGGAACAGGTTTGGGGGAGGGCAGGGCTAATGGTGAGTTCATTTGGAGGCATATTGAGTTGGATTTGAAGTCTAAGAGAGCTAAGGGCTAGAGATAGGGATTTTGGAGTCATCAGCATATAATTGTTCATTTAAGTATTGGGACTTTATGAGCTGGCCAGGTGAAGGAGCCATAGAAGAAGTTGAAAATTTATTAGAGAAAGAGAATTATGATTGGGAACATTTATGGGAAAAGGGGAATTGTGAGGTCAGATTGTGAGAGAAAGCTGGGCAACTGGAATTGATTATTTTCTCTCCAATTTCTTAATATAAAAAGTAGCAAACCAAAAAAAGTTGAAAAAATAGTTCAAAGAGTACCTGTGTATCTTCCACTCCAGGTTAATAATTATTAATACTACCATACTAGCTTTATGTTTGTTGGTATGTGTGTGTCTGTCTTTTTCATTTTGTTGAATTATTTGAGAGTGGGAGTGCCTTATGGAGAAAATACATGTGATAAATAAGCTTCCTTCAGCTATGAGTTATAGGGCTCTTGGCCCTGAGTTCAGTGTTAACGAATCACAATGTAAAGATGTCTTTACATAAAAACACACATAAAACAAGGTTATAGGCCGGGCGCGGTGGCTCACGCCTGTAATCCCAGCACTTTGGGAGGCCGAGACGGGGGGATCACGAGGTCAGGAGATCGAGACCATCCTGGCTAACACGGTGAAACCCCGTCTCTACTAAAAATACAAAAATTAGCCGGGCATGGTGGCGCGCGCCTGTAGTCCCAGCTACACGGGAGGCTGAGGCAGGAGAATGGCGTGAACCCGGGAGGCGGAGCTTGCAGTGAGTCGAGATCGCGCCACTGCACTCCAGCCTGGGCGACAGAGCGAAACTCCGTCTCAAAAAAAAAAAAAAAAAAAAAACAAAACAAGGTTATATGTTGATCAGTTGATGAAAACATTGTCACCAGAGGCTCACAGGAACCTAATTCTGTACTTCCCCTAGTAGGAATGGTTTAGTATTCAATAATTATTTGTTGGTGGCTACTTATAAAATCTAACTATCACAGGTACAGTAATGAGAATTAACTATATGTCTTTCTATTCGTATTTCCTATCCTTTCTTACATAAAAATTAAAAATTTCTTTGTACTTTTTGTCTTTGAAAAATATTTCACTAAATAAAGAGAACTGTGTTCAAAAATCACTTGTGATGTTATGTTACCAATTTAATATACAATTAGGTGTATTAGTTTTAGTATGCATTCAATTTTAAGCTCACCTTTTTATTTTCTATTTTTTGAATATGTAAAACATGCACATGGATTAAAAGTCTCACTGTAAAGAAAGTTTTCACTTTCATCCCTATCCCCTCACCCCTTTGTAGTTAACCATTTTTGTGGTCTCTGATTTAACCTTCCAGAGTTGTTTTGTTGTTGTTGTTGCTGTTGTTTTGAGACAGAGTCTCACTCTTGTTGCCTAGGCTGGAGTGTAATGGCCCCATCTCGGCTCACCGCAACCTCTGTCTCCCGGGTTCAGACAATTCTCCTGCCTCAGCCTCCCGAGTAGCTGGGATTACAGGCATGCGCCACCATGCCTGGCTAATTTTTTTGTATTTTTGTAGAGACGGGGTTTCTCCATGTTGGTCAGGCTGGTCTCGAACTCCTGACCTCAGATGATCCGCCCACCTCGGCCTCCCAAAGTGCTGGGATTACAGGCGTGAACCACTGCGCCCGGCTTTTTTTGTTTTTGAGACAGAGCCTTGCTTTGTTGCCCAGGCTGGAGTGGTGGCACGATCTCGGCTCACTGCACCCTCCGCCTCCGAGGCTCAAGAGATTCTCCTGCCTCAACCTCCCCAGGAGCTGGGATTACAGGCGCGCGCCACCACGCCTGGCTAATTTTTTTTTTTTTTTTTTTTTTTTGGTAGAGACGGGGTTTCACCATGTTGGCCCGGCTGTTCTCGAACTCTTGGCCTCAAGTGATCTGCCAGCATCGGCCTCCCAAAGTTCTGGGATTACAGATGTGAGCCACCGCGCCCGGGCCCAGAGGTTTTTAAAATGCAAAAACAAATACATATACTTTTGTTTCCCTTCCTTCATTAAACTTCGCTTTTTTTTAAAAAAGAAAAAAACCCGTATACGTTGGAGGTCACTTTATATTGGTACTGTGAAATCATCCTCCTGTTTTATAAGCCGCGTGTTTACTTATAAGCACTCCACGGGTTAGTCAACTCATTGGAGCAAGCGTTTTGAAGTGTGGCAGATTGACAGTCCACCTGAAATCAGAATAACTGAGTTCAAATCCTGACTACACCATTTAACTCGTCGTTTCATCTTGAGCAAGTCCTTTACCATTTTTGTGTCTCAGTTTTCTCATCTGTAAAATGAGGCTGTTGTGGAAAAGACAGTAGACAGCTCACTGGGCTGTCATGAGCAACACATGAATTCACACATTTAAAGTGCTTATGACAGTGCATGGCGCATACGAAGCCCTCAAGTTAAATAAAAATCGGGGTAGGTGGGAGCGATGGAGATTTATAACAGCTTCCGGTAAATGTCGAGGCACAGTATTTCCAGAGCTTGTGCGAAGTAGGGAACCCAACAGCTCTCATGGCCTCGAAAGAAGGGGGATCCTGTGTCCGGGAAGCTCGGCCGCAGTCCTGCAATGTCTAGGGCAGCGGTGAGAGCGCTGTGGCTGGCTCAACGCAGCCCGACACCAGGGAAGACGCTCTGGCCCTCAGTTTCCCGGCAGCAAAGGAGCGCGAGGTGGTCTCCACTTTCAGCCTACTCGGTCCGGGGTTGCGAACTGTAAGGTCTGAGTTGCTGCGGCGCAGGCAGCGGAGACCAAGCAGGGATCTTAACAGGGTTTAGCGCCACGCGGGCCAGGGCCGAGGCCGGAGCTGGGAGGGGCGCGCCCGGGAAGGGGCGGAGCTGCGGCGGTGGCGCCAAATCGCAAATATGGCGCCGGAGCGGCTGCGGAGCCGGGCGCTCTCCGCCTTCAAGTTGCGGGGCTTGCTGCTCCGTGGGTGAGTGGGCTCGGGCAGCTTGAAGGGCGAGAGGGAAGAGCTGGGGCCCGTCTGCCTGGTGCGGCAGCGGGACGCACCGCGGCGGCTCCCCGCGCGCCGAGAGGGGGCTTGACCTTAAATTTCAGAGTTCTAAGAAGCGGTCGGGCGCGGTGGCTCACGCTTGTAATCCCAGCACTTTGGGAGGTCGAGGCGGGCGGATCACGAGGTCAGGAGATCGAGACCATCCTGGCCAACATGGTGAAGCCCCGTCTCTACTAAAAATACAAAAATTAGCTGGGCGTGGTGGCGCGCGCTTGTAGTCCCAGTTAGTTGGGAGGCTGAGGCAGGAGAATCGCTTGAACCCGGGAGGAGGAGGTTGCGGTGAGCCGATATCGTGCCACTCTACTCCATCCTGGCGACAGAGAGAGACTCCATTAAAAAAAAGTTCTAAGAAGCGAGGTGGATCTTGAGGCTGCCGTGCCTTCTTTGGTTTCCCCGACCCATGCGAGGAGTTTAATGTTTCTTCTAGGCGGGCCGAGGCTCTTCTGCACATGTCAAACTGAGCCCGAGAAGCTGCAACCTATCTATGGCAGCCGGTTATCAACATTGTGACCTGGACAGCTCTCAGGCTCCCGGGAAGGTTGCTGAGACATAAGATGAGAGACCCGAGAAAGCCCACTTGCACGTCTGCAGTTGCCAATTTATGTGAAAGTCAGGTTTCCTGGGCATATCCGTGTTTTTGAGGACCTATAGAACATATGAACCTTCCCAAGATTTCTCTCATTAAATCTGCTCCGTGTTTTAGAGTTCTATATGTACGTGTGTGTGTGTGTGTGTGTGTGTGTGTGTGTGTGTGGTGTGTGTGTATATATATATATGTATTTTTTTTTTTTTGAGTCATGGTCTCACTCTCGCCCAAGCTGGAGGGCAGTGATGCGAACTTGACTTACTGCAGCCTCAACCTCCTGGGCTGAAGTAGCTGGGACTGCAGGCATGGGCCACCATACCTGGCTGATTTTTTGTTGTTGTATGTTTTTTAGAGACGGGGTCTGGCTATGTTGCCCAGGCTGGTCTTGAACTCCTGGGCTCAAGTAGTCCTCGCGCCGTGGCCTCCCAGAATGCTGGAATTACAGGCGTGAACCACTGCGCCTGACCTAGAACACAATATTTTATACATATTGAAATACCTGCTGGATTGGATATACCTCTCTGTATCAGTTTTTATTGCTTTTGTGTGTGTAGATTTTTGGTTGGTTTTGTGAGTTTTATGGGACTTTTAACTGTGCTTTGGGAGATGCCTTGGGAGAAAATAATGAATTTTGTTCAATTGGTCCTTGACATTTTGAAAGCATGAGGAACTGATGAATTAACTTTCTTTTCGCTTAGAATTTGACCTAATATTAAGCTTTTGTTCATTAATTATTTCAGTCATAAGTATACTTAAATCTGTTAGCTGCAAAGCACCGTGCTGGGGTAAGGGGGTGCAATAGAGAGCAAGAGCTTTGTAGGGGGCAGATAATGTATTCTATTGCTGCGTGACAAATTACCCCACAATTTAAAGGCTAAAACAGTACACATTATCTCAAATTTTCTGTGGGTTAGGAATTCAGGTGTGGCTTAGTTGGGTCCTCAACTTCAGGGTCTTTTCACAAGGTTGCAGTCAAGATGGATCATCTCAAATGTTGTCCAGACAGCATTCGCTTCAAGCTCATTCAGTTGTTGGCAGGATTCAGTTCCTGATTGCCTGGCAGGCTGTTGGCTGGAGGCTATCCTCAGTCCCTTGCCATGTGTGCCCCCAACATGGCTTCATCAAGAGAGAGAGTCTTCTAGTAACTCTGAGGCAACCTAATCAAGGAGGTGACATCTTGTTATTTTTAAATTTTTTTTACTTTTAAATTTTACTTTCAAAATTATAATACAGTAAGTTATTCTATCCCTTTTGCTATATTCTATTTTTAGAAACAAGTTACTAGGTCCAGCCCACACTTAAGGGCAGGGGATTACATAGGTGTAACTACCAGGAGTAATGGATTATTAGGGGCCATCTTAGAAGTCTGTCTACCATGGATATTAAATGACTATTTTACAGCTATTTAATCTCAATTGTGAAAGGGATTCCAGGAAAGAAGGGCTATGAGAGTTTATGATAAGGTGTATAAACTGCCCTAGAGTCAAGGAAGAACTTCACTGCAGAAGTGGTTTGGGCTGACTTAAAGAATGAGCAGGACTTGGCTGGGCGCAGTGGCTCACGCCTGTAATCCCAGCACTTTGGGAGGCTGAGGTGGGCGGATCACGAGGTCAGGAATTCGAGACCGGCCTGACCAACATGATGAAACCCTGTCTCTACTAAAAATACAAAAAAAAAAACCAACCAGCCAGACGTGGTGATGTGCACCTGTAACCCCAGCTACTCAGGAGGCTGAGGCAAGAGAATCGCTTGAACCCGGGAGGTGAAGGTTGCAGTGAGCCAAGATTACGCCACTGCACTTCAGCCTGGGTAAGAGAGCGAGACTCCATCTCAAAAAAGAAAGAAAGAAAAAAAAGAAAGAACAGGACCTGACTAGGTGGAGAGAAGAGTGGGAGGAAATGGCCATATAAAGACCCTAAAGCAGGAGAGTGCCAGGAAGGCCAGGGACATGGTATGAGCTTAATGGGATTTGGCAGGGGCAAGATTCTGTATGGCTTTACAGGCTTTGGTCTATGCTAAGAACTGTCCCAAGATGCAACCAAAATGTATATGATTTTAGGGACTCAGTGGTCAAATATTTATGGACCACCTTCAAGTGTATTTAGAACTCTGTGGAAGGATGGCACAGAGTTCTAAGTTACAGTTTTAAAGTTATCTATAATTCAGTTCTCAGTTATCTATAATAAATTTGAGAGATGCAACACCTACACACAAAACAACTAATAAAGCAACCCAATATATAGAACAATTAGTGTTATGGCTATAACAATAATATGTGAAATGTTAAATTGTGTGCTACAAATACAGAATGGCATGTAATTAGCTAATTGTTTAATATTGTAATCAGCAATAATATTGATGTGAGGTATAAAGTGTGCTACAAATACAGAATGGCATGTAGTGGCATGTAACTAGTTAATCATGTTCATTCTGATCATTGTTGGGATTTAGGTAAGGAATTAATGTGATTTTATTTTATTTATTTATTTTTTTTGAGATGGAGTTTCTCTGTTGCCCAGGCTGGAGTGTAGTGGCCCGATCTCCGCTCACTGCAAGCTCCGCCTCTCAGGTTCACTCCGTTCTCCCTCCTCAGCCTCCCAAGTAGCTGGGACTACCGGCGCCCGCCACCATGCCTGGCTAATTTTGTTTTTGTATTTTTAGTAGAGATGGTGTTTCACCGTGGTAGCCAGGATGGTTTCGATCTCCTGACCTCGTGATCTGCCCGTCTTGGCCTCCCAAAGTGCTGGGATTACAGGCGTGAGCCACCGCGTGCCCAGCCATGATTTTTTTTTTTTTTTTTTTTTTTTAATGATGGTCAGACTCCATGAAGCAGGTGGCAGTGCCTTACCATATGTGTATTGTCAGGCCCGAGGGCCTCTTCCATCTTTGTCAAGTGGAGTGCCAACCTCTCCTTTCGTATAACACAAATTCATGTGATTTTAATGAGTGTTGCTTCTATGATTATATTCAAATGTCATAGTTTTTTAAAGCCTTTTTTTTTTTTGAGACGGAGTCTCGCTCTCTCGCCCAGGCTGGAGTGCAGTGGCGCGATCTCGGCTTACTGCAAGCTCTGCCTCCCGGGTTCACGCCATTCTCCTGCCTCAGTCTCCCGAGTATCTGGGACTACAGGCGCCCGCCACCATGCCCGGCTAAATTTTTTGTGTTTTTAGTAGAGACGGGGTTTCATCGTGTGTTAGCCAGAATGGTCTTGATCTCCTGACCTCATGATCCGCCCGCCTCGGCCTCCCAAAATGCTGGGATTACAGGCGTGAGCCACCGCGCACAGCCAAGCCTATTTTTTTTCTTATTTTACAATTGAAAACAGTGATTATTGGAATTTACTTTGAACAAGTGCATTATCAAATTAAATATATGAGTGTCTTATGTTCAGGATATGGTGCTTGACATTGAAACAGATGGACTCTTGCCTTAAATGTAGGGTAGTAAGTAATAAAAGGCTAATGTAATATATCAGATCTAAGGTATATGTAAATGTGATTTTTAACAATTTCAGAAGAAAGGGGAGATTGCAGCAGGTAGAGCTGGTCTAGGAAGCCTTCTTAGAGGAAGGATGTGATTTGAGGCTTTATGTTAGCAAGGCATAGGAGGATGATTTTGTTCAGAAAGCACAGGAAAGATAAAGTGCTACTTGAAGAGAGCAGTTAGTGGTTCTTCCTTTCAGTGCCAGATTGATGAGTATTTGCTGCTTTTTGGCAGAAAACTTTTAGCCTTTAATTACTAATGACCTGCCTCATTTTTCCTTTCCTTTTCTTAGTGAAGCTATTAAGTACCTCACAGAAGCTCTTCAGTCTATCAGTGAATTAGAGCTTGAAGATAAACTGGAAAAGATAATTAATGCAGTTGAGAAGCAACCCTGTAAGTAATATTTTCTGATAACTCCTAAATTGTTAATATAGTTCTGCATCTTCAGTTAGATGTATAGATTTAAATTGAAGTTGAGGCTTCACTATTAAGATGTCCCAGTGTTATAAGATGTATGCATGGTAGCATTTCTTCCCAAGGGGTAATACCTTTAGTTTATTTTAATTTTTTTTTCTTTCTTTTTTGGGATGGAGTCTCGCTCTGTTGCCCAGGCTGGAGTGCAATGGCGCTATCTTGGCTCACTGCAACCCCCACCTCCCGGGTTCAAGCAATTTTCTTGTCTCAGCCTCACGAGTAGGTGGGATTACAGGCACACACCTCCATGTCAGGCTAATTTTTTGTATTTTAGTAGAGATGGGGTTTCACTGTGTTGCTCAGCCTGGTCTCAAACTCCTGGGCTCACGCAGTCCACCTGCCTCGGCCTCCCAAAGTGCTAGGATTACAGGCGGGAGCCACCACACCCGGCCTTTTTTATTTTAACTGTTGATGACATCCAAACCCTTAGTTTAGTTGGAACCTCAGGATGATCCCCAAGGGCCCTTTTATAGTTCCTTTCCCCCAGTGGAGGTGTCACCACCATGTTTCCTGCACTTGGCTTCTGATTTTGATCTGGTCCTTTATGGTCACTTTGTCTCTCCTAGTGGCTATTACCATGTCTTATTTAAGTCATTAACTCCTAAATGTTTGGGAGGAAAAAAAGAAGAGTAAAGTAAACAGAGCTGACATCTCTTCTTGATTTCTTCAGGGATTTTTTTTTTTTAATAGAATGGCTAGTCATTTTAACTTAATTTTGTAAGTCTAAGTTAAAGGGCAGAGACAGTAACTTTTCAATAAAAAGCAATTCTACTAATGCACTGATAATGAATACACTAAACAGAGTTGGAAGGCATTTTACTGAAAGCAAACTGTAGAAAATAGACTTTTTTTTTTTTTTTTTTTTTTTTTTCCCTGAGAAGGAGTCTTGCACTGTCGCCCAGGCTGGAATGCAGTGGTGCTATTTCGGCTCACTGCATCCTCTGCCTCCTGGGTTCAAATGATTCTCCTGCCTCAGCCTCCCGAGTAGCTGGGATTACAGGTGTGCGCCACCATGCCTGGCTAATTTTTGTATTTTTAGTGGAGACGAGGTTTCACCATGTTGGCCAGGCTGGTCTCGAACCGCCAACTTCAGGTGATCGCCCACCTCGGCCTCCCAAAGTGCTGGGATTACAGGCGTGAGCCATTGTACCTGGTGAAAATAGACATTGATACAAAATTATATAACGCTTGTGATAAGAATAAGTGGGGCCAGGCATGGTGGCTAACACCTGTAATCCCAGCACTTTGGGAGGCCGAGGCTGGTGGGAACGCCTGAGTTCAGGAGTTCAAGGTCAGCCTGGACAACATGGCAAACCCTGTCTCTACTAAATATACAAAAATTAGCCAGGCATGGTGGCAGGCGCCTGTAATCCCAGCTCCTTGGGAGGCTGAGGCAGGAGAATCGCTTGAACCCGGGAGGCAGAGGTTGCAGTGAGCTGAGATTATGCCACTGCACTCCAGACTGGGTGACAGAGTGAGATTCCGTCTCAAAAAAAAAAAAAAAAAAGAATAAGTGGATTTCAAGAAAAGCACATTCTATAAAAGATGGTCATTTTTTTCTTGAGTATACCAAAGTTATGAAACATAAGGTGACCCAGGAAGGTAGAGGTTTGGGAACTCCTTCAAGGCATTTGCTTTCTACACACTGCTTCCCTCCTCTCCCTTTTTTTTTTTTTTTTTTGGTGAGAGCGGGACAGAGTCTCACTCTGTTGCCTAGGCTGGAGTGCAATGGCGCCATCTCGGTTCACTGCAATGGCGCCATCTCGGTTCACTGCAATGGCGCCATCTTGGTTCACTGCAGCCTCTGCCTCCCGGGTTCAAGCGATTCTTCTGTCCCAGCCTCCTGAGTAGCTGGGACTACAGGTGCGTGCCACCACACCAGGCTAATTTTTATATTTTTGGTAGAGACAGGGTTTCACCATATTGGTCAGGCTGGTGTTGAACTCCTGACCTCAGGTAATCCACCCACCTTGGCCTCCCAAAGTGCTGGGATTACGGGCGTGAGCCACCACACCTGGCCCCTCCTCTCTTTCTTCATGTTCTTTTTTGGAAAGTCACATCTGTTGAAACATGCCCAAAGAAGCTAGAATGGGGCCACCAATACATGAACTAAACCTCTGTTCCAGTTTTTTATGATTTGCAGTCCATTTCAGCCATATACTTCGGGGAGTTTTCTGAGACACCTCTCTATTCAACCTGTCAGTAAAACTGTATCAGCATGTTTCCTCTTGCCACTGCCACACTGCCATAGGGATTCAGGGACCTTTTTGTTAAATACTTAATACCACAAGCATGGGACTGGAAAGAAGAAATGCTCTTCCCCTTGGAAAAAAAGTCTGATATTTATAGCACCCTGAGGATAGAAGTGGGTATGGCTCACTGTCCACTTTATCTTAGCATAAAAGGCTGAGAAGTGCCGAGTTCACTCTTAATGTTATATAGATGCTAGTCACTTCAATTATATAGGAAGAAACATACTCCGTGATACAGGATAAATGGTTATTATATCTCATTTTCATTCCTAAAGGCAGAATTTTACATATACCTTTGCTTAAAAAATTCCTTTACAGTTGAACATTTAGAAACTGATACTTGTCTCACGCCTGTAATCGCAGCATTTTGGGAGGCTGAGGCGGGCGGATCACGAGGTCAGGAGATCGAGACCATCCTGGCTAACACAGTGAAACCCCGTCTCTACTAAAAATACAAAAAATTAGCTGACAGAGCGAGACTCCGTCTCAAAAAAAAAAAAAAGAAAATGATACTTGTCCCTGTGTACATTGATTTAAGATGGCACATGGTATTTTGCTTGACAACATATCAAAGTGATTAAAAGAGCCCCCACTGGAATCAGTCCTGGGTTTTTGTTGCTCTCTATCTCTTCTAGTTTTTGGGCAAAATTTTCAACCTCTTAAAGTTGTATTTTCCCTATCTATAAGATATGGGCATCTTAACATCAGTCTTACAGGACATCTACCCAGTGGAATAATACTTGTAAATAAAGTACTGAGGATGGTGCCACACATTTACTCAATGCTTAATAAGTGGTAGCTGCTATTGTTACTATCATGCTCATTGAAACTGAGCAGTTATGATGATAAAGTTATACTAATGTAACCTTATTAAAACTGGGAGCTTAGAGAATTTTTTTTTTTTTTGAGATAGTATCTCACTCTGTGTGGCCCAGGCTGGAGTGCCAGTGGCATGATCACAGCTCACTGCAGCCTCCACCTCCCTGGGCTCAGGTGATCCTCCCATCTTGGCCTCCTGAGTATCTGGGACTACAGGCATGTGCCACCACCCCCAGCTAAGTTTTATATTTTTTGTAGAGAAGGGGTTTCACCACGTTGTCTGGGCTGGTCTCAAACTCCTGGGCTCGAGCCATCCTCCTGCCTTGGCCTCCCAAAGTGTTAGGATTATAGGTGTGAGCCACCGACCCTAGCTCAGAAATGTTCTTATAACTAAACAGGGTTTAGAAAATTAAGGCATTTGACTGTATATTAAGGTATTGTAACTTTGAGTGTGGAAAATGAAGGTATTTGAGATAAGGCTTTTGTTATTGTTCTGACCTAACACTTTTTTTCTCCAAAAACTGTATAATGAGAATCTCAGTATTAATATTTGCAAATTATTTTTGGGAAAAGAGCTGTCTGTGGAAAGAACTATTTTTTTTTTTGTTTTTAAATTTTGACTTTGAAATTCTCTTTTCAGTGTCATCAAACATGATTGAACGATCTGTGGTGGAAGCAGCAGTCCAGGAATGCAGTCAGTCTGTTGATGAAACTATGTATGTGGGTACAGTTAACTTTTTTCCTCCTTGGAGGTGTTATTGAGCACTTATTTTTAATTATTGTCTTGGAAAATTATTAGTGATCAACGTTTCTACAGTGATTACTGTTGTTATTTCTGTGTGTCTTTTTAAATAATGGCTTTCTTTGCAAACCTCATTATTAAATGACTCATCTTTACTGGTTTTTCCTGGGATTTGAGGTTACAGTGTTGCTTGTACCATTCATTACTAACTTTTGCTGCCTACCCAACCGGTTGATCTGACTTTTTATTCTGTATGCTACAAATGAGTTGAATTGAAATGAATATTCAGAAGTATAATTTACTTTGCTCTTAGGAAAGTACCATGTCCAGAGAAGTTCAGCAACTTTACTTGGTCACATGGTGAATGGCAAATGAGGGTAGGACCTCAGTTTTGTGACTCCACTATGTCATGTTTTTAGGTTTAAGAATTTATATGGCAGTAATTCTTCTGGGTTTTATTTCTCTGAATATCCCTCTTTCCTCTTGATATGATACTTCTATACAAATTGATGGCATTTAACTGGAAGGAAAACACTGGGGAAAATGGGCTGAGAGACAGTTTTAACATTGCCACTTCTTTCCTATTTGGGGCAATGGAGATGATTGAAAGGAGTCATTATCTTTATTTTAGTCAGAAGTTATAATCTTCTCCCTGTCAGAACTTATAACTGCTAAAAAAAAAATAGAGAAATTGAGGATTTTTAATTTTACCCTTGCAAACTCATTTAAAATACTATAGTGTGACCAGATGCAGTGGCTTATGCCTGTAATCCCAGCACTTTGGGAGGCCAAGGTGGCTGGATCACTTGAGGTCAGGAGTTCAAGACCAGCCTGGCCAACATGGTGAAACCCATCTCTACTAAAAATACAAAAATTAGCTGGGCGGTAGTGGGGCGCACCTGTAATCCCAGCTACTTGGGAGGCTGAGACAGGAGAATTGCTTGAGCCTGCGAGGTGGTGGTTACAGTGAGCTGAGATCATACCACTGCACTCTAGTCTGGGCGACAGAGTGAGACTCTGTCTCAAAAAAAATACATAAAATAAATACTGGAGTATAATGAATGTTCCTAAAGCCATCAATAGAAATTCAAAATGATTGTACTGAAGTTTGATTATTATCCTAAAATAGACGTTACTCGTTGTTTACCCTAAAGTTACCTGTTATTTATTTATTTACTTATTTTCCCCCACACCAATCTGCATTCACTTTATTCTTCTGTTTATACATTCTCTTGCTCCCAGATTTGGAGGCAGAACGTAATATGAGCTCAACAGTCCTGCACAGAGCCATGTACCATATCGCATCAGTTTTCCTTTTCCCAACCCCTATTCCACCCCCACTCAGTAAAGCCCCTTGTCCAGGTGTTGCTCTTGGGGGTAAGAAAGCAGAAAAGCAGGCTGGGCGCAGTGGCTCATGCCCGTAATCCCAGCACTTTGGGAGGCCGAGGTGGGCAGATCACCTGAGGTCAGGAGTTCGAGACCAGCCTGGCCAACATACAGCAAAACCCCGTCTCTACTAAAAAATACAAAAATTAGCTGGGCATGGTGGTGCATGCCTGTAGTCCCAGCTATTTGGGAAGCTGAGGCAGGAGAATCGCTTGAACCCGGGAGGCGGAGGTTGCAGTGAGCCAAGATCGTGCCACTCTGCTCCAGCCTGGACAACAGAATGAGACTTGTCTCTCAAAAAAAAAAAAATAAAATAAATAAAATAAAATAAAGAAAGAATGGGTAGAGATTCCAGTGAGTGATGGGAGCCTCTTTCCAAGGCACAAGGCGCCACCTTCTCAATATGGCCACTGCTTTGTTCAGATTTGGGCAGTGTGCTGGCCAGGAGCTGGGGGCTGCAGTACCTCCAGCTGACTGAGGAGGCAAGCATTGTGAGGGTGCTGCTGCAGGTCCACAGTCATCATTGAGGCCAGGAGCTGCCACACTCCTGAAGAATGCGTGGGGCTTTGTGGGATGCTGAGTTGGTTCTGCACAGCAAGGGCCACACTGTCACGTTTCTTGAACACCATTTCGTAAGGGCCTTCCCCAAACATTGTGGCATATATCACACAGCCCAGGGACCAGACATCAGTCTGTTCATCAATGACACAGTGACTGCTCAGGGAAGAGCTCTAGGGCTCAGTAGGAGATGGTGCACTGCTGGGTCGCCTAGTCCGGCAGGGTCAGGGCCTGGTGGGAGCCCTTCATGTGAGGCATGCTTGATTCATGGCATCCAAGTGTATTAAAACTGGCTGCCCCTCGTCTCCAAGCAAGATAGTGGTGGGCTTCAGGTCCCTGTGGGCCTAACCCTTGGCATGAATGGCCTCAAGCCGCTGTAGATACCCAGCAGGAGCTGAAGGATTTGATCCTAAGTCAGGAAGTTGCCATCGTCCTTCGGCCTTTCTCTCCATTCCACAGTATATCTCTCTTAAAGAACGGAAGCAGCAGCTGGGCCTCATGCTTAGCACCCTACTCCCTCAGACAGTAAGCCGTGAGGTAAAGGATGTTGGGGTGATTGAAGAGGTGATGCATGTTTGCTTCTTGGCTGGGCCTCCTCCCAGTCCTGCTGCTCGTGACACAGGATTCGCTTCAGGGCGTAGAAGTGTCCATCCTGTAACCCCTCCACTAGGTCCACATGGCTGAACCCACTCTCCCCCAGGTTCTGGATGAAGAAATAGCTATTGTCAATGATGACATTTCCCTAAGAGCAGGCACACAGTGCATGGCCCATGATGTCTCAGTCATCCTCCTCAAGGACTGTCTGAGGCTGCCAAAGGGCTCGTCCAGGATGAGTGGGCTCTTCCAGGCAATGCACTAAGCGCCCAGGGATCATGATTCTCATCTAGAGTAAACAGGTCCTGGTGATGCCAGTTCAGCAAGGGTGGGGTCAGGTGCCTTAAAGCCTCAGGGCACATAGCAACGACCAGGATGCTTCCTCCAACCCCAGCCCACTTTTGGGCAGCTCCTGCTCCCACACCTGTCAGGCCTCAAAGGCAGGGCACAGGGTAGTTTCAGAGGAGGTGCATGGCTCAGGCCCATCCCTGGCCTCAGTGCGCAGTGCCTGGGTCGGCCAGCCCGTACTCCTCACTGACCTGGCTCGGCTATTTCTGTCAGGCTGTTTATATGTTATAGCCAGCCTACATGGAGGTCCAGTGGGGACTGAATGGTAAAGGATTTTTGTACCTTCAATTGTCAGAGAGTCATTATATCATACCACAGTAGAGGCTCTTGTTCTCATAGATGAAGAGATGGCATGAGAAGTTCAATAACTTACTCAGACTGATCTACCAGAAAATAGTGGAGCAGTGTCTGGAGTCTAGGTTTTCCTCAAGTTCAGTGATTCTCAGCCACTCTATACTTGTTACCTCTAGGGTAGCATGAATCTTTTTTGATCATTTTCAATTTGGGAGATAAACATGTAATTTTAGGAAAGATTTTTAGGTTGGGATATTTATACAGTAGTGCTGTGGAAATTTTTAACTTCTTTTAAACATGGTTATATTATTAAAAGTATCTGAAATTAAATAATTTTTTTTGGTTTTCCATCTCTAACACTATATATATATTGTATAAGTCTGAAAGATATGGCCAGAATTGGAGGGGGAGCTCTTTTTCCATTGTGTAACTTTTCCTGGGACACTTCTGCATAACATTTTAGATTTGGCAGGGCGCGGTGGCTCAGGCCTGTAATCCCAGCACTTTGGGAGGCCAAGGCAGGCAGCTCATGAGGTCAGGAGTTTGAGACCAGCCTGGCCAACACAGTGAAAACCCGTCTCTACTAAAAATACAAAAATTAGCTGGGCGTGGTGGAGGGTGCCTGTAATCCCAGCTACTTGGGAGGCTGAGGCAGGAGAATCACTTGAACCCAGGAGGCAGAGGTTGCAGTGAGCTGAGATCGTGCCACTGCACTCCAGCCTGGGCGACAGAACTAGACTCCATCTCAGACAAACAACAAACAAAAAACATTTTAGATTTTTAAAATTGTTGGGGTTGGGCATGGTGGCTCATGCCTGTAATCCCAGCAGTTTGGGAGGCTGAGGCAGGCGGATCACTTGAGGTCAGGAGTTTGAGACCAGCCTGGCCAATATGGCAAAACCCTGTCTCTACTAAAAATACAAAAATTAGCTGGGTGTGGTGGCACATGCCTGTAATCCCAGCTACTTGAGAGGCGGGAGAATCGCTTGAGGCCGGGAGGAAGAGGTTGCAGTGAGCCAAGATCACACCCCAGCCTGGGCATCAGAGTGAGACTGTCTCAAAAAACAAAACAAAAACAAAAAAAATAAAAAATTGTTGGAACTTAATCATATCCTTTAATAATACTGTAGCTCATGGCCGGGCGCAGTGGCTCATGCCTGTAATCCCTGCACTTTGGGAGGCTGAGGTGGGTGGATCACCTGAGGTTGGGAGTTAGTGACCAGCCTGACCAACATAAAGAAACCCCGTCTTTGTTAAAAATACAAAATTAGCTGGGCGTGGTGGTGCATGCCTGTAATCCCACCTACTCGGGAGGCTGAGGCAGGAGAATCTCTTGAACCCTGGAGGCGGAGGTTGTGGTGAGCCACGATCGAGCCATTGCACTCCAGCCTGGGCAACAAGAGTGAAACTCTGTCTCAAAAAAAAAAAAATACTGTAGCTCATAAGAGTAGTACATATAGGGAGAGATTTCTTTAAGATGTGACTATTGTTTATATAATTCTTCTTTTTCAACAGATGAAATTCTTAACTGGAAATTAACTTGATTAATTTTTTTCTTGAGAGTTTTGGCAATGCTTTCTTGTCCCTTGAGATGAAAATGCACAAGCTAAACATTTTACACCCATTGTATTTTTGACACTATAAGAAATTATGGGCTGGGCATGGTGGCTCACATCTGTAATCCCAGTACTTTGGGAGGCCGAGGTGAGTGGATTTCCTGAGGTCGGGAGTTTGAGATCAGCCTGACCAACACGGAGAAACCCCATCTCTACTAAAAATACAAAATTAACTGGACGTGGTGGTGCATGCCTGTGATCCCAGCTACTTGGGAGGCTGAGGCAGGAGAATCGCTTGAACCCAGGAGGCGGAGCTTGCAGTGAGCTGATATCCCACCATTGCACTCTAGCCTGGAGAACAATAGCGAAACTCTGTCTTAAAAAAGAAAAAGAAAAAGAAAAAGAAATTGTGTGCCTGGCCTGAGAAAATGTGAAAAGTGTGTTATTACAAATACTTATAATGCAAGTTATCATGTTCACCTAGAGTACTTATGTTTTAGTAAATCAGGTCTGTATTTTGTGGGATGTTTTTCAGAGAGCACGTTTTCAATATCATAGGAGCATTTGATATTCCACGCTTTGTGTACAATTCAGAAAGAAAAAAATTTCTTCCGTAAGTATGTCATCCACTGATTTTAAATTAATTTCAAATGTACTTTTTTTTTCAGAAGGTATAGTCTCTTGCTTCACTTTTGGCTCACCTTTGTGTATTATGATAGTCAAAAATAGGCATTCTCTTTTTCTAGTCTGTTAATGACCAACCACCCTGCACCAAATTTATTTGGAACACCAAGAGATAAAGCAGAGATGTTTCGTGAGCGATATACCATTTTGCACCAGGTAAGTTTGGTAGGGGGCGGAGGGGAGGATACTGGGTAAAATGAGAGAAAAGGAGACTGTTTCAGTTTAGGGAAATCTCAGGGATATTTAAAGAATGGAATTTTGTGGTCCAAAGTTGGTCATTCAATAAACTGTTATTAAGATTTCTGTGATTGAGACTGTGTAGAAGATACAGAGATGAAAAAGCTATTTTCCCCTTAACAACAATGATGATGGTAAAAATAGTAGTTACTATTTAATACATGATATGCCAGGTAGCACTTAACATACATTATTTACCTCATTTAATCCTCATAATACTAATAATGTGTAAATGCTATTATTCCCATTTTACGGATCAGGAAACTGAGGCTTAAAGAAGTTTAGTAATTTGCCCATAGATCGTATATAGTAAGACAGGATTTTAATCCAGCCTGACTCTAAAGCCCAACCATTGCCTACTATACTTTACCACTTTCAAGTAGCTTACAGTCTATGAAGTTATAGACATTTGTGCAATACATAAAGTAGAATTTTATATGTGCTATAAAAGAGATACAAACAATGTATTCAATAGAAAAATCAGGAAAGGCTTCAAGGAAATGATGGCATTTGGCATGGACCTAGATTGCCTTAATCTTGTGGAAATGGGGAAAAGGTGGTGATTGTGAAGAAAGGTACAGCAAAAAATGGACTCTGAGCAGGAAATGATGAGAAAATCAGGAGTAGTGTGGGATCAGTTTGGAAAGGCAAGTGGGAGCCAAATTGTAGGAGCACTTTGGATGCCACCCTTGGGAGTTGGGACTGTTCTCCTTGTGTGAGGTGCTTTGGAATACCAGAGAAACTCGGTCGCAGCCAGGTTTTTTGAGTGCTTCCTCCACCAGCAGATATGGGGATGACTTGGAGTGTGAGAGAAGTCTTCTAGGAGTCTGTGGTATTAGTCTTGGCATAAATGATAGCCTGGATGAAGGAAGTGGCAAGGGGTGTAGAATGAGGGCATCACACTCAAGCAGCAGAAACTATAACACATGGTGACTGTCTGGATGTGAAGGAGAAGGGAGGGGGTGAAGAATCAGAGATGAGTAAGGCCTAGAGTCTGAGAGAGTAGAATATAGAAAAATACATTAAACAGGAAAAAGAGAATGTTGTAGAAGGTGATAGCAGGTTCTGTTTTAAGCATTTGAGTTAAGATTGCCAGGAGAGTATCAAGTGAAGTGTACATCTGGAGCTATGGAAAGAGAGTTGGTAGCAAGAGAGAGATTTGGGAGCATCTGCATAGAGTAAAAAATGGAACTGCAAGGATGAGACCTTGGGAGAAAGAGAAGTGATAAAAAGACAAGAGGGAGGCTAGGCGCAGTGGCTCACGCCTGTAATCCCAGCACTTTGGGAGGCCGAGGTGGGTGGATCACCTGAGGTCGGGATTTCGAGACCAGCCTGACCAACATGGAGAAACCCTGTCTCTAGTAAAAATACAAAAGTAGTCAGGCATGGTGGCACATGCTCGTAATCCCAGCTACTTGGGAGGCTGAGGCAGGAGAATCGCTTGAACCTGGGAGGCGGAGGTTATGGTGAGCCAAGATGGCGCCATTGCACTCCAGCCTGGGCAACAAGAGCGAAACTCCGTCTCAAAAAAAAAAAAAAAGAGGGGAGAGGATAGAACTTGGGGGCCAGGTGAGGATGGTGTTATATGGCAGAAGCACAAGAAGGCTTCAAGGAGGAGCAGATGGTCAGCGGTAGGTTAAATAAAGGTTGAAAAGAATGATCTTGAGGAACCAGCATCCTCTGCTGCTTCCATTGCCGACATAGTGTTGCTAGGTTAATCTGCCCAAAGTATAGCTCTGACCACCTCGTGGGTTTTGTACAGAAGTCTTTCAAGGAAATTCACTGCCTATTGAATTAAATGCAGATTATCCTTAATATGTAAGATCTTCTCTCACACATAATTGGCCTAATCTCTGCTTTTCCTGTAGTCATAATCTGGGCTGGAGCCAAAACTGAAATATGGAATTATTGTTTCTGTTTCTTTCACTACTTCTGTGACTTTGTTTATCCTGTTGACTGCTCTTCCCTCTTATCTCCACTGTTGAAACCGTCCTATTTTGGAAGGCTTTTCTCAGATTCCTCCTTTCTGGAGCCTGTCTTGATCTTCAGTTGGATGCAGTCTTTTTCTTTTTTATTTATTTTATTTTTGATATAGAGTCTTGCTCTGTCGCCTAGGCTAGAGTGCAGTGGTGCAAACTTGGCTCACTGTAACCTCTGCCTCCTGGGTTCAAGTGATTCTTCTTCCTCAGACTCCCAAGTAGCTGGGATTATAGGCACATACCACCACACCCAGTTAACTTTTTTATTTTAGTAGAGACGGGGTTTCACCATGTTGGCCAGGCTGGTCTCGAACTCCTGACCTCAAGTGATCTGCCCACCTCAGCCTCCCAAAGTGCTGGGATTACAGGCATGAGCCACCATGCCCAGCTGAATCTCTTTCTGCTTGAACCCAGTAGTACGTCTTTTTTTTTTTTTTTTTTTTTCTGAGGCAGAGTCTTACTCTGTTGCCCAGGCTTGAGTGCAGTGGCGCAATCCCGGCTCACTGCAACTTCCGCCTCCTGGGTTCAAGCGATTCTCCTGCCTCAGCCTCCCGAGTAGCTGGGACTATAGGCATGTGCCAAAGCGCCTGGCTAATTTTTTGTATTTTTAGTAGAGATGGGTTTCACTGTGTTAGCCAGAATGGTCTCCATCTCCTGACCTCGTGATCCACCCGCCTCGGCCTCCCAAAGTGTTAGGATCACAAGCGTGAGCCACTGTGCCCAACTCAGTAGTACGTCTTTTATGTCACTGACTGGACTTGGCCCTGCCTTGCATTTGAGGTGCTTATCCCTGTGATCAGACTGTGGATTCGTTGTTTATCTCCTGTGCCACATTTGGCACTGTCCTTTATACAGAGAAGGTGCTCAGTAAACACCACATTTCTTTTTTCTTAAGTATGTTTTGAAGTCTACTCTGTTATGGTGGGTGTGCCACTTATCCCTTCTGAGCCTCGTTTATTCATCTGTGAAATAAACAGGTTGAAGTTCAGTCCATCCATATTTTCATTGCAATTATCTTCCAGAAAATGAATCTGATGTTATCATTATCCTACTTCAAAATCTTTGTTTCTCATTGTCTATAGGACAAACTTCTTGGCTGGGCATACGAAGTTTGTATTGTCAGGGCTTTTTGAGCTGGAGGTTACAGAAACTCAAATAGATTAAAACTGAAAAAGGAATATATTGGCTTAGCTTGTATTATGAAGTCTAGAAGTCCACCAGTTTCAAGCCTGGCTGGATTCAGGTGCTCACACAATATCAGGAGGCATCTGTCTCTTTCCATGTCCCACCTCTTTTAAAAAATTGATTTTACTTTCAAATAGGTTCTCCCTATAAAGTGACAAAGATCTCCACTAGTAGCCTTAGCAACTCTTGGAAAGAGAGTTCCTCTTTTCTAATAGCTCTAGCAAAAGTCTTGAATCTGTCTCTTTTGAGCCTACCTTGAAGCACTTGCTCATCCTTGAACCAATCACTGGCCAAAGGATGGAGTACTTTCATTTTCTAGACCTTGAATTCCTATCTATAGAAGGGGGAAGGGGTATCAATCCTACCTAAACTATATGGACTGAGAGTTGGGGAGGGAAGTATCTCCACATGGATCTTATTAATCTCTGGCCTTGTCTCATGTTCTACCTTGTGCACCGCATAATTCAACTGTATTAAACTTTGCATAGCTTCCTAAATACTCTAACTCTTATAATTTCTCTGCCTGAAATGTCTTTTTTTTTTTTTTTTTTTTTTTTTTTGGAGACACAGTTTCGCTCTTGTTGCCCAGGCTGGAGTGCAGTGGCACGATCTCAGCTCACTGCAACCTCTGCCTCCTGGATTCAAGCAATTCTCCTGCCTCAGCCTCCTGAGTAGCTGGGATTACAGGCACCTGCCACCACACCCAGCTAATTTTTGTATTTTTGGTAGAGACGTGGTTTCACTATGTTGGCCAGGCTGGTCTCGAACTCCTGACCTCAGGTGATCCGCCCTCCTCGACCTCCCAAAGTGCTGGGATTACAGGTGTGAGCCACCGCGCCTGGCCCTGAAATGTCTTATCTCAGACTCCTTTTGTTTCTTACTACCCAAATCTTATTTATCATCTGGGCTGTTGTTCAGTGGCCCCTTTGGCCTGGGGTACAGTCAGCCCTCACAGAACTTTGTTGTGTGGTGGCACTTCTCTTTCACTAGCCCCAATGCTCTCAGGGTGACACTTGGTTGTTCTTCATATCCTCAGCCTACAATGTGCTGCTGCCATACACACAATAGACCTTTAAAATTTTTACATTTTTTTTGTCTTAAATTTTAAAACTTACATTACTAGATATTTGTATGTTAAATTATGTGGGTTTTCAAATTTGTGGAGAATAAGTAATAGTGACATTAGTTTAAGGACAGTGTTTCATCAGGGCACTATTTTAATGAATCTTATATTTAAATGTCTGTTTCAGGAATTCATGTGAATCTTTCTTTTTTATAGAGGACCCACAGGCATGAATTATTTACTCCTCCGGTGATAGGTTCTCACCCTGATGAAAGCGGAAGCAAATTCCAGGTTAGAACATTATCCTAGTTATGTAGGGGGTATAAGTGTGTAAGTTTAATATTTGTTGCTTAATTCTAATTCATTGAATTTTAAATGAAAATAAACTATTGGTAACTGTTTAGCTAACTGGATGGGCTGCATGCCCACTTTTGATACAGTCCATTCCTAGAGTCCTGTGTCCCACAAATCTCTAACAGAAGCTACTGCTTCCTTTGAGAAGGCCCTGATACGATGCTAGCCCCAGATACACTCTGGCCTCCAAGGTAGATTCCTAGCTCATTTGGATACTACACTGGCTTTCTGATAACTTTTCAACATTTCTTTTCTTGCCCTCACTCATCCCTTAGTGACCATAACACTAAGGAACTCAAATGCTGGTTCCTTGCCCAACTCATCCCTCAGTGACCACCACACACAGTTATTGAACTAGAATGTGTTATATTGGTTGAAGTGAAAACTTAAGGTACTAAGGAAACAACATTTATAGAATGAATAAGAGAACACAAATGGGTCCCACAACCTGGCCAACATAGTAAGACCTCATCTTTATAAACAATAAAAAACATTAGCCAGGCGTGATGTTGTGCACCTGTGGTCCCAGCTACTGGAGAGGCTGAGGTGGGAGGATTACTTGAGCTTGGGAGGTTGAGGCTGCAGTGAGCTGAGATCATGCCACTGTACTCCAGCCTGGGTGACAGTGTAAGGACCCCTCTCAAACAAACAAACAAAACTTTTATTAGAGTATAAATTAGATTTTAGAAATTGACATTACTTATATTTCCCTACCAAAGATCATCTATATGTTTTCTATATTAGGTTTTCTCTGGCAACTGAGATGCCCACAGCCCAGGAGCCTTTTCCCTTTTCTCCTCTTTGACAAAGTAATTTTAAGGCTTAACTAAATAATTATTCTTTTCAAACTGTCTTAATTCTGTATCTGTGATGGCACATTCCCTACTTAAATTACATTTATCTACCTGTATAATATCCTTTTACCAATTGCAAAAATGATGTGCTAAAAAATACTGTTATTTTTACTTCTCTTGTGTTGTTTTAGGTTCTTTTTTTTTTTTTTCTTTTGATAGAGACATGGGGTCTTGTCATGTTGCCCAGGCTGGTCTTGAACTCCTGGCCTCAAGTGATCCTCCTGCCCCAGCCTCCTGAGTAGCTTGGACAATAGGTGTGCACCACTACTCTTAGCTAGGTTCTTTTGCCTTCCCTTCCCCCTTCCCCCTTCCTCCTTCCCTTTCCTTTCCTTTCTTTCTGGCAGAGTCTTGCTCTGTCACCCAGGCTGTAGTTCAGTAGTGCGATCTTGGCTCACTGCAACCTCCGCTTCCCAGGTTCAAGCAATTCTGCCTCAGCCTCTTGAGTAGCTGGGACATACGTGCACACCACCATGCCCAACTAATTTTTTTGTATTTTTAGTAGAGATGGGGTTTTGCCATGTTGGCCAGGCTGGTCTTGAACTCCTGACCTCAAGTGATCCGCCCGCCTCAGCCTCCCAAAGTGCTGGGATTACAGGCGTGAACCACCACGCCCAGTCCTTGGTTCATATTTTTTAAGAGTAACTCCAGTATTAAATGTTAATGTGATTATTATGGAATGATGGGATTATATAAGTTTTTATTTTTTTCTTGTCTATATTTTAAATTTTTTTCTATAGTAAACATGAATTATTTGTAATAAGAAAACATAAAGATAAAACGTAAAGATAAAAGAAGCTCCACTTGGTAATTTCTATAAATATGAAAACTTATATATCCTTTTATCTAGCAATTGTGTTTCTAGAATGTGTAGAACTTTATTCAACAGTTATTATCTGTAGCTGGATGCAGTGGCTAGTGCCTGTAATCTTGGTGACTCAGGGGGCTGAGGTGGAAGGATCACTTGAGCCCAGTTTAAGGCTGCAGTGAGGTATGAGAGTGCCACTGCACTCCAGCCTGGGCAATGTGAAACCCCATCTCAAAAAAAAAAAAAAAAGTTTCTATCTGTGTAGTGGGCCAAGAAAGTTGCACAGAAATATTAAACATTGTTTTTATTAGTAGAAAACTGGGAACAACTTAAATGTCCTTTAATAGGAGTTTGGTGAAATAAATGGTCATATGTATAATATAGATATCTCTATTCTTTAAACAGAAGGAAATCTATATGTAGAAAAATGGAAAGATGTCTCAGATAATATTAACTTCAATTAGTTAAGTTGCAGAATAGTACATATACTATGATTTCATCTTTGTAAATAAACTGTATAGGTGTGTGTTATAAATTATATATGTATGTATTTACATATATTTAGGATTACATATAGAAAAAGATGGAAAGTTTTTTGTTTTTTTTGTTTTTTTTTTGAGACAGAGTCTTGCTCTGTCACCCAGGCTGGAATGCAAGGCGATCTCGGCTTACTGCAAGCTCCGCCTCCCGGGTTCACACCATTCTCCTGCCTCAGCCTCCCGAGTAGCTGGGACTACAGGCGCCTGCCACCATGCCTGGCTAATTTTTTGTATTTTTAGTAGAGACAGGATTTCACCATGGTCTTGATCTTCTGACCTCGTGATCCGCCTGCCTCGGCCTCCCAAAGTGCTGGGATTACAGGCGTGAGCCACTGCACCTGGCCGGAAAGGATTTTTTACAATAGTGTCCCAATTTTTACTACCTTAAACTTTCTGATTAGAAAAAAAGATCAGATTGAGAATGTAAATAATAATGAGAGCCTTTTAAAATACTAAGTAAAATTGGAATATATATTTTTAAATAGCTTGCTAGTTTTCAAAAGGTACTGTTCAAAGAAAATAAAATTGATATTCTTTTCTATATTTAAAAAATAAATGTACTTATCATTATTCAGAATGATATGGTGTGAGGATTCAGTCATTGGTAAGAGCCTGAGTCGATGTGGTGTTTCTTTAGGCATCATACACTTGATCTTACAGCTTTTTTGTAGGACAAAATTAAACATCCTAAGTTTAATTTTACAACTTTATTTCCATTTTATTTGATTTTCTACTGTAAAGTAGCTATAAATGCTGAAATGTATACCCCAAATATAGTTATTTATAAAAAGTTTTGTTTCTTGAAAGAATATATTTACAGTCTTTAAAATTTATTTTGTTTTATTTTAGCTTAAAACAATAGAAACCTTATTGGGTAGTACAACCAAAATCGGAGATGCGATTGTTCTTGGAATGATAACGCAGTTAAAAGAGGTAACTTAATAAGCATCAAACTTTTATTTTTGGCCTTGGATTGATGAAATGTCGGTTACATAGAACATTTTTGTAGTGGGCACAGGAATGTATTCTTTATTGAAAACTCGCCTCACCAACAGAACAATATTGGAATAGTGGTAATACGAGGAAATAGTATCATCATGTCAGAAGCCTTGGAACAAGGATAAATAATGGCTGTTGGCTGGGCGCGGTGGCTCACGCCTGTAATCCTAGCCACTTTGGGAGGCTGAGGTGGGCGGATCACCTGAGGCCGGGAGTTCAAGACCAGCCTGACCAACATGGAGAAACCCTGTCTCTACTAAAAATACAAAATTAGCCAGGCGTGGTGGCACATGCCTGTAATCCCAGCTACTCAGGAGGCTGAGGCAGAAGAATTCCTTGAACTCGGGAGGTGGAGGTTGTAGTGAGCTGAGATGGTGCCATTGCACTGTAGCCTGGGCAACAAGAGCGAAACTTTGTCTCAAAAATAAATAAATAAATAAAATAATAATGGCTGTTCAGCAGAGAAACCCATTTTCTCTCTCCATAGGGCCTGTTTTACAATGACGTAAAAATTAGGTCATGTACATTTTCATATTAGACTTTTTGTTAAATAAACTTTTGTAATAGTAAAAAAAAAAAAAAAAAACCCAGAAAAAACAAAAACCTTTTCTCAGTCACCAAGTGTCTTTTTCATCTGTGTTTGGTTTCCTGAGAAGACATCAGGACAGAGTGTCTTGTGCAGGAGCCCAGTTTGCATAGCCTGAAATTAGGCCTGTAGTGACCTCTGGATAAACGGAGAGTACTGGGTTTCTGAACAAGCAAGCTGCAGAGTATGTCCTGGTCCCTTGGACATGCTGTTGGCTGTCTTAGAAGGTACCTGGGGAGACCCTCCTTATGGCAGACATCAAATGTCCCTCTTGCCATTTCTTATCTGTAGGAGTCATTCTCCATTGTACCTGTGAGGAGTCAGAATCTCAGTTAAGTGATTAGTCTGGGGTTATCAGACTAGTAAATGGAAGAGCCTGGACTAGAAATAATAGCTGATTTTTAAAATCCACTTTCTCCCTATTGTATTCTGTTGTCAAACTTGTAGTTTAATTTTTTTGTCAACGGTTTTCATTGTTACATAAATGTGGATTTATTTATTTTCATTTTTTTAGGGAAAATTTTTTCTGGAAGATCCTACTGGAACAGTCCAACTAGACCTTAGTAAAGCTATATCCTTCACTTGTCTGTATTTTTTAAAATCTGCATTACGTGAATTGGGGAAATTGATTATATATCCTTCTAAAATTTACCTATTTGGGTTCTCAATGTAACTTCTCTATGTTGCTGGTGTAGGAATGTAGAGATATAATCCTAAACAGGGACAGAACAACTTTAATTTTCTCTTATTTGGAGAATCTAGATGAATCACTGACGAAATTTATATCATGGTAAGAATGATCCACCCTGTCAATATTACCAAGAATTAAACATGAGGACATTTAAAACTAAAATTTTTTAAGCTCTTTCTAAGCTGTGGTCTATTCACAGTTTCAAATGGGAAGTCTTTAAATTTATTATTTAGAAGCCTTGTTGGACTCAAAATGTATGTTGACTTTATTACTGCCTCAAGAATAGAATTATTTTCCTCAACTGTTGTGTACCAGTTCCATAGTGGTTTATACACAGAGGCATGCTTTGTCTTAGCAGAAGGTAAGTCAGTATACTTTGTTACTGTCCTTCTTCTCATTCTCCAGTAAAACTTTCTGCTTTGGGTAAAATATGTTAACATGATATAATTTGGGATACCATTAATTAGAAGAGCATATTTTTGGCAAAATAACTCTTAGACTGTTAATGGGCTAATAGAAATCTTTTTGGGGTGATGAAAATGTTCTGAAATTAGATAGTAGTAATGGCTACACAACTTGTGAATATACTAAAAATCACCGAATTACACACCCTTTTTTTTTTTTTTCTTTTTTTTTTGGAGACAGAGTCTCACTCTGTCACCTAGGCTGGAGTGCAGTGGCGCGATCTCGGCTCACTGCAACCTCCGCCTCCCGGGTTCAAGTGATTCTCATGCCTCAGCCTTCCGAGTAGCTGAGATTATAGGCGCATGCCACCATGCCTAGCTAATTTTTTGTATTTTAGTAGAGACGGGGTTTCACCATGTTGCCCAGGCTGGTTTCAAACTCCTGAGCTCAGGCAGTCCACCCGCCTCGGCCTCCCAAAGTGTTGGGATTACAGGCGTGAGCCACCATGCCCGGCCTGAATTATATACTTTTTTTTTTTTTCTTTTGAGATGGAGTCTCACTCTGTCACCCAGGCTGGAGTGCAATGGCACGATCTCGGCTCACTGCAAGCTCTGCCTCCCGGGTTCACACCATTCTCCTGCCTCAGCCTCCCTAATAGCTGGGACTACAGGCGCCTGCCACTACGCCTGGCTAATTTTTTTTTATTTTTGTATTTTTAGTAGAGACGGGGTTTCACTGTGTTAGCCAGGATGGTCTCGATCTCCTGACCTTGTGATCCGCCCGCCTCAGCCTCCCAAAGTGCTGGGATTACAGGCATGAGCCACTGCACCCGGCCCTGAATTATATATTTTTAAAGGGTGAATTGTATAGTATGTGAACGATACCTCAATAAAGTTGAAAAAAACACTTAATTTTATATAGGGCCATAAAATGAAACATTTCCTAATCTGTATCAACACGTACTGCCAAACTGAAAAGTGAAAAGTTCTGAATCTATTTCTATTTAATGAATTTTATAAGTTGAGACTCTCTGTGGATCTAAAGTTGTTCACTGTGGTTCATTGAGGTTGGCAACCTCTGTAATTAGTTCACAGGGCATGAGACTAGCCTGGCATTATTGCTTTGTTGTAACATAATTTTGTCCTTTCAAACATAGAGGATTAGACAAATGAAAGTGACGTTACTTTTTTTCAGGTTGGTTTGAAGATCAAGTGTTTCATGTCAATGCCTTTGGATTTCCACCCACTGAGCCCTCTAGTACTACTAGGTATTAAAATGTTTGGTTTATACTCTATGGGAATTTGGTAATACTGGCAGGAGTGAATGTAAGATAGTACGTCATATCTCAGTTACTAAAAGGTGTCAGGCTTTGTGTCAAAATGGAAAAAGCAATGGAAAATGAGAATTAGAAGACTGGGTTTTGTATGTAATGTGAAAACTAGCAGATTGGCCAACAATTAGTTGCAATACCGTCTTTGTACTTCGGCTTTAACTGGGAAAGATTTCCAGTCTGTTTTATCTCTGGGGTTGATGAGAAGTTGAAGTGAGATAAGACAACTAGGATAACACTTAGAAGAATATAATTCCATGTTAATATAAAATTCTCATTTTTATATTCCAATGAATGAAAGTTATGTGAGGTAGCTTATAGCTCCTTAATATAAGTGAAAGCATCATAATATTAGAGCTATTCCAAAATGGCCTTCTCTTAGAGGAGCTGAGCTCCCTGTCACTTGAATTATTTGGGCAGAACCTGAATGATAGTATAAAAATTGTACTTGGTGTCCCATGGGTTGAAAGTAGTTTATAGACCTTTCTTTTCTTCTCCCCACTTTGAGGTGTTTAAAAACATTTCGAGTTAGTTTCCAGTGTATAAAAACTAGAAGATTTCTCATAAAGGCCTAGGTTTCAGAGTTCTCTTAACAGGAGGATCTGGCAATACAGAGCCTGAATTCTCACACAGCAAAAACTAAACTGCAGTGGTTGCCCACTTTGGGCAGGGCATGTATGTGTGCCCTAGTTAGTGTCAGTGGACTGCTGCTTTGCTATTTAGTGTTATCTTCCTGGAGCCTGTAAGCATTTGAGTTTGCCACCTCTGGGGGAATTAAAGTAGTTGCCTTCTAACCATGAGATTCTGTATAATGGTGATGATTTCAAAAGGAAGCATAAAGATTAAGATTTTAGTTTTACCAGGAGGCAGAGGTTGCAGTGAGCCGAGATCGCACCACTGTACTCCAGCCTGGCAACAGAGCGAGACTCCGTCTCAACAACAACAACAAGGATTTTAGTTTTAGTATGCCTGTATAAATTCAAGGTGCAAAGGCAACATTTCCTGGCTGGGAGTTTACTGGCAGGGCGGCCTGTGCAGAGCATCTACTCTTGCTGTTGAAGTAACTGAGGGAAAGGTGCTGATCTTGCTAAGGAGAACACAAGCCCTAATCAAGCCAAGCTCACCTCTATTTGAGTGCTTTTGGTGCAGTTTGTGGCTTTTTTCCAATATGGTAAGTTTCCTTTGGAATATATTTAGAGCAAAATTGCCATTGTCATGGTATTTTTGTTTTGTACAAGCTTCAAAATTACTACTTTGGAATGAGAGGTATAGTTGAGTTGGCTGGCTGTGAGTTTACCATTTGTTTCTCTTTAGCCAAGAGATCATTATTATAATGTTTCAAATAATTTTCCACTTAAATTATACCATTTTCTCTAAATCCAACTGCTTAGTATATGCTTAGTAAACCAAAGGATTGGTATGAGGTGTAATAAAGTACATTAAAATAAAATGATCATTTTATTCTTGTTAGGATTATAAATTTTCTCTAAAATGCCTTCAAAATATAAAATTCAGGGGGCTAAATCTGGTGGTAGTCAATCAATTCAACAACTAATATTTTAGTGAGTATGTTTTATGTGTAAAATACTGTTTTACAAATAAGTGCAAATAGGTCTACAGCATGGTCCTATCCTAAAGAGATTTACACTGACTCAATACCCTCCCTACCATTGTGTAGTTAATGCAAATAATTTTTTTTTAAACGGAAGATGTGAGTAAGGCTTTTCTGAAGTTTAATTTCTCAATATTTAGCTTAATAGGTGTTTCTGTGATGCTCTGATTTATGTTTGGGTATATGCTTAACTGAAATCATCATACAATTATGTCTACTTACTGCATTCCTCTAGCAACTATAAAATTATTACTGTACCTTTGAAAATGCCAGTTGGTCCACTTGGTGGGAACAATAACAATATCAGTTACCATATCTAAGGGCTCACACCGTACTAAGCACTGTGCCCTGTGGGCTTTCTGTACATTATCACTTGTATTCCTTCTAGTAACCCTGTGCAGTAGATATCAGTTTAGTTTTTTTTTGCATTTGAAGAGTTAGGTTAAGAAGTGTCGATTTGGGAGGCTGAGGTGGGTGGATCGCTTGAGCTTTGGAGTTCAGAACTAGCCTGGGCAACATGGTGAAACCCTGTCTCTATTAAAAATACAAAAATTAGCCAGGTGTGGTGGCATGCGGTTGTAGTCCCAGCTACTTGGGTGAGAGAATCGCTTGAACTTTGGAGGCGGAGGTTGCAGTGAGCTGAGATCCTGCCACTGCACTCCACCCTGGGTGACACACTGAGACTTTGTCCCCCTACCCCCCAAAAAAGAAGGGTTGGGTAATTTGTCCATGGTCACAAACTTTTTTTAAGACGGAGTTTTGCTCTTGTTGCCCAGGCTGGAGTGCAATGGCACCATCTTGGCTCACCACAACCTCTACTTCCCGGTTTCAAGTGATTCTCCTGCCTTAGCCTCCCAAGTAGCTGGGATTACAGGCATGTGCCACCACACTCAGCTAATTTTGTATTTTTAGTAGAGACAGGGTTTCGCTATGTTGGTCAGGCTGGTCTTGAACTCCCGACCTCAGGTGATCCACTGGCCTCGGCCTCCCAGAGGGAGGCTGGGATTATAGGTGTGAGCCACTGTGCCTGGCCCAAACTTTTTATTGTTAGAGATGTGCTTTGATCCCAAGGTTTCCGACTCAAGCCAGTATGCTGCATTGGAAAAGTAGTTGAGTCTTTAAAAAAAGAAAAGTTTTTTCTTATTAATAATGTAGTTCATGATTGCAAAAAAAAAAATTAGAAAATATATGAAGGCACACAAAAGGAAAGGAAAATCACCTGTAATTTTACTAAACAGAAAAAAACTGTTAACATTACTTTATATATGTATATACAGTTGTGTATTGCATAACAACGGGGATACATCCTGAGAAATGTGTTGTTAGGTGATTATGTCACTGTGCAAACATCACAGTGTACTTATACAAACCTAGATGATATAGCCCACTGTACACCAAGGCTGTATGGTACAGCCTGTTGCTTCTGTGCTACAAACCTGTGTGACACGTTGCTGTATTGAATACTATAGGCAACTGTAACACAATGATAAGTATTTGTCTCTCTAGATACAGAAAAGATAAAGTAAAAATATGGTATAAAATATAAAATTGGTACACCTGTATGGAACACTTATCATGAATGGAACTTGCAGGGCTGGAAGTTGCTCTGAGTGAGTCAGTGAGTGAGTAGTGAGTGAATTTGAAGGCCTAGGACATTACTGTACACTACTGTAGGCTATTAACACTGTATACTTAGGCTACACTAAATTTGTTTAAAAAGAGTTTTCTTTCTTCAGTAAGAAATTAACCTAGCCTGGGCACAGTGGCTCACACCTATAATCAATCCTAGCACTTTGGGAGGCTGAAGGGAGTGTTGCTTAAGGCCAGGAGTTTGAGACCAGTCTAGACAACATAACAAAACCTCATCTCTACCAACAACAACAACAACAAAATTAGCTGGGTGTGGCAGTGTGTACCTGTAGTCCTAGCTACTTGGCAAGCTGAAGTGGCAGCATTGCTTGAGCCCAGGAGTTAAAGGCTGCTGTGAATTATCATTGTGCCACTATACTTCAGCCAGAGTGACAAAGGAAGACCCTGTCTTGAAATAAAAATTTTTTAATAAAATTAATTAACTTTAGTTACTATAACATTCTTTATAACCTTTAAAAAATTTTAAATTTTTGACTCTTTTTGTAATAAACAGCTTAAAACACAAACACATTCTACAGCTGCACAAAAATTGTTTCTTTGTATCCTGATTTTGTGAGCTTTTTTCTTTTATTGATTAATTGATTTACTGATACAACTGTACTCTCTTCTTCAGGCTGGAATGCAGTGATATGATTATAGCTCACTGCAACCTCAAATTCCTGGACATAAGTGTTCCTCCTGCCTCAGCTTCCCAAGTAGCTAAGACTGCTAATTAAAAAAAAAAAATTGTGTAGGGATTGGTGGGGGTCTTCACTATGTTGCTCAGGCTGGTCTCGAACTCCTGGCCTCAAGCAATCCTCCCACCTCAGCCTCCCAAAGTACTGTGATTACAGGCATGAGCCACTGTGCCCAGCCACTTTTTTCCATCTTTATATTTTCTAAAAATCTTTTTTGTTAAAAACTAAAACAAGTGTATTAACCTAGGCCTATACACAGAATCATCAGTATCACTGTTTTTCATCTCCACATCTTGTCCACTGGAAAGTCTTCAGGGGCAATAATTCATGGAGCTGCCATCTGTAGTAACAATGCGTTCTTCTTGAAGGACCTCCTGAAGGACCTGCCTGAGGCTGTTTTACAGTTAAAAAAAAAAGTAGAAGGACTACACTCTAAAATAATGATTAAAAGTACAGTAAATACATAAACTAGTAACATAGTCATTTATTATTGTTATCAAGTGTTACATATTGTACATTATTATATGTGCTGTACTTTCCTACAACTGGCAGCTCAGTAGGTTGTATACACCAGTGTCTCTACAGACACAGTAATGTGTGGCACTAGGACATTGTGACAGCTAAGATGTCAGTAGGCAATAAGAGCTTTTCAGTTCCATTATCATTCTGTGAAACCACTCATATATGCAGTCCGTCATTGCCAAAACGTTTTTATGCCGTGCATGACAGTCCATATGTAGTAGATCCTCATTAATTTACAGATTTGTGCTAAAATGTTTTTGTACCTCCTAAAGTCAATACTAAAGGTGCTTTAGTGGTCATTTATGCTTAGCAGAACAGCAAAAAATTTTGAGTCACCTGGCATGCATGTTCCCAGCTGAAGTCGAACAGGCCATACTGCCTTCTTGTTTCAGCCTCATTAAGAGATGACCAGAGGGGCCGGGCGCGGTGGCTCAGGCCTGTAATCCCAGTACTTTGGGAAGCCTAGGCGGGCGGATCACGAGGTCAGGAGATCGAGACCATCCTGGCTAACACGATGAAACCCTGTCTTTACTAAAACTACAAAAAATTAGCCGGGCGTGGTGGCAGGTGCCTGTAGTCCCAGCTACTTGGGAGGCTGGGGCAGGAGAATGGCATGAACCCGGGAGGCAGAGCTTGCAGTGAGCCGAGATCATGCCATTGCACTCCAGCCTGGGGGACAGAGCGAGACTCTGTCTCAAAAGAAAAAAAAAAAAAGATGACCAGAGGACAGAGACTGCAGGGAGCAGTACAGGGTAGTGCAAGAAGCTCTGGCCCTGGGGCCAGTTTTGTGTGGGGAGGGGGCATTTGAATCTCACCTCTGGCACCTGTTTTTGGAGCAACCTCAGATAAGTCACTTAACATTTCTGAACCAACTTTTCTCATTTGTAAAAATAGAATCTACCAGGATAAATTGGTTTTAGGACTTAAGACTATAATCAATCCATGTATATATAAGTACAAATTTTCCCAAGGAGCAATGGTTCAGTGTTTGCCAATTCATTGTTTGTGGAGATTTTATAGAACATAATATCACTAATAACAAGAATCAACTGGCTGGGCGTGGTGGCTCATGCCTGTAATCCCAGCACTTCGGAAGGGCGAGGAGGGTGAATCATTTGAGGTCAGGAGTTCAAGACCAGCCTAGCCAACATGGTGAAACCCCATCTCTACTAAAAATACAAAATTGGCTGGATGCGGTGGCATGTGCCTGTAATCCCAGCTACTCAGGAGGCTGAGGCAGGAGAATTGCTTGAACCCGGGAGATGAAGGTTGCAGTGAGCTGAGATCGCACCGCTGCAGCACTGCACTCCAGCCTGGGAGACAGCATGAGACTCCGTCAAAAAAAAGAAAAAAAAAAAAAAGGAATCAACTATAACAAGATATGTATGTGTATATCTGGAGAGTTTCTTTTTATGCATGAATGCACAGGTCTATATCTATTCCCTTTTTTTGGCATTATAAATGGATACATACTGTACCTTGCTTTGTAACCTGTGTTTTTCATCTAATAATATGCTATCAACATTTTCTATTACTGTGAAATATTGTTTTATAGCATGATTCGTGACATTCAGGAAATATGTTTTGAGCACATACTGTATTGCCACTAGGTGGGGAGACAGACATGAAACAATCGCCCAATTACAATTGGCTGACTACAATTTTTTTTTTTTTTTTTGAGGCAAAATCTTGCTTTGTTGCCCAAGCTGGAGTGCAGTGGCATGATCTCGGCTTACTACAACCTCCATCTCCTAGGTTCAAGCGATTCTCCTGCCTCAGCCTCCCGAGTAGCTGGAATTATAGGTGCCTGCTGCCATGCCCGGCTAATTTTCACATTTTTAATAGAGATGGGGTGGATTTCACCATGTTGGTCAGGCTGGTTTTGAACTCCTGACCTCAAGCAATCCCCCCACCTCGGCCTCCCAAAGTGCTGGGATTATAGGTGTGAGCCACCCTGGCCTGATTACAAATTTGATAAGATCTGCAAAGGAGAAGTACAGGTTCCTATGAGAGTGTATAATGGGAAAATCTAACCTCTTTTGGGATCCTCAGAGGAGGCCTATGGGGTATTTGCATTTAAGCTGGGAACTGCAGGATGTCAGTGTAGAGTGGGCAAGAGTGGTGGAGGCTGGGAGTGTGTAGATTACCCACTTTCCTACTGACCCTTGCTTGGTGAGCATTGAATAAAACCAAGCTTTGAAGGAACCGTTGAATAATTTTTTCACAGTTCTTGGATATAGGCTAGTCTTTGTATATATCTTTAATTCCTTAGGATTAGCCATTCCAGAAGTAGAATTACTTGGGCAGATGGTTAGCACATATTTTGAGGTTTCTATGAGATATTGTTCAAATGGTGTACTCATTTCTTCTACTTTCAGTGACATAGGAAATTATTATTTTAATGTTTGCTTTAGTCAGTTTTTTTTTTTTTTTTTTGAGACAAGAGTCTCACTGTCGCCCAGGTTGGAGTGCAGTGGCGCAATCTCGGCTCACTGCAGGCTCCGCCCCCCGGGGTTCACGCCATTCTCCTGTCTCATCCTCCAGAGTAGCTGGGACTACAGGCGCCCGCCACGTCGCCCGGCTAATTTTTTGTATTGTTAGTAGAGATGGGGTTTCACTGTGTTAGCCAGGATGGTCTCGATCTCCTGACCTCGTGATCCGCCCGCCTCGGCCTCCCAAAGTACTGGGATTACAGGCGTGAGCCACCGTGCCCGGCCGTTTAGTCAGTTTTAAGACACAGATATAGCCTATTATTTTATTTACTGCTTCCATATTGCTTATCTTGTTTTAGAATATTTAGATAACCTTTGTACTTTTAAAGTGTTACAAAGAGTACCTTTTTACACTGGAAAATAACTTCATTAGATACAAAGAAGCTAAATGTATACAACTATTAGAAAAATATCTCTAGTGGTATATAGAAGATAATTATGTTATAATTATCTAGGGCATACTATGGAAATATTAATTTTTTTGGAGGTCCTTCTAATACATCTGTGAAGACTTCTGCAAAACTAAAACAGCTAGAAGAGGAGAATAAAGATGCTATGTTTGTGTTTTTATCTGATGTTTGGTTGGACCAGGTGGAAGTATTGGAAAAACTTCGCATAATGTTTGCTGGTAGGTCTTATTTTTTTTCTTCTTTCTTGAACTCTTTTAAGGGTTCATGTTTTAAAACTTTTTGAGTATTCTATTTATCTTTTTGAGTATTCTATTTAAAAAAAAACAGAGTTAGCAATGAGATAATTTAAATTAGATTTCATTTTAAAGACTTAAATTTTTACATTAAGAAAAAAACCTGTGTGTGTGTGTGTGTGTGTGTGTGTGTGTGTTTATAGTCATGATAAGTAAGAATTAGTCCTGAAGTTCAAGACCAGCTGGACAACATAGTGAGACCCCATCTCTAAACAAAAACAAAAACAAACTGGGTTTAAGTGCAAGCCTATTACCCTGGGCAGGTTACTTAACCTAAGTCTCAGATTTTATGGATGTTCTGAGGAGTAATTAAGCCAATGCAGGCCTGGCCTATAGTAAGTGCTCAATGAATGGCTACTGTTATTAGTATTATTTTAATAAGTTATTAAAATGTTATTTTAATTAAAATAAATTTTTATTATTAGAAAGTCATGGTTAAAGGGTTTTTAACTTGATTTGTAGACTAGAAAAGTATTGTTCATTTACTCTTTTATTGTTTAGGTTATTCACCAGCACCTCCAACCTGCTTTATTCTGTGTGGTAATTTTTCATCTGCACCATATGGAAAAAATCAAGTTCAAGCTTTGAAAGGTATTAACGATCTATTTAATAAGAAGTGTTTCTATAGTCATATAAACTAAAGTAATAAGAAATTATCCATAATATTTTAATTAAGAATATACAGGATTGTATCTAATCAAATATAATTTTATGGCATTATATGCAAATTTAATTCAATACCTTTTTAAAATTTTAGATTCCCTAAAAACTTTGGCAGATATAATATGTGAATACCCAGATATTCACCAAAGGTAATGATCTCTAGCACTATATATTTTTTCACCGTTTTACTTAAAAAAAAAACAAAAAATGAATTTTGTTATATCAGCAATTATTACAAAACTAAGGAAGAAAGATAAAGTTGAGAAAATTAAAAGAACTAAGAGATAAAGTTATCCTCACATTGTACTAGAGGTTTATAATGAAAAGTATTGAAAGGGATAGAGGTAATTTCAGCCATACTTGGAATTTCTTCGTGGCATTACTCTTAAGAGTCTAGAGCTTCACTCTCCGATATGATAGTCACTGGCCACATGTCTCTTTAAATCTAAGTTTAATTAAATTTAAATATAAAATTCAGTCCATCAGCTATGCTAGCCACAATTCAAGTGTTCAATTGGGCAGTGCAGATATAGAACTTTTCTATCATGACATTACTAGACAGTGTTGGTCTGGAGACTTAATAGTTCATTTATTATAATGCATGAAATTTAAATGTTTTTTAATTTTAAAGAGAAAACAAAGGGAATAACTTGCTTTTAAGCTATTGGATAGTGTTACAATAATATTTTTAAATGAATTGTGTTGAATTTTGCTACAGTAGTCGTTTTGTGTTTGTACCTGGTCCAGAGGATCCTGGATTTGGTTCCATCTTACCAAGGTAAGTTTTGTTCAGATTTTTGCAACAGTGTAGAAAATTTTGTAAAACTTAAAAAGATAAACTATATCACATAAATTGTTTTTATAGGCCACCACTTGCTGAAAGCATCACTAATGAATTCAGACAAAGGGTACCATTTTCAGTTTTTACTACTAATCCTTGCAGGTAAGAATTAGTATTTTGTGTTATACATTTTTCCTTTCATTTAAAAATTAGCCAGGTGTGGTGGCTCATGTCTGTAATCTCAGCACTTTGGGAGGCCGAGGCAGGCAGGTTGCTTGGAGTTCCGAGACCAGCTTTGGCAACACAGTGAAACCCATCTCTACAAAAAGTACAAAAATTAGCTGGGCTTGGTGGCACGCGCCTGTGGTTCTATGAAGAGGCTGAGATGGGAGGATCACTTGAGCCTGGTAGGTGGAGAGGTTGCTGTGAGCTGAGAATGCACTACTGCATTCCAGCCTGCAGCCTGGGCGACAGAGCAAGACCCTGTCTCAAAAAAACAAAAAACAAAAAAACAAAAAAAACAAAAAACAAAAAAACTAACTTGATTCCTAAAATGTGTCTCTGAATTTCGACTGTTATGGAATAAATATAAGAAGAAAATTTATTTTTGTTTTAGGTTTCTCAAAACTTTGAAAATAGTTTAACTATATTTAAATAATTTATTGGTAGTCAATTCAGACTCTTGAATAATGGATAGCAGTTTAAAAATAGATATTATTACTACATATCCTTTAAGAAAGGTTACAAAGGAAGAATACAAAGATTACTTATTTACTGTTCGTATTGCTCATTGTAATCATAAGTTCTTCCTGTGGGAATACCATCAGAGGCAGCCTTGGTTCGCCTCTTTTCTGCCTACATTCACTCCTTTGCTGGCCTTCTCCAGTGTCCTCTGGCTTTAAGTATCATCTGTGTATTGACACCTTCCACATTTATATTTCCACTTCAACCTACCTTCCAAACTCCAGACTCAGGTATCCAGTTGCCTACTTATCACCATCCCAACCTAAGTGAACTCCTGATCTTCCTCCCCACGAGTGTCCCTAACCTCTTCTGTAGACTTCTCCATGTTAGTTCATGACACCTTCATGGTCTGAACAATGATTATTCCAGTTGTTCAGGCCAAACACTTTGGGGTTTCTCTCACATGTTTTTTCAGGAAGTCCCATTAACTTCAAATTATATCCAGAATCTGCTCTCTCTCTATACCTCTACCTCCACAACCCTCTACCACAGTGGTCCCCAACCTTTTTGGCACCAGGGACTGATCTTATGGGAGACAGACGCCAGGGGGGGTGGGGGTGATTTTGGGATGATTCAAGCGTATTACACTTATTGTGCACTTTATTTCTATTATTATTACATTATAATATATAATAAAACAATTATACAACTTACCATAATATAGAATCAGTAGGAGCCCTAAGCTTGTTTTCCTGAAACCAGACGGTCCCATCTGGGGATGATGGGAGACAGTGACAGATCATCAGACATTAGATTCTTATAACGAGTGTGCAGCCTAGATCACTCACGTGTACAGTTCACAACAGGATTCGTGCTCCTGTGAGAATCTAATGCCCCTGCTGATCTGACAGGAGGCAGAGGTCAGGATGTAATACAACCGATGGGGAGTGGCTGTAAATACAGATGAAGCTTTGCTTGCTTGCAGCCTGCTGCTCACCTCCTGCTGTGTGGTCCAGTTCCTAACAGACCATGGACTGGTACCAGTCCATGGCCTGGAGGTTGAGGAGCCCTGCTCTGCCATCTTCTCGGCCTGGATTATTACAATAGCCTCCTAATTGGTCTCCAGCTTTTACTCCTTCCCCTCCGTATTCTATTCTTTTTTTTTTTTTTTTTTTTTTTTTTTTTTTTTTTTTTTTTTTTTTTTGAGACGGAGTCTCGCTCTGTTGCCCAGGCTGGAGTGCAGTGGCGCGATCTCGGCTCACTGCAAGCTCCGCCTCCCGGGTTCATGCCATTCTCCTCTCCGTATTCTATTCTTAACGCAGTGTGAAAGTGATCCTGTAAAGCATAAGGCATATCCCATCCACCTTCCCGATCCTGGAAAAAGGGACCCTCATTGGAAAAAGGGACCCCTCGTGATTTAGTGACAGCCGTATCCTTGCAGTGGTAATCAAGGCCCTGTGTTATCTGGCTCCGTTACCTCTCTGATTTCCTCTCCTCCCCATTTACTCCAGCCACACTAGCCTCCCTTCTGTTCCTCAAGGATGCCAGGCGAGCTCCAGTCTGAGGGCCTGGGCTCCATCTGTTCCCTTTGCCTGCAGTGCGCTTCCTCTGGGTATCTGCTTGACTAAGTCCCTCTTCCGCTTCAAGCCTGTGCTCAAGTCACACTAAATTATGAGCCCGGCCTGTTCTGATCATCCTATTAATATGCCCGCCTTCTAGGCTCTCTCTTACCACATATGCTGTCCCTCTTAGCCTGTCTTTTTCTTTTTCTCTTATGCTTAATTATCTTAAAACATACTATATGATTATGTTCGCTTTTTATTTTCTCAGCCCCACCCCCTACTAGAATGTAAACTGTATGAGGGCTGGGATCTTTTGGTTCTGTTCGCTAATCCCTAGAATGGGGTAGGCATATATTAAGAGCTCAATACATAGCTGTTAAATGAATAGATGAATAGACAGACTCTGGTTGAAGTTTTGTGTGGTGAACAGTGAATGTGGGAATGGGGTTGTATTGTAAGAGATTTTACCTTTAAAATTAATATCATTTTTTTCTGAGAAGTCAAATTCAACTACTGTTTTCATTTCAGAATTCAGTACTGTACACAGGAAATTACTGTCTTCCGTGAAGACTTAGTAAATAAAATGTGCAGAAACTGCGTCCGTTTTCCTAGCAGCAATTTGGCTATTCCTAATCACGTAAGTGAAACAACTTTTTTATTAAACTGCCTTACATGTTGCATTATATAAAATTTTATTAAGCCACTTAATAATTTGTCCTTGGGTTAGGACATTTATTTATGGTTCAAAATAGTTTGAACGTACTTTTGTCAGTAAGTTAATTTTTGTTAGTGAAGTCAGTGTTTCTCAGCTTTCTACCTAAGTGTATGTCCTTTAGAGGACAGAGAAAAGCTGAGAATAAGCATGAAATTTCTTTCAAGCTTCGTGTTTTGCCTTTTAAACTCTTAAATTATACTTGAAAATATATGTATATTTGTTTTAATAAACTGTTCTTATTTATCCCATTGGTTACATATTTTATATAGTATGTCCATATCACAAGAATGTGCAGTATTTATCTTGTAGCTTCGAGGTTCCCTGACAATAGTTGTCAATCACAGGTTACATACACCCCCATTTGAGAAGTACGGAAATAGATGTTACAGAGCATTTTTATTATTCATTTTATAATATTTAAAGTTTATGGACCAGGTGCAGTGGCTTATGCCTGTAATCCCAGCACTTTGGGTGGCTTGCTTGAGGCCAGGAGTTTGAGACCAGCCTGGGCAGCATAATGATGTATATGTTATTAAATGAAAACTCATAGATTTTTTTTCCTAAAATACAGAATAGTTTATTTCACTTTTAAATTAGTGTCTCCCAAAGCTCTGTGAGTCAAAGCTTTCCTAGTTTCTCAAATTTTCTGGTTCCTTTTGGTAATTAATATTTAATTTGAAATTATTTGTTTAGCTATTTTCACTTTTGCAAATGAACTGAAGTTTGCTTTGTTTTGTGCTCTTTTGTAGTTTGTAAAGACTATCTTATCCCAAGGACATCTGACTCCCCTACCTCTTTATGTCTGCCCAGTGTATTGGGCATATGACTATGCTTTGAGAGTGTATCCTGTGCCCGATCTACTTGTCATTGCAGACAAATATGATCCTTTCACTACGACAAATACCGAATGCCTCTGCATAAACCCTGTAAGAATGTAGTTAATCTTATATAGTCATTATTTATCAAGATTAGAGTGCATTTTTTAATTTAAAAATATATATTTAATAAGATTATTGTCGAAGTAAAAATATGCTATTAGTGAAACACTGAATTAAGTTTCTATACACAGAAAGTTGGTATACACAGAAAGTTCTTAAACTTTCAGTATAGTGACTATAAAGTAACATGACTTAAAAAACAAAAAAACAAGCATACCCACAAGCATACCAAAACATAAATCCAAAAGAGTAATTTTCTCCTCTTCAGAACTTATCTTGGGATTCCTTTCTGGGAATTGCTTCAGAGCCTGCATATTGGTGGTACTTGTCCTTTGAGAATGATTTTGATTTTTGGAAATTGCACAGGTCCCAAAAATCTAAGCCTGATTAATATAGAAACCTCATTGGTACATATTTTATTACTTAATTTTATGTAGAACCTTGAAATTGCTTCAGAATCTTGAGGTTGCTTCAGAATTTCTGCAGAAATATAATTGACTTTTAGGCCAGGTATGGTGGCTCACACCTGTAATCCCAGCACTTTGGGAGGCCGAGGTGGGTGGATCACGAGGTCAGGAGTTCAAGACCAGCCTGACCAACATGGTGAAACCCCGTCTCTACTAAAAATTACAATAATTAGCTGGGCGTGGTGGTGCGCGCCTGTAATCCCACCTACTTGGGAGGCTGAGGCAGGAGAATTGCTTGAACCAGGGAGGCAGAGGTTGCAGTGAGCGGAGATCACGCCATTGCACTCCAGCCTGGGCGACAGAGCGAGACTCCATCTCAAAAAAAAAGAAAAGAAATATAGGCCGGGTGTGGTGGCTCACGCCTGTAATCCCAGCACTTTGGGAGGCCAAGGCGGGCAGATCACGAGGTCAGGAGATCGAGACCATCCTGGCTAACATGGTGCAACCCCGTCTCTACTAAAAACACAAAAAATTAGCTGGGCGAGGTGGCGGGCGCCTCTAGTCCCAGCTACTCGGGAGGCTGAGGTAGGAGAATGGCGTGAACCCGGGAGACAGAGCTTGTAGTGAGCCAAGATCGCGCCACTGCACTCCAGCCTGGGCAGCTGAGCGAGACTGCGTCTCAAAAAAAAAAAAAAAAAAAAAAAAAAAGGGAAAGAAATATAATTGACTTTTTGAACTTGGAGAATAAATACTGCATAAACAATGACATAAACACAGTTATGTCAAACAAAATATTATCTCCACTAGAGATTTTTAATATGCATGCTTCCTTGATTCTTGTGAATTTTAGACTTTACTAATTTTTTGTTTCATCTGAGTAATTTCTAGAAACATCATGCCTTATTTTTGGCATGATGCTGGGCCTGTAATCCCAGCACTTTGGGAGGCCGAGGCAGGAAGATGGCTTGAGTCCAGGAGTTCACAACCAGCATGGGCAACATAGAAAGGGCCTGTCTCTACTTTGCTTTCCTCAAACACACAGTTTGTCCAGCTTCTTCTAAGACATGGCTTATCGGCCTTGGCACTTTTGACATTTTGGACCAAGTAATTTTTGGTGGTGGGGGCTATCCTGTGCATTGTAAGCTGTTTAGCAGCATCCCTGGCCTCTGTCCACTAAATGCCAGTAGTATTCCCCAGCTGTAACAATCAGAAATGTCTCCAGACACTGGCCAAATGTCCCCCTGAGGGACAAAGGAACCCTGGTTAAGAGCCTCTGCTTTAAGAATGAACACAGTTAACTGATTTGGTTTTATTGCTTAGAAATTTATGACCTGATTTTTATTCACATTGAAATAGTCTTTCATGGTGATGCTATTTCCTTACTTAAACTTTGGGCATTCTCCTAGTTAATGCTCTATTTGAATATACCTTATTTCTGAATTTTTCTACTTTTTCATCCCTGTGAGTAAACCACCACCTCCTACACCATCATTATATCTTTTTTACCTTATTTATACCTTTTGGGCAAGCTCAAAACTAGCCTTAGACATTACTTCATCCTTTCTTGATATTTATTCACATTAACGAATGCCTGCCATAGGCTAGGTGTTGGGTTCGGTGCTTGGGGCACAAAGACTGAAAAGACAGGGCCTCTGCTCAGCCACGTGAGAGTTTCATAGTAGACAAACAATTGTATGTGTGATTATTGCTCAGTTGCTTTACAGGCACATAGGAAGGGAATCAAACAGGTACATAGGAATGCAAATCAGTTTTGCATTAGAGAGAGGGGCAGGAAAGACTTCTTGAACTTGCTGATTGTCTCACATGCATATTTGGCGTTACACAGTCTGTTTATTTTTTACACTAAGTAGAGCTCCTCCTAAGCATTTCCAACCTCATCTTTTAGCATTAAGACTGTCTAGCCAACTCAAAAGACTTTTGCTTCAAGTGGAGATATTTTATAGTAACAACTCTGTAAAAAGATCGTGTAAAAATCTGTTGTGTTACTTTATAGTCACATCTTGTCATTTTAAGTCACAACCAAGGACTTTTAAAAAACAGGAATTATTTTATAAAACTTGAGTATTCGGCTGGGCACGGTGGCTCATGCCTGTAATCCCAGCACTCTGAGAGGCCGAGGTGAGCAGATCACCTGTGCCCAAGAGTTCAAGACTAGCCTGGGCAACACAGTGAAACCCTGTCCCTCTTTACAAAAAATACAAAAATTAGCTAGGCGTGGTGGCCCATGCCTGTGGTCCCAGCTACCTGGGAGGCTGAGATGGGAAGATCGCTTGAATCCCGGAAATGGAGGTTGCAGTGAGATTGCCCCACTGCACTCCAGCCTGGGTGATGAGAGTGAGACCATGTCTCAAAAAAAAAATAAATAAATAAAATAAAAAATAAAAAATATACATATTGTGTTTAAAAAAATTTATTTTAAAAAAAAGTCTGAGCATTCACTTACAGGCATTTTTCTCCCCCAAAGGGCTCTTTTCCAAGAAGTGGATTTTCATTCAAAGTTTTTTATCCTTCTAATAAGACAGTAGAAGATAGGTAAGTGTGTGCACAGACACAGCAAGAAAGATCTTTCTCTAGGTGTTAAATTACTGAAAATGAGATGTTCTATCAGTGTGTTGGGATTTTTGAAAATGTCTACAGTGGCCCATAAAGAAATATTATTGGCTGAGCTTATCACGGTTATGCTGTGTGACACAGAATTGTGGGTACATGATGGTACGTTTGTGTTGAAATAGATCAAGAACTGTTTTCTGGGGGAAATCTCAGGCCAGCTGTGGAGGTGAGCTAGTTCTCTTACAGGCCAACTCCTGACGATGGTCTCACTCTTCTGAGAGGTCAGTCCTGCCCTCCGTATGGTTGCTTCTTAGGTACTTTCCCTTAAATTGACAGTGAGGGAGCTGTGTGTGAGTTTGGTGATGGTATGGGGTTGGAGTTACGGAAAGGTCTTGAGAAAGAAGAAAATAATCACCTAGTGGGTAGTAGTTTTCACAGGGTGATCTACATAGATCACCCACATCAGAATCCTCTGGGGTCCTTGTTAAAAATGTTAAGTTAGGATTTTGCCCCAGACTCATCAAATGACTTTCTAATTGTAAAGAATAGGCATTTTAAATATTATTTCCTGTAATTTCAGGCATCCTAACATGTGATTTCTCAGATAACTGTATTTTGAAAAAGTTCCCACCACTGGTTAAGAACAAGTGCCCAGGCAGGGCACGGTGGCTCATGCCTGTAATCCCAGGACTTTGGGAGGCCGAGGTGTGTGGATCACGAGCTCAGGAGTTTGAGACCAGCCTGACCAACATGGTGAAACCCCGTCTTTATTAAAAATACAAAAATTACCCGGGTGTGGTGGCGTGTGCCTGTAATCCCAGCTACTCAGGAGAAGGAGGCTAAGGCAGGAGAATTGCTTGAACCTGAGAGGTACAGGTTGAGTGAGCAGAGATGGCGCCACTGCACTCCAGCCTGGGCAACAGAGTGAGACTCTATCTCAAAAAAAAAAAAAAAAAAAAAAAAAAAAAAAAACCAACAAAAAAACAACTGACCAAATCAAGTAACTCCCCTCCAGGTTATTGTCAGAGAATATAATCTTGAACACAGCCCAGTTGTCTTTTTCTTTTTGGAATTAACATATTTATTTAAAATAAAAGTGAATATAAAATGAATAATTTTCAAAACATGCTTATAAATATAAAATTAAAAAGGAGGCCAGACGCTGTGGCTCTTTTCCAGCCCACTTGTCTACGCTGGATATCCTGAGGGCACTTGATTTTGTGACCCCAGGACTAAGTCAACTCTGAGGGCTGTCAGCCTGGAGCATACAGTCTTATCCACTGTTAGAATGTCTTTTACTGAAATAACATTTGGCATAAAACTTGTAGACATAAAACAGTCTGCAGCCATTCGTGGTGGCTCACACCTGTAATCCAGCACTTTGGGAGGCCAAGGCAGGCAGATGACTTAAGTCAGGAGTTTAAGACCAGCCTGGGCAACATGGCAAGGCCTGTTCTCTACAAAAAAATACAAAAAATTAGCTGGGTGTGGTGGCCCACACCTGTAGTCCCAGGTACTGGGGAGACTGAGGTGGGAAGATCACTTGAGCTCACTTGAGCTCGGGAGTCAGAGGTTGCAGTGAACTGTGATTGGTCCACACTGCACTCCAGCCTGGGTGACAGCTGTCAAGTACCCTGTCTCATGGTACTTGCAGTTGATGCTCACTCTTTGTCCACTGAAATAGTTGCTTCCTTTATCTGCTGTGGCCTCAGATGCTGAAAGCCTTGACATAATTTCCAAACTATAATTTTGTATTGGTAACTGGGGAATCTTTTCAATGCTAGATCAAACAAACTGATGTAAGTTTATGTTTTAGGAAAACAGAAAAGTTTCAAGATATATTGAAATAATCTGGCCTTCTTGCCACTTAGTTTCTCCTAAGAAGCCTTCTGTTAGAATATTTGTGAAATCATATTGTGGAATTAGTCACAGAAATGTAGTCAAAGTTGATAAAATTAACCCTGTTTAAACATGACTTTCAAGTAGTTTTATTTAAAAACACAATATTGGTGATGTTTTGGAGGAAATACACATTCTCACATGTAGTTGGTCAGAATGAAAAATGGCAGAAACCTTTATGGAGGGCAATTTGACAAGATTTATTAATGCCTACACCAACAATTCCACTTTTAGGAATTTATTCTATAGGTATACTTAAGCCTATGCATACAAGTAGGTACATCATGTATAGGTACAGCTGGCTTTTTACTGCAGTGTTTTTTTTTTTTTTTGTGAGACGGAGTTTTGCTCTGTTGCCCAGGCTAGAGTGCAGCGGCACAGTCTCGGCTCACTGCAACCTCCATCTCTTGGGTTCAAGCGATTCTCCTGCCTCAGCCTCCCAAGTAGCTGGGATCACAGGCACATGCCACCACGCCTGGCTGATTTTTTGTATTTTTAGTAGAGATGGAGTTTCACCATGTTGGCCAGGCTGGTCTCAAACTCCTGACCTCAGGTGATCCACCGGTCTTGGCCTCCCAAAGTGGCTGGGATTACAGGCATGAGCCACTGCGCCCAGCCTTTTTACTGCAGTTTTTATACCAAGAAATTTTAAAAATGTATATATATCTAAATATTTGTACTTATTCAGAACTTTCTGATTTACTTAAATTTCTAAGCCTCAAAGAAGTAAATATAATGTATTTACTACTAATGGAAAAAAGGTGTAGAAAGTATGCATAATATCCTATCACTTCTGTATGTTTTTAAAGCATAAGCCCACATATACATGTGCTTATATATGATTAGAATACTTTTTTTTTTTTTGGAGACGGAGTTTTGCTCTTGTTGCCCAGGCTGGAGTGCAATGGCGCAATCTCAGCTCACTGCAACCTCCGCCTTCTGGGTTCAAGAGATTCTCCTGCCTCAACCTCCCGAGTAGCTGGGATTACAGGCATGCGTCACCATACCTGGCTAATTTTTTATTTTTAGTACAGATGGGGTTTCTCCAAGTTGGTCAGGCTGGTCTCGAACTCCTGACCTCAGGTGATCCACCCGCCTCTGCCTCCCAAAGTGCTGGGATTATAGGCGTGAGCCACCGCGCCCGGCTACTTTTTTTAAAAATTAGTCTACCTTTATAAAGGACATATAGTTGTTGGCCGGGCGCGGTGGCTCATGCCTCTAATCCTAGCACTTTTTGGGAGGCTGAGGCGGGTGGATCACCTGAGGTCAGGAGTTCAAGACCAGTCTGTCCAACATGGTGAAACCTCGTCTCTACTAAAAATACAAAAATTAGCCAGGCATGGTGGCAAGTGCCTATAATCTCAGCTACTCAGGAGGCTGAGGCAGGAGAATCACTCGAACCCAGGAGGCAGAGGTTGCGGTGAACCGAGATTACGCCATTGCACTCCAGCCTGGGCAACAGAGTGAGACTCCCTCTCGAAAAAAAAAAAAAAAAAAAAAGACATACATTTGCTTTTTGGGAGCAGAAAAGGGGGCATGAGAATGACTTATTTTTTAGAGTCTCCTTTTGAATTTGAAACAGTATGTATGTATTGACCTGTTTTTAAAAATCAATTAACTATACCTATTTAAAAAAATTAACTACAACTATTAGTAAGTATACAACTTAGGTTTCCAAATATTTAATTTTTTTTTCTATTTTCAGCAAACTTCAAGGCTTTTGAGATTCTTAAAGATCATCTGAAGAAAATTCATCAGTTTTCTGCTTAACTCTATATCTTATGTGATTCTGATATTACAATAAAATTATGGTAAACTTTAGGATGTTCTGCTTAAATTTGTATTTTGTGAAATTTTGATACTAAGTGATAAATATGATGGTATACTTGAGAAAGTTTTCTAGGAAAAATATTTTCTGCATAGTCTTTTAAGAAAAATATATGGGGGCCAGGCGCAGTGGCTCACGCCTGTAATCCTAGTGCTTTGGGAGGCCAAGGCGGGTGGATCACCTGAGGTCAGGAGTTCGAGACCAGCCTAGCCAAGGTAGCAAAACCCTATCTCTGCTAAAAAAAAAAATACAAAAATTAGCTGGGCATGGTGGCGGGCGCCTGTAATCCCAGCTTCTCGGGAGGCTGAGGCAGGGAGAATCACTTGAACCTGGGAGGCGGAGGTTGCGGTGAGCCAAGATTGTGCCATTGTACTCCAGCCTGGGTGACAGAGCGAGACTCTGTCAAAAAAAGAGAAAGAAATAAAAATATGTGGATATGTATATACTTTTTTTTTTTTTTTTTTTGGAGACAGAGTCTAGCTCTGTCACCCAGGCTAGAGTGCAGGGAGAATCGCTTGAACCTGGGAGGCAGAAGTTGCAGTGAGCCGAGATCGCGCCACTGCACTCCAGCCTGGGCGACAGAGAGACTCCATCTCAAAAAAAAAGACAAAAAACCCCCCAAAATACAATAATTAGTCGGGTGTAGTCCCAGCTACTTGGGAGGCTGAGATGAAAGAATCGCTTGAGCCTGGGAGGCAGAGGTTGCAGTGAGCTGAGATCAGGCCACTGCACTCCAGCCTGGGCGACACAGTGAGACTCTTTCAAAAAAAAAAAAAAAATTACGAAGAGCCTGGACTGGAAGACATTGCTTTCAAAGAGAATTAGCTTTTGAGAGAAAAGGTACTAATAAAAAAATATAAAAATGACACAGTGAAAGGGAAATTCCTCAAGGAAATTTAATATGAATGCAGTGATAAGTTAATTTAGCAGCAAAGAGAACATGACAATCTGATATGTGGTTTGGGGATGGAAAATTGGAAGAATGTTAGAAGGGGCCTAATGTTAGAAGAGCAAGGTTTAACTTTAATTTCAAGAATAACCTGGTAAAATCAAAGTTTAAAGATGAAATCAAGACATAAATTTAAACAGTTTGGGCCTAGAAAGTGGCAGTAAAATAGACATGCAAGGCTGCTGGTGCAGTTATGAGACTCACAGAGCTAAATATGAATGATGATGGGCAGAAGTTTATAAATGGAAATTGAAATCAAGGTGTCCTCTCATTCAGTGGATACATAATTGCTTCTATAATTAAAGCAGAGGTATTTTGAGATCTTTTCAAGAACACAGTGAAAGTAGGGTGCATTTAGGGGTTAAACAAGATGAAGTGAAGTGAAACAAGGCAGTGTAAATTGCCAGAAGCAGGCCATCAATATTAGAATAAGGTAAGGCAGGAACTAGAACCAGGTGAGGATCAACATCGTCCAGAGATGGAAAAGAAAGCCAAGGTCTGTAAGATAGGACAGCAGAGGAGCCGGTGTGAAAGAGTGGACTTTGCTTTAGTAAAGAACAGAGACAGTGTGTTCCCAGCTGGGTGTTCCCAACTGGGTGTTTAATCAGCTGAAGCCCGGCTGATCTCACTGCTGCAATCTGTTTACGAGGCACCATTAAGTGAAGGTGCACCTCAAAGCAGGAGCCAGATTGTTAACACACAGAGATAGTGGTAAGATTTCTCTACTATAAAAAAAGCAAACACGTGGTTTCTGTAGGGAAACCACAGAATGCCAGAGACTGGACAGACCGAATGAAGCATTCTTCAGCCAGGGGCAGCCATGCAGGAAACCAGGCCTATGGGGCCATTTTAGAGAAATCTGGATTTTTCGGTACAATATCCTGACTTCGCAAGCACTAATTTAAACTGCAGTTTGCAACCAAGAAGACATGCTTACAGATTGGATTGTGCTCATGAACTGTTTTCCCTGCCTTACAGGCATAGGAATTTGATTTTGTAGTCCATAAGAGATCCTTATTAAGCAAAATCAGGTGAGCCCCAGTCATTCACCACCATCTGTGAAATTTAGTGTCCTCTTGTAATGGTGGTGGTAGCTCATAGCAGGGAAGGTAAACTTAAAATGGGACATTTCATTCTGATCCTATGCACATATATGCGTTTTCTCTGGAGCCAAGGCTCCTACCCACTCTATTCAAGGGCTCCACTTTTATTGTTTTTATTGTGCTTACACTTTGGGCTTCATTTTTAGGCAGGTTTTCTGAATTAAAGGGCTGGGGGGGTTGTGGAAAAGGTTGCAAGACCATTGCTCCAATTCTTTAATACATGTATTAAATGTTTACTATGCTAGGCACTGTGGTAAGTGCTTATTCATTGCGCAATTTAATCCTCATTAGGTTCACTATCACCTTTAGTTATACATGAAGAAAACAGGCATAGGTAGGTTAAATAAGTTGCCCAAAGTCACACAGCTGGTAAGGGTCACAGCAGAGTTGATGCTGGGTTATCTGACTGGAGTCCAGGCGCCTCACCAGCATGGTATTGTCCTGCCTTCGTCTACTTCCTTACTGAACATGCTACTGAAGATATACAAGATCATTTATCTTGAGCAGTGTTTCAGACTGAAGGTCAAACTGATCAGTGGGTTGAAATATTAATGAGTCATGGCAGAATAGAAAATTCCAGTGCATTAAGTTTTGTCTCATGAAGCTGTTTGTTATGTATTAGGATCTGGCATGTGCTATCACAGTATCTCACTTAAGTCAGTAGGTCTCAGCCATCTACTCTGGACCTCTACTTCCCAATAAATAGAACAAATGGCATCTGAAGAGAGCAAATGCAGTATTTGCGCAAGGATAGGATAAGAGAGTTTGCACAAAGGGGTTAATAACTGATAATGGCTCAATACCTAGGCACTTCTCCCTCCAAAAGGCATTCTTTTTTTTTTTTTTTTTTTTTTGAGGCGGAGTTTCACTCTTGTCGCCCAGGCTGGAATGCAATGGTGCAATCATGGCTCACTGCAACCTCAGCTTCCCGGGTTCAAGAGATTCTCCTGCCTCAGCCTCCCAAGTAGCTGGGATTACAGGCGCCTGCCACCACGCCTGGCTAATTTTTGCATTTTTAGTAGAGGTGATGTTTTACCATGTTGGCCAGGCTGGTCTTGAACTCCTGACCTCAGGTGATCCACTCACCTCGGCCTTCCAAAGTGCTGGGATTATAGGTGTGGGCCACTGCGCCTGGCCCATTTTTTTTTAAGGATAGCTTTCCTTAATGGATGAATTTTAGGCAAGAGAACATTTGTTTTGCGCAAGGGGGCTCTTCCACAACTGTACACTGTCTTTTCCCAAAGAGATTCTTCTGGGAAAGAGAACATCATATAGTAAGAAACTTGGCAAAGCAGAGGGCAGGAACCCTCAGAGAATCTAATGAAAGCTATGGGCCCTATGGGCCTCTACTGAGACCCATGTCCCCAAGCCCCACATGAGCCTGCCCCTACACATAATTTCAGAGGGTTCGGGAACCCTAAAGGCCATTATCACTTCTAAACAACCAGTTGTAGTTTGTTGTCCTTTGAGAAGTATGGTGTGTTCATGTATTCATGTTTGGAAATGCCTTTTTTAAGGTCAAACGTCCAGAATTTTGATGTTACAAAGGTGAGTGAAAATAAGTTGACAATTAATCCTTGGTTATGCTCACTGACCTCAGGGTTATAATAGAAAAGAGTGCAATTTTACACATCCCTCAGGTGCTTTAAACCTTTTGGAACTCATCTCAAAGCTATTTTAGATGCAAAGCTTTAAAACCTAACGGTAGGGTATTCTAAGACTTTTTACTAAACAAGTTCATAGAAAATTATAAAATGTAAGCAAGCATAACGAAAAAGTTATAACAATCTACAATTCCACTATCAGAAATATTGTTAATATTTTGGTAAATGTGGTTCCAGATTTTTCTCTATAAAAATATTTTGGGATCATACTATACATACTAAACTTGCTTTTTTCTTTACTATATTCATTCATCTGCCTGCCCAGTAATGTTCTAGACATCAGAGAATCCAGTGGTAAACCAGAAAGGCAGGGTCCTAGATTTCATGATGCTTACCTTTTCAAATGGGGAGAGCCATACCTTATAACAAGAAAATACCAAATGCAAACCATGTTTAAAAAAAAAAAGCCAAGCATGGTGGCTCATGGCTGTCATCCCAGCACTTTGGGAGGCCGAGGCAGGCAGATCACTTGAGGTCAGGAGTTCAAGACCGGCCTGGCCAATATGGAGAAAAATCCATCGCTACTAACACACACACACAAAAATTAGCTGGTCATGGTGATGCATGCCTTTAGTCCCAGCTGCTTGGAGGCTGGGGCAAGAGAATTGCTTGAGCCCGGGAGGCAGAGGTTGCAGTGAGCCGCCATCGCGCTGCTGCACTCCAGCCTGGGTGACAGAGTGAAACTCCATCTCAAAACAAGAACAACAAAAAACGATGCTGGCCATTTTATATGAGGTGTTGGAGGTGGGAGAAGCATGTTGCAGGGAGTCACTAAGGTGACATCATTTAAGGTCTTGAGGTTCGATGGCCTGTGCCCAGGCTGCACAGGAGTCAAGAGTATTCTGACATTAGACTGATTGGGGAAGAAAACTAGATGGTGAATACGAAGTGTGTTAGGGATTAAATGTAGACACACATAAGGAACTTGGATATGAAGTTACTAGGTTTTCAGCAGGTAATGATGTAAGTTGATTTGATTTTAAAGATCACTAAAGCAACTGTGTGGAAAAGAGATTGTCAGAAGGGAAGAGCTGAAGAGACCGATTGGAAGCTATTGCACAAGTCTGCGATGGAGATGATGGTGGCTCAGAGCAGAAATAGAAGTGGATATATTTGGAGTGTACAAGAAGAGACAACAGGACTATGTAACTGAATGGCAGCAGGGTGAGGGAAAGAGGAATCAGCTTATGTTTTAGGTTTAAGTAGCTGGGTAGGCGGTATTATTTAGTGCAACTGGGGACAGAACAAGTTAGATATAAAAATCAAGATTTCTACGTAGAATTGTTAATGTGAGATGCCCATCAAACATCCAGGTGGATAACTGCGGGGCAGTGGCATGTGAGTCTCTTGGAGCTCAGTGGTCAGGTAGAACTGGAGATACCATTTTGGAGTCACTAGTCTCACCCCAGATGAGATCCACGAGGGCAAAGTTTTTTTTTTTTTTTTTTTTTTCTTTTTTTTAGGCTAGGCAAGGTGGCTCATTCCTGTAATCCCAGCACTTTGGGAGGCCGAGGAGGGTGGATCACCTGAGGTCAGGAGTTTGACAGCAGCCTGGCCAACGTGGCGAAACCCCGTCTCTACTAAAAATAGAAAAATTAGCCGGGCGTGGTGGTGGGCATCTGTAATCCCAGCTACTCGGGAGGTTGAGGCAGGAGAACTGCTTGAACCTGGGAGGCGGAGGTTGCAATGAGCTGAGATTGTGCCACTGCACTGCAGCCTAGATAACAAAGGGAGACTCTGTCTCAAAAAAAAAAAAGTACATTTTTTAACTCTAAAAGTATAAGATACATAAAATCTACTGTCAGCGTACAGCACAATGAATTTCACAAATTGCACACCCAATGTAACCAAGATTAACAGACCCTCACCCAGAAGCTCTCCCAACATGGCCATCACTAGCTTGGCTTAACAGATTTATTTTGCCATGTTTTGTCTATTATATGACAGAGTCATATGTATTATTTTACATCTGGTTTCTTTCAAGCACCATTATGTTAATGATACTCATCTATACTGTTGAGTAGTGCATTGTGTGGGTGGATATTTACATTTATCCATTCTACTATGAATGAGAATTTGGGTTGCTTCCAGAATTTGTCAACTATGAAATAGTGCCGCTATGAATACACACATTGTAGTACATGTGTTTTGGTGGGGATATGTGTTTCTGTTGAATGTGTATCTGGGAGAATTTCATTGTCGTAAGCCTTATGTTAACAGTGTTCCAATATATACTCCCAGGATATGAAAGTGCAATTGCTGGCTGGGCATGGTGGCTTGTGCCTGTAATCCCAGCACTTTGGGAAGCCGAGGTGGGCGGATCACCTGAGCTCAGGAGTTGGAGACCAGCCTGACCAACATGGTGAAATCCCATCTCTACTAAAAAATACAAAAATTAGCTGGGCGCAGTGGTAGGTGCCTGCAATCCCAGCTACTTGGGAGGCTGAGGCAGGAGAATTGTTTGAACCCAGGAGGCGGAGGTTGCAGTGAGCCAAGATCGCGCCAAAGCACCCCAGTCTAGGCGACAGAGCAAGACTCTGTCTCAAAAAAAAAAGCAATGCAACTGCTTCACATCTTTGTTAATTACCTATATAATAAGTGCAATAAGCACACAATAAATATCTGTTGAAAGGACTAATTTGAACACAGATGGCATTTAAAACTATGGGCTTGGATAAGACATCTTGGAAGAAATGTGATTAGGTAAGAGGGCTGATGAACAAAGCCTTGGGCAACTCCCACATTTGCAGAACTGGCAGGAGCATAAAGGAGGAAAATGGGAGAGCTTGGAGTTCTGCAAAACATGAGAAAAATGTGTTTCGAAGGGGCAGTCAACTGCTTTGAATGCTTCCAAGAGACCATAAGATAAGGCAGTGGTTTGGGAAAAGAGGATTCAGGAGTTCTGATCTTGGTCATTTCAAGCCTGAGTAGCTTATGCATTAATCACTCAAATGGACACCTCAAACGTGCAGCTGGATATAGGAGTGTAAAATCTGAGTCTAAGACAAGTATTTGTGAGTGTAAATATATTTCTGAAGGAGAGTATAGATGGGTAAGAGATTGGGTCCCAGTTTTGGGGCATTTCCATGTAGAAGTTGAAAAGAAGTAGATACCTACAGAGCAAAACTATGAGAGTGATGAGACAGAAGAGAAATCTGGAAAGTGTCTTGTCACTGAGGTAATGCCAACATCAACTGTGTTAAATGTTGCTGAGAATAGAAAAATGATCACTGAATTGACCAATTACCAATGAATAAATAATTACTCCAGTAAATAAATATACTTCCATATGATCATTTTGAATGGTTGCACAAAACTCTGTTGCGTGGCTCTACCAAAACCTGCTCAATCAGTTCCATTGTTGAATTTGTAGATTCTTCTCAAACCTTTAGAATCATAAATGATGTCACCTTGAGAATGTTCTAAGAGTATTGTGTCAAATACTCTAAGGGCATTTGGGTCAAAAAAATATGCACATTAGAAAGGTTTTAGGCCGGGCGCGGTGGCTCATGCCTGTAATCCCAGCACTTTGGGAGGCTGAGGTGGGCAGATCACATGAGGTCAAGAGTGGGAGACCAGCCTGGCCAACATGGTGAAATCCCATCCCTACTAAAAATACAAAACTTAGCCGGACGTGGTGGTGAGTCACTGTAATCCCAGCTACCTGGGAGGCTGAGGCAGGGAGAATTGCCTGAACCCGGGAGGCGGAGGTTGCAGTGAGCCAAGACTGCACCACTGCACTCCAGCCTGGGTGACAGAGTGAGACAGCCTCAAAAAAAAAAAAAAAAAAAAAAAGGTTTTGGACCTGGTGTGGTGGCTCATGCCTGTAATCCTATAATCCCAGCACTCTGGGAGGCCGAGGCGGGCGGATCACGAAGTCAGGAGATCGAGACCATCCTGGCTAACACGGTGAAACCCTGTCTCTAGTAAAAATACAAAACATTAGCTGGGCGTAGTGGCAGGCGCCTGTAGTCCCAGCTGCTCGGGAGGCTGAGGCAGGAGAGTGGCGTGAACCTGGGAGGTGGAGCTTGCAGTGAGCCGAAACTGCGCCACTGCACTCCAGCCTGGGTGACAGAGCGAGACTCTGTCTCAAAAAAAGAAAAACAAAACAAAACAAAACAAAGTACGGTGGTGGGTTGGTTTGAAGAATCTAAGAGGGCTATTTCTGGCATTTCCACTATTCCACCATGATTTCCTTGAGAGACTTGCTCTGTCGCCCAGGCCGGAGTGCAGTGGCGCGATCTTGGCTCACCGCAAGAGCTCTGCCTCCTGGGTTTCACCCCATTCTACTGCCTCAGCCTTCCGAGTAGCTGGGACTACAGGCACCCGCCACCATGCCCGGCTAATTTTTTGTATTTTTAGTAGAGACGGGGTTTCACCGTGTTAGCCAGGATGGTCTCGATCTCCTGACCTCGTGATCCGCCCGCCTAGGCTTCCCAAAGTGCTGGGATTACAGGCCTGAGCCACCGCGCCCGGCCTATTCCACCATGATCTCTACCCCTCCTCCCGAATGTTAGTGGTGTAACTATGACAACAAGCACGCGCTGCTCAAGGCTCAATTTTCCAGCCGTTACCGACCTCCACCGCGTCACTGTACGCTGCCCAGAAACTCTGAGGCGGATCCCCCAACCCAGTGTCAGACTGATCGCCTTTGGCCCGAGGGCGAGGAGCCACAGGACAGTATGGCCAAAGCGGCGGCCTCCTCGTCGCTGGAGGACTTGGACCTGAGCGGAGAGGAGGTCCAGCGGCTCACCTCCGCCTTCCAGGACCCGGAGTTCCGGCGAATGTTCTCCCAGTACGCCGAGGAGCTCACCGACCCGGAGAACCGGCGGCGCTACGAGGCGGAGATCACCGCGCTAGAGCGTGAGCGCGGGGTGGAAGTGCGGTTCGTGCACCCGGAGCCCGGCCATGTGCTGCGCACCAGCCTGGACGGGGCGCGGCGCTGCTTTGTGAATGTCTGCAGCAACGCGTTGGTGGGCGCGCCCAGCAGCCGGCCCGGCTCCGGTGGCGACCGGGGCGCAGCTCCTGGCAGCCACTGGTCCCTGCCCTACAGCCTGGCGCCCGGCCGCGAGTACGCGGGGCGCAGCAGCAGCCGCTACATGGTCTACGACGTGGTCTTCCATCCAGACGCGCTTGCGCTGGCCCGGCGGCACGAGGGCTTCCGCCAGATGCTGGACGCCACGGCCCTGGAGGCCGTCGAGAAGCAGTTCGGCGTGAAGCTGGACCGCAGGAATGCCAAGACCCTGAAGGCCAAGTATAAGGGGACCCCAGAGGCTGCGGTGCTGCGCACGCCCCTGCCCGGGGTCATCCCCGCAAGGCCTGACGGGGAGCCGAAGGGTCCTCTCCCGGACTTCCCCTACCCTTACCAGTACCCGGCAGCCCCCGGGCCCCGGGCGCCCTCCCCTCCGGAAGCGGCCTTGCAGCCCGCCCCCACCGAGCCTCGCTACAGCGTGGTGCAGCGCCACCACGTGGACCTCCAGGATTACCGCTGCTCCAGGGACTCAGCCCCGAGCCCCGTGCCCCATGAGCTGGTGATCACCATCGAACTGCCGCTGTTGCGCTCGGCCGAGCAGGCGGCGCTGGAGGTAACGAGAAAGCTGCTGTGCCTCGACTCGAGGAAACCTGACTACCGGCTGCGGCTCTCGCTCCCGTACCCAGTGGACGATGGCCGCGGCAAGGCACAATTCAACAAGGCCCGGCGGCAGCTGGTGGTTACGCTGCCAGTGGTGCTGCCGGCCGCGCGCCGGGAGCCCGCTGTCGCCGTCGCCGCCGCCGCGCCGGAAGAGTCCGCGGACCGGTCCGGAACTGACGGCCAGGCCTGCGCTTCCGCTCGCGAGGGGGAGGCGGGACCCGCGAGGAGTCGCGCGGAGGACGGAGGCCACGATACCTGCGTGGCTGGGGCTGCGGGCTCCGGGGTCACCACCCTGGGCGACCCGGAGGTGGCGCCTCCGCCGGCCGCAGCTGGAGAGGAGCGTGTCCCCAAGCCGGGGGAGCAGGACTTGAGCAGGCACGCGGGGTCACCGCCGGGCAGCGTGGAGGAGCCATCTCCTGGAGGAGAAAACTCACCTGGTGGCGGAGGCTCCCCTTGTTTGTCCTCCCGGAGCCTGGCGTGGGGTTCTTCTGCGGGAAGAGAGAGTGCGCGCGGAGATAGCAGTGTGGAAACACGCGAGGAGTCGGAGGGCACGGGCGGCCAGCGCTCAGCCTGCGCCATGGGTGGTCCCGGGACCAAGAGCGGGGAGCCTTTGTGTCCTCCGTTACTGTGTAATCAGGACAAAGAAACCTTGACTCTGCTCATTCAGGTGCCTCGGATCCAGCCGCAAAGTCTTCAAGGAGATTTGAATCCCCTCTGGTACAAATTACGCTTCTCCGCACAAGACTTAGTTTATTCCTTCTTTTTGCAATTTGCTCCAGAGAATAAATTGAGTACCACAGAACCTGTGATTAGCATTTCTTCAAACAATGCAGTGATAGAACTGGCAAAATCTCCAGAGAGCCATGGACATTGGAGAGAGTGGTATTATGGTGTAAACAACGATTCTTTGGAGGTAACAGTTCTTTCCAGAGTCCTCATATTTGAAATATCCCATCTCACTTTAAAAATTTGCTATTACCGGCCGGGCGCGGTGGCTCACGCCTGTAATCCCAGCATTTTGGGAGGCCGAGGCGGGCGGATCACGAGGTCAGGAGTTCTAGACCAGCCTGGCCAATACGGTGAAATCCCGTCTCTACTAAAAATGCAAAAATTAGCCGGGCATGGTAGCGGGCGCCTGTAGTCCTAGCTGCTCGGGAGGCTGAGGCAGGAGAATCGCTTGAACCCGGGAGGCGAAGCTTGCAGTGAGCCAAGATCGCGCCACTGCACTCTAGCCTGGGCGACAGAGGGAGACTCCGTCTCAAAAACAAAAAACAAAAAAAAAAACAACTTAAAATTTGAAGTTCTGAAGACTCTTTAAACTCATAAATGGACAATTGGTGGTTTTTGTTAATGTTACATGTAATTTTTTTAGCTCTTTTAACATAAACAAGAGTTAAGTGTTGAGAAACAACACTAGCTGCACGGATTATATATTAAAAATTAAGTATTAGTTGGCTGGGTGCGGTGGCTCACGCTTGTAATCCCAGCACTTTGGGGGGGCCAAGGCGGGTGGATCTTCTGAGGTCAGGACTTTGAGACCAGCCTGACCAACATGGCGAAACCCCGTCACTATTAAAAATACAAAAATTAGCTGGGCGTGGTGGCGGGCACCCGTAATCCCAGCTACTTGGGAGGCTGAGGCAGGAGAATCACTTGAACGCAGGAGGTGGAGGTTGCAGTGAGCCGATATCATGCTACTGCACTCCAGCCTGGGCAACAAGAGCGAAACTCTGTATCAAAAAAAAAAAAAAAGAAAAATTAAGTATTAGACTTTGGGCTTTAACTTACGAGAAAATTTTACTTTTCCCTCGTTTTTCTAGAAATTTGCTAGGAAGTTACATGTGTAATTTTTGAGTTGGGTATCTCTATGAGAAGTGGCTAATTGGAAACCTTCCAAAAGTGGTAAAATAAATAGCTGGGCTAGCTAAGGTAGTTTGTTAGAATATAAAATATGAAACTGAGTATCTGTTTTTGTCATCAGAAGTGGGACATTTAGGAAAGGGCAGTTGTTTTCCTGTAACAGTTTTAGTAAATATGAAAATAACCCACAATGTGGGAAGAAAACTTTGTAGACAAGCAATTAAGAAAATATTCAATAATACATTTTAATCCGATTTTCAAGTATGCTAACATTTTAGAAAATAAACGACGAAAATGGGATTAGGGCAACTGTATTTTATATCTTTGAAGCCTGAAATAGATTTGTAATTACTTCACTAATCATCACATTTTTCTAAAGCTGATGGAACAACAGCATGTAACTCTTTTGCTTTACTTTGTACTGGACCAGGCTCTCAGTGTTAAATTTTTGGAAAAAAATCATGAGTAGTGGAACATATATAATGATAATATTATATGCATTACATGAAAATAATCATAAAGAGACTGTTATGTGGCTTTCAAGGTCAGAACTTTACAAATAAATACTAAATATATGTATTGAAGTTTTCAGTGTTTACTGACAATTTTCCTAAATCTTCAGAGCCTCTGAGGTCAGTAACTTTTTCAGTTCATTAGTCATTTAATCAGTCATTAGACTGAGAAGGCAAGTTTATGCAAATCTTCTGGTTGTTTTTTGAGATGGAGTCTTGCACCGTCGCCCAGACTGGAGTGCAGTGGGGCGGCTCACTCACTGCAAGCTCCACCTCCCGGGTTCACGCCATTCTCCTGCCTCAGCCTCCCGAGTAGCTGGGCCTACAGGCACCTGCCACCACGCCAGGCTAATTTTTTGTATTTTTAATAGAGATGGGGTTTCACCGTGTTAGCCAGGATGGTCTTGATCTCCTGACCTCGTGATCCACCCGCCTCGGCCTCCCAAAGTGCTGGGATTACAGGCATGAGCCACCGCGCCCGGCTGCAAATCTTCTGTATTTTAATCATAACCATGTCCACTATATATTCCTTCGGATAACTAAAAATTAAAATATTTGGTGTATTATTTGCAAGGAGTCAAAGATGATGTCTTTTCCCAGAGGCATGAACCTTAGAAATGCTTTCGATGGGGATGTTTCTGTAACACTGTGTTATTCTGGATCTTCAAATAATAGCAAAGCCAGTTACTCTAAATGTAAAATTTTTCTATTCCCAAGGTTCACTTTTGTTTGGTAGGTTTTCACGATTTTAAATACTGTTTAATGGAAGAAAAATACGTAGCCAGGCGTGGTGGCTCACACCTGTAGCCCCGGAACTTTGGGAGACTGAAGCAGGCAGATCACGAGGTCAGGAGATTGAGACCATCCTGGCCAACAAGGTGAAACCCTGTCTCTACTAAAAATACAAAAATTAGCTGGGCGTGGTGGTGCACGCCTGCAGTCCCAGCTACTTGGGAGGCTGAGGCAGGAGAATTGCTTGAACCCGGGAGGTGGAGGTTGCAGTGAGCTGAGATCACGCAGTTGTACTCCAGCCTGGTGACAGAGTGAGACTCTTTCTCAAAAAAAAAAAAAGTGTGTGTGTGTGTGTAGAGAGTTTGTGTGTGTGTGTGTGTGTGTAGAGAGTTTATGTGTGTGTGTGTGTGTGTGTGTGTGTGTGTGGAGAGAGAGTTTATTTGGGCCAAAATAGAGGACTGCAACCTGGGAAACACATATTCAAGTTGCCCTGAATATATGTTCCCAAGTTCAAGAAACTTGAAACTTGTTTCTTTCTGATATTTTCCACCTATTTGGACCAAATAATGAGCTGTGTTTATTTTGTAATTACAAAATTTGCTTATATAAAACTACAGAGGAAAACATTTTTATTTGGGGCAACAATGAACTGCTTTTATAAATTAATTTAAAATATGGTTAATATGGTTATTCTCCCCACACCCTAACTATACACCTGTATTCACTTGACATGAACAAACTGCTTTGTGTTTGGGATTCAGGTAAAAGGTGATTTTTGCATTTTCTAGTAATAGTTTAGAAATCTTTTCATGTCAGCATCTTGAAATCTACCTCATTATTTATTTATTTATTTATTTATTTGGGAGACAGAGTCTCGCTCTGTCTCACCCAGGCTGGAGTGCAGTGGTGCGATCATGGCTCACTGCAGCCTCAACCTCCCAGACTCAAGCGATCATCCCACCTTAGCCTCTGGAGTAGCTAGGACCACAGGTGCATGCTACCACTCCCGGCTAATTTTTGTATTTTTTGTAGAGATGAGTTTTGCCATGTTGCCTAGGCTGGTCTCGAACTTCTGGGCTCAAACAATCCACCTGCCTTGGCCTCCTAAAGTGCTGGAATTATAAGCATGAGCCACTGTGCCCAGCCTAATTTTTTTCATAATTTACTTTTTCTCTGGAGCATAGATTCAAAATGCCCTGAATATATGCTCTCTACTTCATTCTTTTAATAACTATACAGTTTGCTAATGTTACGCTGGAGTATCCCAGTGCTTAAAAATATAATACACTTGGCTGGGTGCAGTGGCTCACGCCCGTAATCCCAGCACTTTGGTAGGCCAAGGTAGGAGGACAGCTTGAATCCAGGAGTTGGAGACCAGCCTGGACAACAAAGTGAGACCTGTATCTACAAAAAATGTCAAATTTTTTTTTTTGAGACAGAGTCTCACTCTGTCGCCCAGGCTGGACTCACTGCAATCTCCGCCTCACGGGTTCACGTGATTGCAGTTTTAGTAGAGACAGGGTTTCACTATGTTGGCCAGGCTGGTCTCGAATTCCTGACCTGAAGTGATCCACCCACCTTGGCCTCCCAAAGTGCTGGAATTACAGGCGTTAGCTGCCACACCAGGCCCCAAAAATGTAAAAATTAGCTGGGCATTATGGCATGCACCTGTAGTCCCAGGTACCCAGGCACTTGGGGGCACAGGTGGAGGATTGCTTGAGCCAGGGAGGTCAAGGCTGCAGGGGGCTATGAGTGTGCGACTGCATTCCAGCCTGGGCAACAAAGTGAGACCCTGTCTCAAGGCAAAAAAAAGAAAAAAAGGGGGGCGGGGGCTGGGTGTGGTGGTGGCTCACGCCTGTAATCCCAGCACTTTGGGAGGCCAAAGCAGGTGGATCACTTGAGTGCAGAAGTTTGAGGCCAGCCTGTGCAACAGGGCAAAACCCTGTCTCTACAAAAAAATGCAAAACTTAGCCGAGAGTGGTGGCATGTTCTGTGGTCCCAGCTACTGTAGAGGCTGAGGCGGGAGGATCACTTGAGCCTGGGAGGTCAAGGCTGCAGCGAGCCGTGATTATGCCACTGCACTCCAGCCTGGGAGACAGAGCAAGACTCTGTCTCAAAAACAAAATCAAACAAAAAAACACACCACTTATTTGAAATAAAATACTGTAATTGGCTCTTACCTGCCCAAGAACTAAAAGGTCACACAAAATTTGAATAGATCTTTTCATGTATATTTCTTAGCCACCTCATTAGGAAATGTTTTAAAGCTGAATTATATTTTGTATCTGGGATCCCATTTATAGCCCTAGAGATGATGTTATTCTTCTGAAATACTAAAAGAGGCCAGCTGTGGTTGCTCACACCTGTAATCCCAGCCCTTTGGGAGGCCAGGGCAGGTGGATAGCTTGAGGTCAGGAGTTCAAGACCAGTCTGGCCAACATGGTAAAACCCCATCTCTACCAAAAATACAAAAATTAGTCCGGCATGGTGGCAGTCGCCTGTAATCCCAGCTACTCGGTAGTCTGGGGCAGGAGAATTGCTTGAACCTGGGAGGCGGAGGTTGCAGTGAGCCGAGATTGCACCACTGCACTCCAGCCTGGGCAACAGAGTGAGACTATGTCTCAAAAAAACAAAACAAAAGAAACAAAAAAAGAAAGAAAAATACTAAAAGGTCAGGTTTAATAGACAGAAAAAGTACCAAGACCTCTTTCTTTTAGGTTCTTTTTCTATACGTTTATGTTTGTTCTCAGTACAACTCTTATTGCTCTGTACAATACCAAACTTAAATTTTTCTAAGACAGCTCATAGGAATAACATTAAAATAAACATTTTAAAAAGTGTAACCCTGAACAATGTGAGAATTTTTGTGAGCTGCTTTGAGATACAACTGTTGTCAAGTGGGACTTATTAGGCAGAATATTTTTTCCCTTTTTATTTTAGGAAAGGTTATTTGTCAATGAAGAAAATGTTAATGAGTTTCTTGAAGAGGTCCTGAGCTCTCCATTCAAACAGTCTATGTCCTTGACCCCACCATTAATTGAAGTTCTTCAAGTTACTGATAATAAGATTCAAATTAATGCAAAGGTAAGGAAGTTGATGGGCTCTATAGAGGAGTAATGAAGCACAGAGTTAAAACCTAACAAATTATTGATTTCTTAATATCATAACTTTAAACAAAATTTACATAATGGTTGGGCAGAGTGATGTTAAGAGAAGAAAAGTTTTTCTTTTTTTTTTTTTTGAGATGGAGTCTCCCTCTGTCACCCAGGCTGAAGTGCAGTAGCGCGATCTCATCTCACTGCAACCTCCGCCTCCTGGGTTCAAGCGATTCTCCTGCCTCAGCCTCCCAAGTAGCTGGGACTACAGGAGCATGCTACCATGCCTGGCTAATTTTTTGTATTTTTAGTAGAGATTGGGTGTCACCGTGTTAGCCAGGATGGTCTCGATCTCCTGACCTCATGATCCACCCGCCTCGGCCTCCCAAAGTGCTAGGATTACAGGCATGAGCCACCGCGCCCAGCCAAGAAAAGCCTTTTGTCTGTGTATGTATTATGTGCTAAACACTTTGCTATTCATTTTCACATTATTTAATCCCAAAATAACCCTACAATGAGGAACAAAGAGAAACTAACACTTAGGAAGTTTGAGTACTAGTCCAGGGACATACAATCTTTTTTGACTCTCAAACCATGAGAACTATGTTATACAATTTGTACGTTCTTTCTAATTCAATCTTAATTTTGGTCATTTTTATAGTCTTCAGTATTGAAGATGCAAATGATTTAGTAACTACCACAATCGACAGACATATGTATTAGAAGGGCGGCTCTGAAAAATTAGAGGAATTCAAGAAAATTTAAGAAATTCAACAATGTGCTTATAACTGTTAAATAGTTTTGTAGACCATGTTGAAAAGTATGGATTATTGTTGTGAAAGGATATAATCAGGATATTAGTGCCAGGTTTACATTGTTAAAAAATGACTGGCAGTAGGCTGGGTGCAGTGGCTCACACCTGTAATCCCAGCACTTTGGGAGACCGAGGCAGGCGGATCACCCGAGGTCAGGAGTTCGAGACTAGCCTGGCCAACAGTGAAACCCCGTCTGTACTAAAAATATAAAAATTAGCCGGGCGTCATGGCAGGCACCTGTAATCTCAGCTACTTGGGAGGCTGAAGCAGGAGAATCGCTTGAATCTGGGAGGCAAAGATTGCAGTAAGCCAAGATTGCGCCACTGCACTCCAGCCTGGGCGACAGAGCCAGACTCAATCTCAAAAAAAAAAAAAAAAAAAAAAAAGACTGGCAGCAGACTAGTCGTGATGGCTCATACCTGTAATCCCAGCACTTTGTGGATCATTTGAGGTCAGGAGTTCGACACCAGACTGGGCAACATGGTGAAACCCTGTGTCTACTAAAAATACAAAAATTAGCCGGGCGTGGTGGTGCATGCCTGTAATCCCCTCTACTTGGGAGGCTGAGGCAGAATTGTTTGAACCTGGAGGCAGAGGTTGTAGTCAGCTGAGATTGTGCCAGCCTGGGCGACAGAGCAAGACTCCGTCTCAAAACAAAAAAAGTCATCCTTCAAATGCTGCCTGTCTTTTTCTTTTTTTGACAGGGTCTTACCCTGTCACCCAGGCTGGAGTACAGTGGCACTATCTCGGCCCAGTGCAACCTCCACCTCCCGGGTTCAAGTGATTCTTCTGCCTCAGCCTCTCAAGTAGAGGGGATTATCAGGTGTGCTCCACCACACCCGGCTAATTTTTGTGTTTTTAGTAGAGATGGGGTTTCGCCATGTTGGCCAAGCTGGTCTCGAACTCCTGACCTCAAGTGATCTGCCTGCCTTGGCATCCCAAAGTGCTGGGATTACAGGCATGAGCCACTGTGCCCAGCCTGGAGGATGAATTTTGACAGGAAAGCCTGGATGTATACCTGCAGGTCTGTAAGGGCTATTACCTCACAACTGTTAAAAATTTTATTTCCAGAGGGTAGTACAATTTAATTTTGTATTATTTAAAATAATTATTAATTTGTTGTTTCTCTTGACACAGTTGCAAGAATGTAGTAACTCTGATCAGCTACAAGGAAAGGAGGAAAGAGTAAATGAAGAAAGTCATCTAACTGAAAAGGAATATATAGAACATTGTAACACCCCTACAACTGATTCTGATTCATCTATAGCAGTTAAAGCACTACAAATAGATAGCTTTGGTTTAGTTACATGCTTTCAACAAGAGTCTCTTGATGTTTCTCAAATGATACTTGGAAAATCTCAGCAACCTGAGTCAAAAATGCAATCTGAATTTATAAAAGAAAAAAGTGCTACTTGTTCAAATGAGGAAAAAGATAACTTAAACGAGTCAGTAATAACTGAAGAGAAAGAAACAGATGGAGATCACCTATCTTCATTACTGAACAAAACTACGGTTCACAATATACCTGGATTCGACAGCATAAAAGAAACCAATATGCAGGATGGTAGTGTGCAGGTCATTAAAGATCATGTGACCAATTGTGCATTCAGTTTTCAGAATTCTTTGCTATATGATTTGGATTAATTCTATATAATTTTGGACTTTTAAATATTAAGGTTAAAAAATACCTGTATCTAAAATTGATTCTGTTAACTGTTGTCTTAAAACTAAAGGTATTAAAGTATAAAATTAAAATTTGCAATTTTTTTTAAAAAATTGCAATTTTGATTCTCATGGGGGAAATTGGAGATAATTTTTTTTTTTTTGCCTCTGGAGTTTAAAGTTTCCTTATGGAGATAAGTTTTGTGATTCCTGTAATAGATGTGTATGTTTTCTATTTGAGAGTTAAAACATTTGAGAGTTAAAACATTTAGTTTTAATACAACCTATGTATATATACTTCTGTGTTAAATTTTGCTTTGTCATTAATAAAATTTAAAAATATTCACTAATTGTGTTTGTCACACAAAGTAATTCTCAAGAATGCATTTAACTGGAATTATAAGTACATGTGTGGGGGGTAGAATTTCAAAACTGTTTCTCAGTCTCACTAAGTAGGACATATTTAAGCTTGAAATAGAGCTTAGAGGGGAAAGAACTTTACTAACCAATATTAATCTAAACAATTACGATACAAATTCACCAGATAAAATGTAGTACTTTTCATCAGCTCTATATTTTGTCACACAAACTATATATATTTTTGTTACATAAAGTATATATAATAGATTTAGTTATTTAGTAATGATTTTCAAAATTCAATTTTGAAGTATTTCTTAGAAGTTATTGAAATATTAAAACATCTTGTGGTTTTATAGAAATTTAAGAGTAAAACTGGAATTTTTAAAATCTGGCAATTTGCTCTGATAGGAAAATTGCCTTCATTACATTATTACACAGAAAAACAAAAAAAAGCCAGTGTTTCCTAATCACTTTCTTTTTTTTTAAGAGATGGGTCTTGCTATGTTGTCCAGACTGGATTCAAACTCTTAGGCTCAAGTGATCCTCTCATCTCAGCCTCCTGCATAATCAATTTCCTTTATAACACCTAAAATGTGAGGCAAAGAGAAGATCCTAACAGGTTTTTTTCTTACAAAAAATTTTAGGGCAGCCAAAGAAAATGAAAGGAAGGAAATACAGAAAGGGAAATATTTGTTGATTTAATCACTAACCCCAAAGCCAGGAGCTGATCTATTTGTTTCAAAAACAGCTACTACTTCACACTCTGGCCTTCTTAGCTCAGTCCTGGAAATAACCTAATTTTTTAGTTCTTTGAACTAGTGATGTCAGGTCAGAGTACCAGAAATAGGTACAAAGCCTCCTGATTCACCCTTATTTATAACCCCCAGGCAAAATCTTGCACCAGACTGGGCCGTGGGTAAGTCTAAAGGTAGCTCGTAAAGCAAGAGAACTATTTGCCTCACCTTAGATAAGCATATGTGCTCTTAAACTACTATGAATCTTAAATTGATGCAATAATTTTGAGACTGCCATTTAATAGTTACAAGTTTAAGTAACTTTTTTTTTTTTTCTTTAGATGGAGCCTTGCTCTGTTGCTCAGGCTGGCGTGCAGTGGCACGCTCTAGGCTCACTGCAACCTCTGCCTCGAGACTCAAAGGATCCTCCCACCTCAGCCTCTCAAGTAGCTGGGACTACAGATGCACCACTACACCCGGCTAATTTTTTGTATTTTTAGTAGAGATGGGTTTTCGCCATGTTGCCCAGGCTGGTCTCAAACTCTTGAGTTCAAGCAATCTGCCTGCCTCAACCTCCCAGAGTGCTGGGATTACAGACATGAGCCACCACACCCAGCCCGTAATATCTTTACACAGAAATTAGTCTTTTATGAGAAATTCTCGGTTGAATGCAATTACAAATTAAGGGAAACTTCTATAAACGTCTACATTAAATATGGAGCAAAATTTAAGCCTGTTTCCTATAATTTTCTGTATCTGTCCTTTTAAAACGTATGATTTAAGTTAAAGCTGGCACTAGAAAGTATTTCACTTTGGCATGACTGAACTTTGTATCATTTCTGGCTTTCAAAAACAATTTAGGCTGTATTTCCCTTACACAGCAACTTTTTATCATTCATTTTCAATGCCTGGGTAATTTGAAAGCCAAACAGTTTCTTGCACAGGGAATGCATTGTCATAAGCTGGGTTTTATTTCAAACTCAATTATACAATGTAGCAATAGTAAATATTAAAATGTAATGCTAACTCAAAACTTGTAGAATGCCTTCACTGAATTTTGGTATAAAGAGTAAACAAAACTTATTCTGCAAAAGGATTAGGAACCTTTTTATGCAAAAATGAGTATTTTATTTTGTCAGCACTAAAAGAAAAAAAAAAACAAAACCACTGTATTTCTACATTGAGGTGAAAACAATGTTTAAACTTTCTTATCAATCAAATACATTCCAAAAGAAAGTGTGTTCTATGAAGGTTCCAAAACACACTCAAAACACAATAGTACAGGAATCTAATACTGAAAATGACTGTTCTGACAGGGTGTTTAACAAACATAACTTTTAAATTATTAAACCAGTGAAGCAATCCCTTCCTAATAAGTGTGTCAAGAGAGTGAAACTGGGTTTGTTCCATTAATACCCTAACAATTTCATCGTAATACTTTTTACTGCTATGACAGTTTTAAATAAATTTTGCTGTACTTAAAATAGGTTTTGAAAGTGGAAAAGTGTACAAAGTTTCAGATAAAAAGATTAATAAATGCAATTTAAATAAAATTTCCCCTCTTCTCTCATATCAACAATAATCAATTTTAGCAGATAACAGATTGAGCTTTAAAACCCTACTCCCAAAATGAAACCTTCAGTTTTAAATCTTAATCAGACATAACTGGAAAAGATTACTATGTATTTGGACACCTTTTACAAGATTTTGTTTTTGTATTAAAGCAGAAACCAGTTCCTAAACTCTTTTATTCAATTGTATGTCCTGTTTGGACAAATATCAAAAATAGAAGACTGTCGCTTTTGTAACTGTGATTTTCACTGCAGTCTTCTATAACTTTTACAGAGTTCATGGTCCCTAATATCTCCCCACCCTCCATTTTTTCTAGGTGGGGAAATGGCTACCACAGTAAACTTTTCACTGATAGTTAGAGTTTCTGGAAACATGTATTGTTTGTTATTATTTAAGAGTGACTCAATTTGGGCACTCTGAGTGGATGGTCTACAGGTTTTCTTGTGATGCATACCACAGTCTCCAGCATGAAAGATCCTAGGAATTTGAGGAACCAGCACTTTCCAGAATTTTGGAAGACAAGATACAGTCAAGTATTGAAGAGTCCAGTCCCAGTTATAATCATCATAAGTACAGAAAGTGTCTGTGCACTCGATCAGCTTCTGATAGGCATTCCGGGTCAAGGCTAGACCCATATTGTGCTCTGTGGATTTCCAAGTTTTCACATCTACCTTGTCAGCCATGCCATAGAAACTGCGACTGGCACTATAGGTCCCCAGGGAGAGAACATCACATTCAGGGCACTCTTGCTGCTTCAGTTTCCACATCTTTTTGAAGACATGGTAAAAGTCTGGGGCTAAGTAGTGATCCTCTTCTAGGAAAAGTATAAGGCCAGCATAATCTCGAAGAATTTTCACTCTTTCCCACACAAAATGCAGCTTCCACCACCAGTGATGTTTGGTCTGGGAGAATTTGGCCTCTCTATAATGGCCGAAGGAGTCGGGATACTCAGCATTGATGCACCCCAATTTCAAAGCGGCATTCTTCGGCAGGTCTCTGGGACAATCTCTAGGGTCACTACCTGGAAACTCGTTAGGGTACAACTGAATGCTGAAAGGAAAGAACACCTGCAGAACCGGACAGAAATTCACCCCGGCGATCAGCTGATTGATCTCGGTCGACCAGAAGTCATGGCTAAAGATGACGAGGACGTTGTCAATTCCCTGGGCTTTTCGAAGTGAGTCCAGCAGCAGTCTGAGGTATTCGGGCCGGTTATGCACCTGGACCACCAGCACCAGCTCCCGGGGGGCCCAGGTGCCAGCCTTATCTACATTCCTCAGGGTCTGATCAAAGTTCAGCTGGTACACCAGGGACCGGTACCGCAGCGTCAGGTTGTCCGCCTCGGGCTGGGGGACCGCCGGGACCAGGGAAGCCGCCGACACGTTGGAGACCCTGCGGATGCCCACAGCCACAGAGGGGTGGTCCCCACCGCGGCCGCCGGCACCCCGCGCGGGTTCGGCGTCCAGCAACGGTGGGGCGAGGGCCTCGTTCTTCCTTTGTCGCCCATTGCTGCTCCAGAGGACGAAGCCGCAGGCGGCCACCACGAGCGTCAGGATTAGCACCTTCCGTTTGTAGATGCGGAACCTCATGGTCTCCAGGGCCGGGAGCGCAGGCGGGCGGGCGCGGAAAGGAGCAGCTGCTTCTGCACGGAAGGGGCGGGCGGGCGGCGGCCGTCGCCTTGGCCTGTCACGGTCGGAACTGGCCCCCGCGGCTGCCCTCGCTAACTCATCCCGGGCCCCGGGGGTCCTGGGGCCCGAGACCTCTCATTTACCCCGCGCCGCCTGCGCTCCACACATCCTCGCCTGGCAGCTACAGCTCGAGCATCGGCGCCGCCGCTAGGAGCCGCGGCTCGGCTTCGTCTCCGTCCTCTCCATTCAGCACCACGGGTCCCGGAAAAAGCTCAGCCGCGGTCCCAACCGCACCCTAGCTTCGTTACCTGCGCCTCCAGCGGCCCTGCGTCCTCTGCGCTCTCATCCTTACAGGGGCCCTAGACGGCCAGAACTGAGCGACGCGGCCTCGCCTCACTCCGGCGGGGACCGTTATGACAACCCGCAACTGCCCCGCGGCACACCGCGGCCCTCCGGCCCACACCCCTCCGGCCCGCCCCTTAGACCGTTGGTTGGTGCTTTCCAGACGCGACCGAAGGCGCCTGACCGCCGTGGCCGGCTGCCTATTGGTTTGCAGTACTGTCGCTCAGGTGCAGTTCCCACTTCCGCCTGTTTCTTCCCTTTCCTGTTAGGCGAGAGCTGCGAAAGGCGAGAGCTGCGAAGGGCCAGGTGTCGGGCGCTGTTTCTCGGTAAGCTAAGAACGAGGCTGTAGCGGCTCCAATAGGAGCCTCCCTTGCTCAGAATCCTGGGTAGGACTAGGCCTTCTTAGGAAAGGGAAGGCGAGACCTATGGCCCTCGCCGGCCTTAGTTCGAGAGCAGGCTTCTCCCTTCAGGAAAAAGGTCTCAGGCATGGCGGCTATAGAATCGCGGGGCGCGCCGGCTTGATAAGGACACGTCAGCCCTCGAGGCTGCTGACGGGTGACTGTGCTTCGGAGGGGAAAAGTGATACTACGCTGATGTGGTTCTCGTAGAAGGAACGGGGCGGGTCGTAACCGTAGCTACAACGTCGCGCGCTGCCCCAGCCATTCTCTAGAGCTGGAAAATGGAGGAGGTGGGTGGGGGGAAGGGGGTCAAAGAAACTCTGGTCCTTAACTTCCTTTTCGGAAGAAAATTAGATGAACCGCACTTTTCTTTTGGAGCAGTCACAATAAATTAAACTCATTTCGTACGGAAAACGGACTGTATTGGGCCTCCTAAAGCTGCTGCTGTCGGTTTTCGTGAGTCTTGTTCTATATGAGAAAAGAAGAATGGCTCGGAGCATTGTTAATTATTTGAGATGTGCAAAATTTGCCGGGCCCAGAGAGACAGCAGTATGGGACTTCAGACACCTCCCCACTTAATGCCTGGCATTTTATTCCTGACTAGCTGCTTCACCCATTATGTCCGCGTTCCTGGAATTTGTCATGAAAAGAATGATGTATAGCCAATCAATCGCTTGTGTTATTTTAATGTAAATTCTTGGTAGACAATTTAGGAACTGCCATTTTTTCCTCTAAAAACCCACTTGCAACTGCTGCTACTCAGGGCATTTTGAATCTGTGCTCTGGGTTGCAATCCTCAAACTTGCCCCAAATAAACATTCTACTTATATGAATTGTGCCTCAGTTCTTTTTTTTTTTTGAGACGTAATTCCGCTGTTGTTGCCCAGGCTGGAGTGCAATGGTGCGATCTCGGCTCACGGCAACCTCCGCCCCTCCCCACCCCGCCCAAGCGATTCTCCTTACAGGTATGCACCACCACCACGCCAGGCTAATTTTGTATTTTTAGTAGAGACGGGGTTTCTCCATGTTGGTCAGGCTGGTCTCGAACTCCGGACCTCAGGTGATCCGCCCTTCTCGGCCTCCCAAAGTGCTGGGATTACAAGCATGAGCCACCGTGCTCGGCCTTGCCTCAGTTCTTTAGGTCGACAAATTAGTCCTCCAGTAATTTAAACGAAGTGTTTCAAAAAGGTATGTACTTGTATGTGCGTTTATTCATATGGAAAAAGAGTACGTGGTGGATTTATATATTACTCATTTATGTGTACGGTTTTCCTGTATATACTTGTATAGCACTTTCACTTTTCGGAATGTTTAACGTCTGCTATCTTATTTTAAATATTTTACTACAGTTTTCATCATATAGACAAAACAGCCCTGCTGCAAAGATGGTCAACGTACCTAAAACCCGAAGAACCTTCTGTAAGAAGTGTGGCAAGCATCAGCCTCACAAAGTGACACAGTATAAGAAGGGCAAGGATTCTTTGTATGCCCAGGGAAGGAGGCGCTATGATCGGAAGCAGAGTGGCTATGGTGGGCAGACAAAGCCAATTTTCCGGAAGAAGGCTAAGACCACAAAGAAGATTGTGCTAAGGCTGGAATGTGTTGAGCCTAACTGCAGATCCAAGAGGATGCTGGCCATTAAGAGATGCAAGCATTTTGAACTGGGAGGAGATAAGAAGAGAAAGGGCCAAGTGATCCAGTTCTAAACTTTGGGATATTTTTCTTCAATTTTGAAGAGAAAATGGTGAAGCCATAGAAAAGTTACCCGAGGGAAAATAAATACAGTGATATTCTTACGCAAACTTTTTGTGGTTTTTACTTATAAATAGAATTCCATGTTTAGTGTAGTCCCACCTCAAACTTTACTAACAAGTTTATATATGTATGAAGGGAAAATACTACTTTACTACTTTTTGTTTTCTGGTCAATTTCAAATGTTGAATGAATTCATAAACATTGAGCAGCTTAGAAGGATCTTTAAGATTTTGCAAGAGAAGGAACAAGATAACGCTAGGCTTGTGTATAGCAGGCTGGGTTGGGCAAAGGATGGAAGTTGGGGGATAGTAAGAGCTGACCAAATATTCTGTCTAGTAGGGGCCGCTAGCCAGGTAATGTGTTTCCTGTTACACTAGTCAGATTTAGTACTCAACAGCCACGTGTGGCTAGTTTATTGGACAACACAGATGTAAAACATTTCCACCGCAGAAAGTTCTTTTGGACAGTACTGTTAGAGACTGTGGCCTTGAATATAAAAGGATAGTTCAAAATTGACTTCACACTAAAGTTCTCAATCTAGTGAAAGTCCAAGATAGCATAAACTGTTTTTTGAACCTCTTAGAACACTCTGGGAGGTACTCAAAAAAAAATTTTTTTTTGAGACAATCTGTCACTGTAACCCGCACTGGAGTGCAGTGGCACATTCATGGCTTACTGTGGCCTCTCAGGCTCTGTAGCTCTGTAGGTCCTGCCTTAGCCTTGGAGTAGTTGGGTACCACCATGCCTGGCGAATTTGCCTGGCTAATTTTATTTCTTTTTTTTTTTTTTTAAAGATGGGGTCTCACTCCTGGGCTCAAGCAATTCTTGAGCCTAGGCTGGTCTCAACTCCTGGGCTCAAGCAATTCTCCCATCTCAGCCTCCCAAAGGGTTGGGATTACAGTGTGCTACTGTGCTTGGCCAGAACTTGACAGTTAGGAAGGTTTAGGAGTTATGACTGAAAACAAGAAGGTTGAAATTCACAATGAAAAAAGTTGAGCCTTGTAATTATGAAAGGCAAGAAAAGTTCAGTATCAAGTGAAAAACTGGGAAAAGGTAGGGGTTATAAGAGGTCAAATTCTGCCTTTTGTATATGAATTTAAGTTGACTAAGATACATGGGAATGACAGTAGTTAGAGGAATGCAAAGGGCTAGGGTGTGTAGGAGTAACAGATGGTTTGCACATAATCCCAATAACTGACTATTATAGCTGCATTTGATTGTAAAAAAAAATGTAAAAATCATGTATACGAGTTTATTTTTAAATACATCACCATCACTTTTTCCTTTTTTTGGAGACGGGTCTCGCTCTGTTGCCCAGGCTGGAGTGCAGTGGCATACTCACAGCTCACTGCAGCTTTGGCCTCCTAGGCTCAAGCTATCCTCTCACCTCAGCCTTCCTAGTAGCTGTAGCTAGGACTACAGGCATGCAGCACTATGCTTGGCTAATTTTTGTATTTTTTATAGAGACGGAGTTTTGCCTTGTTCCTCAGGCTGGTCTCAAATTCCTGGGCTCAAAGGTTATCTACCCATTTCAGCCTAAAGTGTTGGGATTACAGGCATGAGCCACCTCACCTGGCCTACCATCACTTTTTAAAGAATGTTTTAATTCAGCTATTTTGTAATATTTATGGACAATCCCTCACCAACCTACAAGTTTAGAAAATCCTAAAATACTTAGGGAATTCTTGGTTTTAAAGACCAAAAGTAAATTAACTAGAATACAGTAGCCTGGGCTTAAAATCTGATTTGGGTTCATGGTACTTCTCTCGTAGGGTGATTTTTAAAGATTAAATGCTGCTTATAAAACACCTGGAACGGCTGAGTGCAGTGGGTCATGCCTGTAATCCCAGCAGTTTGTGAGGCCGAGGTGGGCGGATCACTTGAGGTCAGGAGTTCAAAATCAGCCTGACCAACATGGTGAAACACTGTCTCTACTATACAAAAATTAGATGGCCAGGCGTGGTGGCTCATTGCCTGTAATCTCAGCACTTTGGAAGGCCGAGGAGGGCGGATCATGAGGTCAGGAGTTTTGAGACCGGCCTGGTCAACATAGTGAAACCCTGTCTCTACTAAAAATACAAAAATTAGCCGGGTGTGGTGACACATGCCTATAATCCCAGCTACTCGGGAGGCTGACGCAGGAGAATCACTTGAATTTGGGAGGCAGAGCGGAGGTTGCAGTGAGCCAAGACCACGCCATTGCACACCAGCCTGGGTGACAGAGCAAGACTCCATCTCAAAAAACAAAAAAAACTGCATCTACTCAGGAGTATCTGAACTTTCAAAAAAGAAAAAAAAAATGCCCCAAATAAACATTTTAGGAAGACAAACGCGGTAAGGTAATTATTTTGTAAGAAATAATCTTACAGAGACCCTGCTAACAAGCCCAAAACAGCAATTACATTAACACTGGAGAGGGCTTTTCTCCAGTAACTTTTATTCTTTCCTTTGTTCACAAAAACGAGGCTGGGATTATTGCAATGTTCTGGTGGAGAGGCTGACTTGAGGTAGGTCGGTGGGAATGAACAGAATGAAAAAGTTAATACTGGTTCTATTTTCCATGAGTCTTTCAAGTTGGTTATTTTTCCATTCCTTATGCCCTAGTTCACGTCATCTTTTTTTGAGACGGTCTCCATCTGTCACCCAGGATTGAGTGCAGTGGCATGATCTTGGCTCACTGTAATCTCCCATGCTCAAGTAATCCTCCCACTTCAGCCTCCAGAGTAGCCAGGACTACAGGCGTACACCACAATGCTCAGTTAAGTTTTGCATTTTTTGTAGAGATAGGATTTTGTCTTCGTGCCCAGGCTGGTCTTGAATTCCTGGGCTTGAGCAATATGCCCGCCTCGACCTCCTGAAGTGCTGGGATTACAGGCATGAGCCACTGCACTGGGCCCAAATCACCATTTAGCTGGTGTATTGCCACTACTTTTAAAATCAAAAACATTAAACATTTTGTCATTTAATATGACAAAATAATAAACATTTTTGTCATATTATGTGACAAAAATAATTTAAAAACCCACCCTAATAATACAAAATGTAATCAGCAAAAAGTAGCAATTTTTGGCCGGGCATGGTGGCTCACTCCTGTAATCCCAGCACTTTGGGAGGCCAAGGTGGGCGTATAATGAAGTCAGGAGTTCGAGACCAGCCTGGCCATCATAGTGAAACCCTGTCTCTACTAAAAATACATAAAAATTAGCCGGGTGTGGTGGCACACACCTATAGTCCCAGCTACTTGGGAGGCTGAGGCAGGAGAATCGCTTGAACCTGGGAGGTGGAGGTTGCAGTGAGCCAAGACCATGCCGTTGCACTCCAGTCTGGGTGACAGAGTAAGACTCTGTCTAAAAAAAAAAAAAAAAAAAGTAGCAATTTTCTGTTCCCTTTCCCATCCCACCCAATCCCAAGGCACGGTGACTCAAGCCTGTAATCCCAGCACTCTGGGATGCCCAGATGGGTAGATCATTTGAGGTCAGGAGTTCAAGACCAGCCTGGCCAACATGGTGAAACACCGTGAAAAATACAAAAAGTTAGCTGAAAAATACAAAAAATACAAAAAATTAGCTGGGTATGGTGGCGTGCGCCTGCAACCCCAGCTACTCAGGAGGCTGAGGTGGAGGTTGCAGTGAGCCGAGATTGCGCCACTACACTCCAGCCTGGGAGACAGAGACTCCATCTTAGAAAAACAAAAACAAAAAAAGAAACCACAACAACTACTATGGGAACATTTTTAAAAATTATAAAAGCTAAAGTCTTTCCTGAAACAATTCCTACTTTTTGCTTGGTAAATGTAAATTCCACATGTAGAATAATGTATCTGAAAAACACAAAAAGTGGTATGCTTAAAAACTTACATATAATTTCATAATAAACAAGTTTTCACTATAATTTAGGACATATTAGTCCTCCAAGAGATATTTTCTGCATACAGAAACTCAGATGTGTTTAACTGGGATCAATATCTGTTTAACATTAAAAGATATCTCCACAACCCATGTTGGAAACTTTAGGGTGAAATAAACACAAGTGTAATAAATTAAAAAAAAGTTAACACCACAGTAAAACTAAAATTGGTTTTAATAAAAGTTTTGGAGTCATCTAAATGAGTAACTATACACATTCCTCCTCTCCAGCAAGTATACAGAAATCTTCCCTTACTCCAATTTGACGCTGCAAAATCATACATGCACCCCAAACTGATCTGTTATTGAAATTTCTTTTTCTGGTCTCACCCATTACTTTAACATATCAGAGGAATTAACATAACAGCCTAGAGAACAGAAATAAGAGATAATAGGTGCTTCAGTACCACCCAAATTATCTACTAAGACCACAGTGTGGGCAACAGAATGCAGATTCATGGTAGTAGTTCCTTGAATGAAAGAGTTCAGACAGAATCTTCCACAAACACAAATTTTTGCGGTATCCAAATCTTGGCAGAGATGGAATGGAATGATATGAGAGCCATATGGAATCCTATTGGAAAGAATGATAAAAATATTTTATAACATGTTACTAGATTCAGGACATGAATTATTAGGACATGGAATTTTAACAATGAAAAGTAAAATTATTAAGCGATTAGTATATTTAAAATATACTAAAAAACAATATATGACATATTGTAAACTTCAGATACCACACCATAAAATATCTTCCAGCACAACCACTTAATAGCATAACTCCCTAAATGGAATGAAAAAGTCACCTGTCCTTTAAATAGGCTCTTCCAGGGATCAATTGTTCAAAAGGGAAACTTAAACTCTCTAAGACAAATTTAAAATACATGTCACTTGGGACATGAGTTTTACTTTAGTGGCTGGGCAAGTAAGGCTAACCTTACCTTGCTTAAGGCATTTCACTCTCACACTTAAAACCCTTCAGTGGTGCCCAAGTCAAACTTTTGATTTTTACTTTTTGAGACAGAGTCTCGCTTTGACACCCAGGCTAGAGTGCAGTGGTGCGCGCTCTCACTGCAATCTCTGCCTCCTGGGTTCAAGCAATTCTTCTGCCTCAGCCTCCCAAGTAGCTGGGATTACAGGCGCCTACCACCACGCCCAGATAATTTTTTTTTGCATTGTATTTTTAGTAGAGACGAGGTTTCACCATGTTGGCCAGGCTGGTCTCGAACTCCTGACGTCATGTGATCTGCCTGCCTCAGCCTCCAAAAGTGCTAGGATTAAAGGTGTGAGCCACCGCACCTGGCCTAAACTTTTTTTTTTTTTTTGAGATGGAGTCTCACTCTGTTGCCCAGACTGGAGTGCAGTGGTGCAATCTCAGCTCATTGCAACCTCCACCTCCAGGGTTCAAGCTATTCTCCTGCCTCAGCCTCCCGAGTAGCTGGGATTACAGGCACACGCCAACATTCCCGGCTAATTTTTTTTTTTTTTTTTGAGATGGAGTCTCGCTCTGTCTCCCAGGCTGGAGCGCAGTGGCACAATCTCGGCTCACTGCAAGCTCCGCCTCCCGGGTTCATGCCATTCTCCTGCCTCAGCCTCCCGAGTAGCTGGGACTATAGGTGCCCGCCACCACGCCTGGCTAATTTTTTGTATTTTTAGTAGAGGCAGGGTTTCACCATGTTAGCCAGGATGGTCTCGATCTCCTGACCTTGTGATCTGTCCGCCTTGGCCTCCCAAAGTGCTGGGATTACAGGCTTGAGCCACCACGCCTGGCCTGGCTAATTTTCGCATTTTTAGTAGAGACGGGGGTTAACCATGTTGGCCAGGCTGGTCTTGAACTCCTGACCTCAAGTGATCCGCCCACCTCGGCCTCCCAAAGTGCTGAGATTACAGGCAAGAGCCACTGCGCTGGGCCTTGAGGTCAAGTTTTTAAATCATCTACAAGACACTAAAACACAGTCTTGAGATTGCCTGCCCACTGCCCAAACCTCCCCGCTAAACACAACCATGCTCCAGCCACTTTGCCTCCCACACGGTGTCTTGTTCTTTGTTGTTTCTCTAGTCTCTAGCTTAGGCTGGCACATAATAGGTGCTCAGATATTTTTCAACAAATAAACAAGCCTAGTCTTACAACTTAAAATGAGAGTTTAAAACCCTGTCAGAAAAGTCTGAAAAGATACACATTTCAAATAAAAAAACAGCGGTTACCTTTGGTACGGGATCTAGGATGGCCCTATTTGCAATTTTTAAATTTTTCATAAAAAGACTTATTAATCTGTTGCTTAAGTAACCATTTTTTAAAAAACTCTGCCAGGGAGTGTCTCCCACATGTTTACATTAATCTCTTTCGGATAGATGGTTCTAGATTGAGGAAACAGACAACAGTTAAAAACTGTATTTTCTATCTGACATAACTTAAATTCCCACATATTTTCCTAATAGATCATAACTGTATGCTTGTAACCAGTAGTTAGAGCCATTTATCAACAGCTAGATAATAGGTTTTGGTGTCACAGCTTTAAATCTATATACTTTTTAAAACAAGGGAGCTTAAAACACGCAACATTATACTTCAACAAAGGTTCAGTCATCTTACAAGAAAGCTATATTAATAGTGGTAAGATTTAAAAAGCAACATAAATGCTATAACGCGAAATCATTCAGCACTAATAAATTACTATTCTGCCAAATTGTGCCTTGCCAATTATATCACATTTTGATCATCTATTTTTTTCCTTCCAACTTTGTACTTTTTCATGTTGGACTTCAGCATGTTTTCACCTGATCATTTAGCCAAACTTGTTATAATCTTTTCAAATCAAAACTATAACATTTCTCATTTGGACATAATTTTCAAATTTGAATAAATACAATGTACAATTTCTTTCTTTTCTTTTTTTTTTTTTTTTGAGACGCAGTCTCACTCTGCAGCCCAGGCTGTAGTGTGGTGCTACAATCTCAGCTCACTACAACCTCAACCTCCCGGGTTCAAGCAATATATCCTGCCTCAGCCTCCCCAGTAGCTGAGACTACAGGTGCCCGCCACGACACCCTGTTAATTTTTGTATTTTTAGTGGAGACAGGGTTTCACCATATTAGCCCTGCTGGTCTCAAACTCC